>NC_000011.10:108081515-108384545 GCF_000001405.40 Homo sapiens | reverse complement strand
AGGATTGTGGACTCTTGATTCAGAGTGCCTGGGTTTGATTTTTGGCTCCACTCTTTACTGGCTATATGATCTTGGGCAAGTTACTAGCTCGGTTTCTTCACTAGTAAAAGAAGAATAACGGTAGTACCTAGCACATAGGTTGTGAGATAATGAGATAATCATGCACAGAGCTTAGAATAGTGCCTATCTCATAATGCATACTCCATTAATATGAGCCATCCTTAGCATTAACCAATCCACCTATTTCCAGCTCACTGCCACCCACTCAGCCCAAGTTGCCTTCACCCCTCTACAGGCTTCTGCAATAGCCTCCAAACCAATGCTTCTCCATTCCCTTCTCTGCTCAATAGATAGTCATCTTTTACAAATTTAAATCAGCACAGAGACCCAGCACAATGGCTCATGCCTGTAATCCCAGCACTTTGGGAGGCTAAGTTTGGAGGATCACTTGAGGCAAAGAGTTCAAGACTATCCTGGGCAACATAAAGAGACTCTCACTCTACAAAAAATAAAATGTCAGCAGGGCATGGTGGCATACACCTGTAGTCCTTGCTACTTGGGAAGCTGAGGCGGGAGAGTTGTTTGAGCCCAGGAGGTGGAGGCTGTGCGATTGCGCCACTGCACTCTAGCCTGGGCAACAGAGTAAGACCCTGTCTCAAAAAAAAAAAAAAAAAAGGAAACAATATAAGTTACTGAGTTAAAAGAGATTACTGTGAAAAGAAGAAAGATATAGGATGGTAGTTGGAAGGAGCATAAAAGCAAGTGAAAATTATTTTAAGTAGTGGAGATTTGCATAACTGAAGCCAGTGAAGGTGATACATTGAAGATGTTGGCATTGGAGAAGAGGATAATGTGTGTCACTTCTTCAAGAAGCAAGAGAAGGTAAATCCAGAGCAGATTGAGAAACATGAGCTCTTGAGAGGAAAAGGGCATTTCTCCCTTTGTGAATGAAGAAGTTAGCTAATAGTTACAGAGCACCAACTAAATACCAGATGCTCTAAGTTCTTTACATGCACTGTCACATTTAACTCTTGCAGGAATATGATGAGGTAGGTGCGGTTATTATCCCCATTTTACAGATGAGAGCACTAAGACTTAGGTTAAATAATTTGTCCCAAATTACACAGCTAGTTATTAGTAGATCAGACCTAAAACCCAGGTCCTGCAGAGCCTTTTGTAGGGATGGACAGTGATATGTGGGAGTGAAAGTGGGATGAACTCAGAAATTTGGGGTGTTTCTGGTTTCAGGTGAAGATATTTGCTTTAAGAATGGTGAAAAGGAATGTGGAACAGACCACAACACAGTAGCATTTTGAGTGAGCATCTTATTATATCTGGTATCTTTCTAATCATTTGTCACTTCTCTTTAGGATTCAGGTTTAATCAAGCACAGAAAAACATATATAACTATGGAGGAGACATATCAAAGATGCAAATGGGAATACCAGATGATACTTACTATGAAAATGTTTATCAAGAACCAAATGTAACTAGATTAACGCCTGATTCTACTTATGGACTATAAAGTACTTTATTTCTATTCTGAGTTATAGCCCTTTGAGCCTTCCATCCATCAGTTATAGCCAAGAGATAGTGTATTCTGACTGGAATAACTTGTGTATATATTCTGGGCACAGAATCTAGCTCAGTTAAGTAAGGAAGATTGAGCAGAAATAGAACACTGGACTGAATACAATGATCATGGCAAATATAGAAATTATTCCTAGTATTCTGAGAAACTGTAGTATTCTAACAGTCACACTTAAGTAAAGAGACTACATTTAGGTGCAAGAAGCTTCAGACTGATTATTTTGCATGTTTACTTGAGGCATTTAGTGCATTCATGGAAGGCAGAGCTCTCGGTCCCTTTATCCCATATCCTAGTGTGCCTTGCTTCTTTAAATCCCCTCTCCCACGTTTATCCTCTCATTACTCCATTTTTTTCTTCACTGAACCTTTTTTCTTTCTTCCTCTTGATTCTCTGTCTGCTTACTCATTCTAGTTTGTCTTTGCAATTCTCGGTTTCTCTCACACTTAGTTACTGCCTATTTTATGTCATAGTTATTTCTTTCTTTTATAATGTTATCTTTCCTTGTTTACATTTTTCTCTTTACTTGCTTTCATCAATGTTGCCCTTTCCTTTTTTCATTTTCCTTCCTAGATCATTCCCCTAATCTCAGTTTTTTTGGGGCCTACGATTTGCCTTCACTACTCTGCATGCAATACAACTCTTTGGATTCCCATTCCCTTTCTTCCAGGTTAGAGCAGTGAATTAGTTTTCTATCACTGCATAATAAATTACCCCAAGACATAGCAGCTTAAAGCAACAGTTATTATCTCATTCAGTTTCTGAGGGTTAGGAAACTGGGAGTGGTTTAGTTGGGTGGCTCTGGCTTGAAGTCTCGCAGGAGGTTGCAGTAAAGATTTTGGCCAGGGCTGCAGTCATCTGAAAGCTTGACTGGGTTGGAGAATCTGCCTCCAAGATGGTACACTTGAACAGTTGTTGGCAGGAGGCCTCAATTCCTTGATACTTAGACCTCCCCATAGGATAGCTTGAGTGGCCTCATAACATGGCTGAGCAAGCAACCTGAGAGAGAGAGAGAGAGAGAGCAAGGAGGAAGCCGCAATGCCTTTTAAGAACTAGTCTGAGAGGCCACACACCATCACTTCTGCCCTATTCTATTAATTAGAAATGCATCAAGTCCAGCCTATACTTATGGAGAGGGGAATTAAGCTCTATCTCTTAAAAGGAAGATTGTCAAAGAATTTGTGAATACATTTAAAATCAACACAAAGAGAAAAGGAACAATCTTAGTGATTCCTTTCAAAGGAAACCATAAGACATTGGTACAGATAGTTTATTTCGGAGATGATCCCAGAAAGCACAAATTAGAAATTAGAGAATTAGAAATTAGAGAATTAGAAATTAGAGAAATTAGAAATTAGAGAAAGTGACACAGGGAAGGGAGAAAAGCCAAAAAACTTTTGTGTTAAGAATGGGTTATTACTGTGGGTATCCAGGCCTCAGTTTGCTAGGAATGCTCTGAGGAACCATACAGAATGTACTTCAGAATTTTCCTACTAGTGGACAGAGAAACCAGATATTTATCTACCAGCATGAGGAGCCAAACATGACCAGGTAGCAATCATAGTTCTAGGTTCAGTGGAATCCTTATTGTGACCTCCAGGGGAACCATTCCCTCACTGGATACAGGGAGGATACATGCATCCAGTGGCTACATGGACTCAGTTCTGCTGAGTCTCAACTTGTAGGAACAAGAAGCACAAATTCCCAAGGGATCACTGAGAGTAGTGGTGAGAGGGGCCAACCTAATTTCCATCCCTTGGTTCTTGGACCCATATGTCATAACACTATTTAAGTTATTTAGACAGAGCACCATATAATGGCCCTTGGTTCAATGTATATATCACATCCTGGAGGAAAATGCTCCAACCTAGCTGCATGTCATACTTAAGCTAGAACCTTAGGTTACTCCTTAACAGGCCAATTTAACATTCTAATAGTTTCTGGATTGTGTGGCATATGATAGGACTAGTGTTTTCCATTGTCATATACTCTACTCATTTTTTAAATTCCTTTACTGTAAAATTGGTCCCTTGGTCAGAAAGCCCATAATAGTAAATCATGCATTTTATAGGTCCTTAGATAGTGGTTCTGATAAGAGTCACCATAGTCAAGAAAGGCAAATCCATACCTGGACCAAGTAGTAATCCCTGTTAAGAATGAATTGCTGCAATGTCCAAACAAGAATGGGTCTGATATAATCATGTTGCCACCAAAGAACTGATTGGTCTTTTCAAATGATGGTGTCATATCAAGGCCAAGTGTCATTCAGCAGTGGAAGCAGCTAGATTAGTTTTTCTGAGAAAAGGCCCATGATTTTGGGCGCTTGGCTTCCATCCATGCCATCATGACTCTTCTGTAGATGAGCTAATTGCACAAGCACTAGGGTGGCCAAGAGCATGTTGGCTGGCCCTCAGTGCCAAAGTCACCTTATACATCTGGTTGTTTAATGTCTCTTCTGTAGTGGATGCTCTCTGGTAAGCATAAAAGTGATATGTGAAGATCCACACCTTATAAGTCAATTGTTATGACATTTCCCAGATTTCCTTGTCTCTGATCTAATTTTGCCCTTTCCAAGTTAAGTACCTGACCAATGAGTCAATTTGCCACTGCCCAAGAATCCATGTGTATCTCTACTTAAGGCTACTTCTCTCTCAATAAGAAGTGAATGACCAAGTATAGTGCTCAAAGCTTTGCCCACTAGGATTTTCCCTTAGCACTGTTCTTTAGGGCTATACCTAAGTGGAGCTGTAGTAAGGCATCAATGCAGTTTTAGCTTGAGCCAACTCATTCATGAGCAAGGCCCAAGTTCGTAGGGAACGTCTCTACCTTGAGTGATGTACCATAGGTATACCATAGTCAGTATCATCAGTGTGGCCTGAGAGAGAAGCATTTGGGCAACTGAATTAGGTGACGTGGAGATGAGGGCTCTTGCTGTGTAACTTACTTGTGCTTTTCAAATCTGCTGGAGATAATTCCCAAATGTCTCATGTAATGGGTATCTACTGTGCCTGCTAGATCTGACAATTCACAGCAAATAAACTTCCCCCATGAAATCTGTCAAATATTACCCCTTTTTGAGAAATTATATCCATGACTATTTACTCTCCAAGACATTCCATATAACATTTATCACCAAGTCCTGCTTGAGGAGTAAGAAAGTAAAGCAGCTGGCCTGTGCTCCCTTCACCTTGTCAAGGGAACTTCTAGGTACAGTCTAATGTTATTTGTCCTTGTGTAGAAGTCCCTTAGCAGGCTAACCCTGAGTAAGGGTTACTTAAATAAACCCAGGAGCTATGGATTTTCCTTTTTTTTTTAATTTTATTTTATTATTATTATACTTTAAGTTTTAGGGTACATGTGCACAATGTGCGAATTAGTTACATATGTATACATGTGCCATGCTGGTGTGCTGCACCCATTAACTCGTCATTTAGCATTAGGTATATCTCCTAATGCTATCCCTAGCCCCTCCCCCCACCCCACAACAGTCCCCAGAGTGTGATGTTCCCCTTCCTGTGTCCATGTGTTCTCATTGTTCAATTCCCACCTGTGAGTGAGAATATGCGGTGTTTGGTTTTTTGTCCTGCGATAGTTTACTGAGAATGATGATTTCCAATTTCATCCATGTCCCTACAAAGGACATGAACCCATCATTTTTTATGGCTGCATAGTATTCCATGGTATATATGTGCCACATTTTCTTAATCCAGTCTATCATTTTTGGACATTTGGGTTGGTTCCAAGTCTTTGCTATTGTGAATAGTGCGGCAATAAACATACGTGTGCATGTGTCTTTATAGCAGCATGATTTATAGTCCTTTGGGTATATACCCAGTAATGGGATGGCTGGGTCAAATGGTATTTCTAGTTCTAGATCCCCGAGGAATCGCCACACTGACTTCCACAATGGTTGAACTAGTTTACAGTCCCACCAACAGTGTAAAAGGGTTCCTATTTCTCCACATCCTCTCCAGCACCTGTTGTTTCCTGACTTTTTAATGATCGCCACTCTAACTGGTGTGAGATGTATCTCATAGTGGTTTTGATTTGCATTTCTCTGATGGCCAGTGATGATGAGCATTTTTTCATGTGTTTTTTGGCTGCATAAATGTCTTCTTTTGAGAAGTGTCTGTTCATGTCCTTCACCCACTTTTTGATGGGGTTGTTTTTTTCTTGTAAATTTGTTTGAGTTCATTGTAGATTCTGGATATTAGCCCTTTGTCAGATGAGTAGGTTGCGAAAATTTTCTCCCATTTTGTAGGTTGCCTGTTCACTCTGATGGTAGTTTCTTTTGCTGTGCAGAAGCTCTTTAGTTTAATTAGATCCCATTTGTCAATTTTGGCTTTTGTTGCCATTGCTTTTGGTGTTTTGGACATGAAGTCCTTGCCCATGCCTATGTCCTGAATGGTAATGCCTAGGTTTTCTTCTAGGGTTTTTATGGTTTTAGGTCTAACGTTTAAGTCTTTAATCCATCCTGAATTAATTTTTGTATAAGGTGTAAGGAAGGGATCCAGTTTCAGCTTTCTCCATATGGCTAGCCAGTTTTCCCAGCACCATTTATTAAATAGGGAATCCTTTCCCCATTGCTTGTTTTTCTCAGGTTTGTCAAAGATCAGATAGTTGTAGATATGCAGCATTATTTCTGAGGGCTCTGTTCTGTTCCATTGATCTATATCTCTGTTTTGGTACCAGTACCATGCTGTTTTGGTTACTGTAGCCTTGTAGTATAGTTTGAAGTCAGGTAGCGTGATGCCTCCAGCTTTGTTCTTTTGGCTTAGGATTGACTTGCCGATGCGGGCCCTTTTTGGTTCCATATGAACTTTAAAGTAGTTTTTTCCAATTCTGTGAAGAAAGTCATTGGTAGCTTGATGAGGATGGCATTGAATCTATAAATTACCTTGGGCAGTATGGCCATTTTCACGATATTGATTCTTCCTATCCATGAGCATGGAATGTTCTTCCATTTGTTTGTATCCTCTTTTATTTCGTTGAGCAGTGGTTTGTAGTTCTCCTTGAAGAGGTCCTTCACATCCCTTGTAAGTTGGATTCCCAGGTATTTTATTCTCTTTGAAGCAATTGTGAATGGGAGTTCACTCATGATTTGGCTCTCTGTTTGTCTGTTATTGGTGTATAAGAATGCTTCTGATTTTTGTACATTGATTTTGTATCCTGAGACTTTGCTGAAGTTGCTTATCAGCTTAAGGAGATTTTGGGCTGAGACAGTGGGGTTTTCTAGATATACAATCATGTCATCTGCAAACAGGGACAATTTGACTTCCTCTTTTCCTAATTGAATACCCTTTATTTCCTTCTCCTGCCTGATTGCCCTGGCCAGAACTTCCAACACTATGTTGAATAGGAGTGGTGAGAGAGGGCATCCCTGTCTTGTGCCAGTTTTCAAAGGGAATGCTTCCAGTTTTTGCCCATTCAGTATGATATTGGCTGTGGGACTGTCATAGATAGCTCTTATTATTTTGAGATACGTCCCATCAATACCTAATTTATTGAGAGTTTTTAGCATGAAGGGTTGTTGAATTTTGTCCAAGGCCTTTTCTGCATCTATTGAGATAATCATGTGTTTTTTGTCTTTGGTTCTGTTTATATGCTGGATTACATTTATTGATTTGCGTACATTGAACCAGCCTGGCATCCCAGGGATGAAGCCCACTTGATCATGGTGGATAGGCTTTTTGATGTGCTGCTGGATTCAGTTTGCCAGTATTTTATTGAGGATTTTTGCATCAATGTTCATCAAGGATATTGGTCTAACATTCTCTTTTTTGGTTGTGTCTCTGCTCGGCTTTGGTATCAGGATGATGCTGGCCTCATAAAATGAGTTAGGGAGGATTCCCTCTTTTTCTATTGATTGGAATAGTTTCAGAAGGAATGGTACCAGTTCCTCCTTGTACCTCTGGTAGAATTCGGCTGTGAATCCATCTGGTCCTGGACTCTTTTTTGTTGGTAAGCTATTGATTATTGCCACAATTTCAGATCCTGTTATTGGTCTATTCAGAGATTCAACTTCTTCCTGGTTTAGTCTCGGGAGAGTGTATGTGTCGAGGAATTTATCCATTTCTTCTAGATTTTCTAGTTTATTTGCATAGAGGTGTTTGTAGTATTCTCTGATGGTAGTTTGTATTTCTGTGGGATCGGTGGTGATATCCCCTTTATCATTTTTTATTGTGTCTATTTGATTCTTCTCTCCTTTTTTCTTTATTAGTCTTGCTAGCGGTCTATTAATTTTGTTGATCCTTTCAAAAAACCAGCTCCTGGATTCATTAATTTTTTGAACGGTTTTTTGTGTCTCTATTTCCTTCAGTTCTGCTCTGATTTTAGTTATTTCTTGCCTTCTGCTAGCTTTTGAATGTGTTTGCTCTTGCTTTTCTAGTTCTTTTAATTGTGATGTTAGGGTGTCAATTTTGGATCTTTCCTGCTTTATCTTGTGGGCATTTAGTGCTATAAATTTCCCTCTACACACTGCTTTGAATGTGTCCCAGAGATTCTGGTATGTTGTGTCTTTGTTCTTGTTGGTTTCAAAGAACATCTTTGTTTCTGCCTTCATTTCGTTATGTACTGTACCCATTCAGGAGCAGGTTGTTCAGTTTCCATGTAGTTGAGCGGTTTTGAGTGAGATTCTTAATCCTGAGTTCTAGTTTGATTGCACTGTGGTCTGAGAGACAGTTTGTTATAATTTCTGTTCTTTTACATTTGCTGAGGAGAGCTTTACTTCCAACTATGTGGTCAATTTTGGAATAGGTGTGGTGCTGAAAAGAATGTATATTCTGTTGATTTGGGGTGGAGAGTTCTGTAGATGTCTATTAGGTCCGCTTGGTGCAGAGCTGAGTTCAATTCCTGGGTATCCTTGTTGACTTTTTGTCTCGTTGATCTGTCTAATGTTGACAGTGGGGTGTTAAAGTCTCCCATTATTATTGTGTGGGAGTCTAAGTCTCTTTGTAGGTCACTCAGGACTTGCTTTATGAATCTGGGTGCTCCTGTATTGGTTGCATATATATGTAGGATAGTTAGCTCTTCTTGTTGAATTGATCCCTTTACCATTATGTAATGGCCTTCTTTGTTTCTTTTGATCTTTGTTGGTTTAAAGTCTGTTTTATCAGAGACTAGTATTGCAACCCCTGCCTTTTTTTGTTTTCCATTTGCTTGGTAGATCTTCCTCCATCCTTTTATTTTGAGCCTATGTGTGTCTCTGCACGTGAGATGGGTTTCCTGAATACAGCACACTGACGGGTCTTGACTCTTTATCCAATTTGCCAGTCTGTGTCTTTTAATTGGAGCATTTAGTCCATATACATTTAAAGTTAATATTGTTATGTGTGAATTTGATCCTGTCATTATGATGTTAGCTGGTTATTTTGTTCGTTAGTTGATGCAGTTTCTTCCTAGTCTTGATGGTCTTTACATTTTGGCATGATTTTGCAGTGGCTGGTACTGGTTGTTCCTTTCCATGTTTAGTGCTTCCTTCAGGAGCTCTTTTAGGGCAGGCCTGGTGGTGACAAAATCTCTCAGCATTTGCTTGTCTGTAAAGTATTTTATTTCTACTTCACTGATGAAGCTTAGTTTGGCTGGATATGAAATTCTGGGTTGAAAATTCTTTTCTTTAAGAATGTTGAATATTGGCCCCTACTCTCTTCTGGCTTGTAGGGTTTCTGCCAAGATCCGCTGTTAGTCTGATGGGCTTCCCTTTGAGGGTAACCCGACCTTTCTCTCTGGCTGCCCTTAACATTTTTTCCTTCATTTCAACTTTGGTGAATCTGACAATTATGTGTCTTGGAGTTGCTCTTCTCGAGGAGTATCTTTGTGGCGTTCTCTGTATTTCCTGAACCTGAACGTTGGCCTGCCTTGCTAGATTGGGGAAGTTCTCCTGGATAATATCCTGCAGAGTGTTTTCCATCTTGGTTCCATTCTCCCCATCACTTTCAGGTACACCAATCAGATGTAGATTTGGTCTTTTCACATAGTCCCATATTTCTTGGAGGCTTTGTTCGTTTCTTTTTATTCTTTTTTCTCTAAACTTCCCTTCTCGCTTCATTTTATTCATTTCATTTTCCATTGCTGATACCCTTTCTTCCAGTTGATCGCATCAGCTCCTGAGGCTTCTGCATTCTTCACGTAGTTTTCGAGCCTTGGCTTTCAGCTCCATCAGCTCCTTTAAGCACTTCTCTGTATTGGTTATTCTAGTTATACATTTGTCTAAATTTTTTTCAAAGTTTTCAACTTCTTTGCCTTTGGTTTGAATTTCCTCCTGTAGCTCGGAGTAGTTTGATCATCTGAAGCCTTCTTCTCTCAACTCGTCAAAGTCATTCTCCATCCAGCTTTGTTCCATTGCTGGTAAGGAACTGCGTTCCTTTGGAGGAGGAGAGGCGCTCTCCTTTTTAGAGTTTCCAGTTTTTCTGCTCTGTTTTTTCCCCATCTTTGTGGTTTTATCTACTTTTGGTCTTTGATGATGGTGATGTACAGATGGGTTTTTGGTGTGGATATCCTTTCTGTTGTTAGTTTTCCTTCTAACAGACAGGACCCTCAGCTGCAGGTCTGTTGGAGTTTGCTAGAGGTCCACTCCAGACCCTGTTTACCTGGGTATCAGCAGCGGTGTCTGCAGAACCACGGATTTTCATGAACCGCGAATGCTGCTGTCTGATCGTTCCTCTGGAAGTTTTGTCTCAGAGGAGTACCTGGCCATGTGAGGTATCAGTCTGCCCCACTGGGGGGTGCCTCCCGGTTAGGCTGCTCAGGGGTCAGGGGTCAGGGACCTACTTGAGGAGGCAGTCTGCCCATTCTCAGATCTCAAACTGCGTGCTGGGAGAACCACTGCTCTCCTCAAAGCTGTCAGACAGGGACATTTAAGTCTGCAGAGGTTTCTGAGCCTACAGAGGCAGGCAGGCCTCCTTGAGCTGTGGTGGGCTCCACCCAGTTGGAGCTTCCCGGCTGCTTTGTTTACCTAAGCGAGCCTGGGCAATGGCGGGTGCCCCTCCGCCAGCCTCGCTGCAGCCTTGCAGTTTGATCTCAGACTGCTGTGCTAGCAATCAGCAAGACTCCGTGGGCGTAGGACCCTCCAAGCCAGGTGCGGGATATAATTTCCTGGTGCACCGTTTCCTAAGCCCGTCGGAAAAGCGCAGTATTCGGGTGGGAGTGGCCCGATTTTCCAGGTGCCGTCTGTCACCCCTTTCCTTGACCAGGAAAGGGAACTCCCGGACCCCTTGCGCTTCCCGTGTGATGCGATGCCACGCCCTGCTTCGGCTGGCGCACGGTGCGCTGCACCCACTGTCCTGCACCTACTGTCTGGCACTCCCTAGTGAGATGAACCCGGTATCTCAGATGGAAATGCAGAAATCACCCGTCTTCTGCGTCGCTCACACTGGGAGCTGTAGACCGGAGCTGTTCCTATTTGGCCATCTTGGCTCCTCCCACTTCTTCCTTTTTAAAACGGTATGTCTTTTATTGCTTTCTATTTACATTACTGCATGGCTAGGAACTCCAGTGCAATGTGGGATAGAAGTGGTAAGAGTGGCATCCTTGCCTTGTTCCTGATCTTTGGAGATAACCAAGGTTTTCATCATTAAATATGACGTGAGCTGTAAGTTTTTCACAGATGTCCTTTGTCAGATGTCTTTTATTCCTAGTTTGATGAGTTTTATCATGAATGAGTACTGAATTTTCTCACAAGCTTTTTCTGCACTATTGGCATGATCATATGGTTTATTTAGTTACATTGATTGAGTCAATCTGGAATAATGCCATTTGGTCATGATTTACCTCTTTCTTATATTGATAGAATTGATTTGCTAATATTTTGTGAGGATTTTTACATCAATGTTCATGGAGGATATTGGTCTTTAGTTTTCTTTCTTTTAATTTTTTTTTTTTATGAGACAGTCTCACTCTGTCACCGAGGCTGGAGTGCAGTGGCACGTCTCGGCCCACTGCAACCTCTGCCTCTTGGGTTCAAGTGATTCTTGTGCCTCAGCCACCTGAGTAGCTGGGATTACAAGCATGTGCCACTACACCCAGCTAATTTTTTTTTTTAAATCTTTGGTAGAGATGGGGTTTCACCATATTGGCCAGGGTCTCAAAATCCTGACTTAAAAGTGATTTGCCACCTTGGCCTCCCAAAGTGCTGGGATTACAGATGTGTGCCCGGCATCTTTCTTGTAATTCTCTGTCTGGTTTTGAGTATGCTGGCTTCATAAAATGGGTTATTCTAATATTATGAAGAGTTTTTGTAGAATTGGTATCATTTCATAGATGGCACTGACTTACCACAATTATTTTCTGTGTTTTTGTCCTTTTCATCTTTGAAATGCCTGTGAAGTCCACTTGTCCATGATGCTTTACACTGCAATGATTTAAAATAAATCTGGCAAACAGCTAATTTCCTTTTTCTGTCTTAAAACCTTTGCAACTCTCATAATCATGGAAATCTAAAAACACTGTTTAAGAAATAAGAATTATTGGCCAGGCACAGTGGCTCACGCCTGTAATCCCAGCACTTTGGGGTGCTGAGGCGGGCATATCACTGAGGTCAGGAGTTTGAGACCAGCCTGGCCAACATGGTGAAACCCTGTCTCTATGAAAAATACAAAAATTAGCTGGACATGGTGGTGGGCACCTGTAGTCCCAGCTACTTGGGAGGCTGAGGCAGGGGAATCGCTTGAACCTGGGAGGCAGAGGTTGCAGTGAGCCGAGATCGTGCTGCTGCACTCCAGCCTGGGCGACAGAGCGGGACTCCATCTCAGAATGAATGAATGAATGAATGAATGAATGAATGAATAAAATTTAGTGTTACAAAGAGTTATAAGTTTATATTAAATATTCAAACACTACAGTAGGGAACATTTTGGGTAGTTTTCAAGTAACCTAACGTTACGATCTCCTAACAAGGTTAACAACAATACACAGAATCAGGTTTTGAAACCGTCAATTGAAGGACATTTTTTGTTTCTAAAACTTAGAATACCATTTATAGGATTTGTGTAAAATATACAATGCTTCTACTTGTAAGAGTCACCCACACCCATTATGTCTGCTACTCAAAACATAAAAACAGAAAATAAGTGTTGATAAGGATGTTGAGAAATTGCAACCCTTGTGCACTGATGGTGGAGTTGTAAAATGGTTCGGCCACTGTGGAAAAACAGTATGGTGGCTCCTTAAAAAGTTAAAAATAGAATGACTATATGATCCAACAATTCCGTTTCTGGGTATAAAGAAAAAAGAGTTCTGAAGACATATTTGTATACCCATGTAAATAGTGACAATATTCACAATAGTCAAAGGGTAGAGACAACTCTAGTATCCACTGATGGATGAATGGATAAATAAAATATATACAGTATATACACATACACAATGGAATATTATTCAGCCTTAAAAAGGAAGGAAATTCTGCAATATATTACAACATAGACGAACCTTGAGGACATTATGCTAAGTGAAATAAGCTAGTCACAAAGAGACAAATATTGCATGATTCTACTTATAAAAGGTACAGTACCTTGAATGTCAAATGCAGAGAGACAAAAGGTAGAACAGTAGTTCTCAGGGGCTGGTTGAATAGAGGAGTGGGGAGTTGTTTAATGGGTATAGAATTTTAGTTTTGTAAGGTTAAAGAAGTGCTGGAGGTTGGTTGCACACCACTGGAAATGTATTTTATCGCTACTGAACCGTATACTTAAAAACGAGATGGTAAATTTTGTTGTGTGTGTGTGGGTGTTTTTAAGTGACTCACCATTAGTAGTATACCGGCTATGAACACACACTTATATCATGGCAAGAACTAATAAGCAAGATCATGACCACTTCTCTCCTATGTTTCTGTCCCAGTATGGGAATACTGACCTTAACCTTTAATACTATGTCTCAGTGTTCAGTGCTGTTTGTGTTGCTGGATTCCTTCAAATCAGCAATGTGTCTATGTTGATTGCTAAGCTTTAATTCTCACCGGAGAATTATAATATCTTTCCTATTTTCCTGATTTTATTACTGATTTTTCTTGGGATTCAAAATTTGGGAAAACAAAAAGTTTCTCAAGAAATGCTGGAAAGGAAATCCCACTTGGAAACACTAACCAAAACGTTTGCAAGCAAAATAAAGCAATAGATAAAATGGATCAGTTGAGGTTATACTAGGAGTATAAGATGATTTAACCTTAGAAAATCAAACAGTGTAGTTCACTACATTAACAGATTCAAGGAAAATAATCATCATCAATAAATGCAGATAAACTGCTAAAATTCACCATCTGTAATAAAACCTCACAGCAGCCTAGGGACAGAAAGGAACTTCTTTAATCTGATAAGGGAAATACACACATTAAAAAAAAACAAAACAAAACCCTGCAGCAAACAGTAAATTTAAAGGTAAACACTTACACTTTTATCTTTGAGATGAGGCACAGGACTAGAATGTCCCAATATTCTACTGATGATTGTGCTAAAGAGAGGTCCTAGCCAGTAAAATGAGGCAAGGAAAAAAAAAAAGCAAACAGTATAGATTGGAATATGATCTAACAATTCCATTTCTGACATTATTCATAGATGATATGATTATATACATAGAAAATCCAAACATTACTCATAGATGATATGACTATATATATAGAAAATCCAAAAGAATCCAGATATATTTCTAGAAAGAATTAAAAGAGCTTACTGTGGTTACTGGATAGAAAAATCAATATGTAAAAACTAATTTTAATTCTAACAGTAATAATTAGGAAAAACTTATGAAAAAAATGTCCTTTATAAGAACATTTAAAAAAACAAAGTGCTTAGGAATAAACATAGTAAAACTATACAAGATCTCTGCAAGGAAAACTAAAACTTAACTGAGTGACATTAGGAACAAGGGAAAATCCCTACCTGAAAGATTTAACCTTAATGAAAACACTAATAAAAATGTCTGTCAACCAAAAAAACTCCATTAAGAGAATGAAGAGACAAGCTACAGAATTGGAAAAGATGTTAGCTAAGATGTTACATAACCAACAAAGGATCAGTAGAAATATCAGCAAAGAATACGTACAGGCAGTTCATCAGAGAAAATCATACTGACTAACAAGTGTATACTAAAACATTTAATCTCCCTAGTAATTAGTGAGGTACAAATTAAAATGAGACATGATACCATTTTGTTCCCATCAAAATAACAATAACTTTATTTTGAAAATATCAAGTGAGGCAGCAAAATCACCCCTGGTTAAGAACCACTGCTTTTGGATCATACACAATGAAAGTATATATTTCTACATACTGTTGTACATAAAACTGTGTATGCTGTACTTTTAATGGCAAAGGGATTTTTCAGAGGATAATGTCTATTATGAGATCTCCTTACTTACCAAATTCTGAGTCATTATAATCTTTGTGGAAACTTTGACTCCACTATATTTATGCAAAATGCATTTTGTTAAAATCTAGGCAAAAGAGACTAAAACTCCAGAGGACTGAATTTATTTTAAAAATATGATAAACAGGTAAAAAACTTTGCATTTAGGATACCAGGATCTTTGCACTTGTCATATTCTAGTACAGATCTTTTAGGCTAGAAATGTCAACTAGATCACTTTCTAGGCCCAAAGAAAGAACATTCATATTTGCCTTTTCGTCAGGAGGCGACTAAGAAACACTACTAGGATATTTAGACTGAGATGCAGCATTATCAGACTGGTTGTGCAATAGGCTCCCCGGTTCACACTGCGTGGTCAGTTGCCTATCCTCCTCAGATTGGGAGCTTTATATAGGCAGACTATGCCTGCCTTGCTCACTGCTTTCTCCTTAGAACGAGTCCCATGCCTGGCACACAGAACACACAAATATTTGAATAAAGTGAATGAGTCTTAGTATATGCTTTTAGAATTATTTATTCAAAAACACTTTATAATAAATTCAGGTAACAGTAAAGTAATACATTCAATAGTACTAAAATCTATAGAAAATAGATAATTTCATTAAGGTGCAATTAAAATACTTGAAATTGGGACACATCTCTATATTTCAAACCAATATACTGGCTTTCTTTTTAAAAGACTATTCTAGTCTTTACGCTGTCCAAAGTTTTTCCTCTTTGCTTTTATTTGCTTTAGACCATATTTAAATTTTTAGCATTCCTAAGTGCATACATTTTAGGCATATACTATAATGACCAAGAGTTTGTGAACCTACTGATTAGGTAAACACTTTGGGGAGGTATGACCTGCACAAAGTAGGGTGGGAAAGCTATTATCTCCCTTAATCTGGACACAACTGTTCAAGCAGTCTATAATTTATTAGCTTCTCTGATAGCTTCACTATTTGGTTTTCATTGACCTTTTGAGCAACTGACTGGCAAACCCCAGATTCTTTTCGCCTGAAATCTTTTCAAGTTAGATACTGTCCATATTACACTTGTACTTATAATTTACTATCTTCTTGCCTTGGACAACTTATTTCTCCAAATTCTGATTTCTCCAGCAGTGTATTGGGATAGTATCACTAATCTTGCAAAGTAAAGATCAGAAATGCTGTACATAATATGGGTCAGTGACTTAGCATACAACAACTATTCTATGATTAATATTTTCAAAATCTAACTACTCCTCATTTGTCCTTGGCAGTTTTCTATCTTAGTCATTTGCAGAAAGAGTTCCAGCTTGCCAAAACCTTTTTTTTTTTTTTTTTGAGGCAGAGTCTTGCTCTGTCGCCAAGGCTGGAATACAATGGCAACCCTGTCTCTACTAAAATTACAAAAAAAAAATCTTTTATAATCTTAATTCTGTCATCTGTGAATTAGTTATTTCTCCTAGGCTTGTGATCTGTATGTAAATTTGATAAACTTTTCAAAGCCATTGATTAGAATACTTGAACAGAACAGGAGCCTCATAGCATACCATGCAAGGCTAAAGAGTAGATTAATGATGTTATTCAAAGCTCTCTGGATGCAACAACTAGCAAGAATTAGCTACAAATTCATTTATCTATACTATTATCTAGTTGATAATTTCTAATTTCACCCATGAAGATTTCAGGGCTTTCTTAAAGACATTTTAAGTTTACTGCATTTCCTTGATTTACTATAGTAATAAAACTACCAATATATACCAAATATTCATTTAGGCAGCTTGTAAGAAAAAGATACACCAAGGTAAGTTTGTAATTTGAAATGCAAAGTAATATTCTGAACAGTTCTCCAGAAGTCAAACCAAGAAATTTATAGTCCAAAAAGTTCTGGAGATTGGTTTTAGGGGAGGGGAAGGTGAGGAGATCAAATATGAATGAGTGCCTGCCATTGGCAATAA
This sequence comes from Homo sapiens, assembly GCF_000001405.40. NCBI lineage: Eukaryota > Metazoa > Chordata > Mammalia > Primates > Hominidae > Homo > Homo sapiens. The sequence continues at coordinate 108,367,671 of NC_000011.10, read as the reverse complement.
AAAGAAATGCCAACTCTTCATAAGAAAAAAATTTATATAACCTTCAAGGTCCAAATACGAGGAGAAAGCTCAATCACCCATTTGTTAATCTCCGCAGCTGGGATGAACATTTTCCTAAGGATGGAGAAGAGATTATACTCACTAATACACGAGTCAGTAGTTTTACTTTCAGGTGGCTTTTTATCTGATGTTTATCTTATATGATGACAGCTGGGGGACAGAGAAATGTTCCACTTCTACCTATGTATCAAACTAGATACCTAAGCCCTTCCCTTCCAACAGAACACAGAGAAATGCTGGATAAAATGTAGAAAACATTCTTTTAAATACATAGCAGAACTTACAAGAAAGGGGAAATCCTTACGGTCAAAAATGAGGGGAATGAGGCCGGGCGCGGTGGCTCACACCTGTAATCCCAGCACTTTGGGAGGCCGAGGAGGGTGGATCACGAGGTCAAGCGATCGAGACCATCCTGGCTAACACGGTGAAACTCCGTCTCTAATAAAAATACAAAAAATTAGCCGGGCGTGTTGGCACACGCCTGTAGTCCCAGCTACTCGGGAGGCTGAGGCAGGAGAATTGCTTGAACCCAGGAGGCAGAGGTTTCAGTGAGCTGAGATCATGCCACTGCACTCCAGCCTGGGTGACAGAGCAAGACTCTGTCTCAGAAAAAAATGAGGGGAATGAAAAACCAGAGAGGTGAATATGTGAGCTGATGCTGTAGCTGTCCTGGAACAATTTGCCAGTCTCATTAACCCACGGCTTTTAGCTTAGACATCTATATGGGGAGCAAAGAACCCAGGGCTTGCCAAAGGCAGGCAGTGGGAATTAAATGTACCTCCTTCCACCCCTGCCATAAAGGTGGGACACATGGAAGCTTATACTCTCAGTGAAAAAGGCATCAATCAAATATTCTGCCCACTAGCACAAGGAGATGAGGAGGAAGTGTGTTTGCCTTGGCCTGGGAAATCTCCTATCAGTATTTATGCTACACTTCAGGTATGGAAACCCTAAAGCCAAGAAATTAAAATAAGAATGGGCTTGTGTGCAGCAACAGCCCTGGGAATATGACATAAACAGACACTCAAGATTCCCATAGATAAAGCCTTGCTGAAAATAAACTCACTTTTCAAAAAGACAAAACTGGATGAACAGCCTATCAAATACAAAAATCAACAGATATAAACAGCAGGAACTAAATTTAATAGAACTATTACAGTGTCTATCAAGTACAGACATTTAAAATAATTAGTGACATAAAAAACATTAAAAAAACATTAAAAATGACATCAAGAAACAGAGATCTGAAAAATGATGCATAATTAGAAATGAAAAACAATTTCTGAAAGAAGAAGCCCAATGGATAGGGTAAAAGAGATTATATACATCTGACAAGAGAATTCATGAACTAGAAGGCAATCTATGAAGTTATCACAGAAAGATAACATACATGGACAGTACAGAAGGGCTTAAAAGATAAAGAGAATAGAATGAGAAGTTTTAATACACACTTAAAAAAATAGTAACTACACTAACTGTGTCTTTGAAATTTGTTCTCCATAACAACTTCATTATTTAGTAACACTGAGTGATCTTACTAGGAAAAATCCAAATACGTTTCTGTTTTTTTTTTTTTTTTTTTGAGATGGAGTTTCGCTCTTGTCACCCAGGCTGGAGTGCAATGGCATGATTTTGGCCCACAGCAACCTTCACCTCCCAGGTTCAAGAGATTCTCCTGCCTCAGCCTCTCGAGTAGCTGGGATTACAGGTGCCCGCCACCATGCTCGGCTAATTTTTGTATTTTTAGTAGAGACAGGGTTTCACCATACTGGCCAGGCTGGTCTCTTGGCCAGGCTGGTCTCGAACTCCTGACCTTGTGATCCGCTCACCTCGGCCTCCCAAAGTGCTGGGATTACAGGCGTGAGCCGCTGCGCCCAGCCCGAATGACCATTATTTCTAAAGAGTGAAAGCAGAGATGTTCCTTAAGACCATCAAAACATTTTTGAGTGGTGATTAAATCAAGTATTAAAACCAACATTCAAAAAAACCCACAATAGTTCACTTAAATATTAATCCCTACTTAAAGTATGTTGGCAGGTTAAAAATAAAGGCTAAAATATAATTTCTAAAGGCTGAATGAAAGGGTAATTCATATACTGAAGATCACACCCAAGCTTTCCATCCTGGGAAAAGTCGGCTGAGATTTTTGGGGTCTATGGCCTGCTGTATGAGCAAATTCACTTGTCCACCAACACTGAGCACAGTGCCTTCTTCCACTCCTTTCAGTTTCTCTTGTAGTCTCATTAAGACACGTTCAGCTACTTTGTTGAAACTCTGGTCAATATCACTAAGGACAAAAACACAAAGGTTTCAGTGAGGTGAACAGTTTAAAGGCCTTGGGAATAAGAAAATCTGAAAAACTGACAACAGGACCTTCTTAAAATACTGCTCACCTGAGATTTCGTTTGCATTCTTGGTCATCTGCATTCAGAGTAGGGTGAAGCTCAGTTTCATCTTCCGGCCTCTGCTGTAAATACAAAGCTTTCAAAGGATTCATGGTCCAGTCAAAGAGTGGATCATATAGAAGGACCTAAACAGAGAGAACATATGTATTAAAAGAACAATGTACATTTTAATCACATACTTAGAAACAGTAGAACCAGTATCATACAAATAAGCCAGTCACATGGTAGTTGATGGGGGAGGGGAACAAACATCATGCACACTTCATGTTTCCTTGAGGAAACTATCCTAGCATAATGCTCCAAGCTTCTCATTTCATTCTGAATTCATTCTTCCTCCATGGTTAGGGGTGACATCCCTTGACCCATGTTTCCTGACTGGATGAAACTAATCTATTAAAAGGTTAGTCACTTTCTTTCCTTCTCTCTCTACTCTTAACCCTGGGTTAGTGTATTTGCTTTGTAGGGCCCAATTCTTCCTCAGCCCAGGCTGTCTCAAGGTATAGATTGGGATGTGGGAACTGGAGAGCACCAGCAAGCCTATTTGGACCTCACTCCTAAGCCGTCTTCTCCAATAGTTTTATCAGTAACAAATCTGAAATTCTGATCTCCACCCTATTCCTATGGCTCTTTTTCTCTCAGTTCTAAATCTGGGTGGATCCAGAAAGGTATAATTTGTTGAAACCTCCTCAAAACCCAAGGTTTGGTGCTGCGTTTGGAATCTTGAGATATATATTAGGTGTAGAATTAGGATACCAAAACAACTGACATGGCTAGAGCAAGTAGCTTTAGGTCGTAAATTTTAGAAAGTGAGTTCATGAGGAATTTCTGATATTGGCAGTTCAGAACAGCTAACTGCTCTGGTATTTATAAACACAGAACTTTAAAAAAAATAGGCTTTAGCAAATGCTTACAAATCTTAGTAATAAGTGGAGACAATATAAAGAATGATTCTACAGGGCATTCCAGTATTACAAGGTTGGAACACTTTTTTGCTGCTATCTGTATACAGTTTCTCAGTAAATCTGCAGGTTGGGACTATAAAATGCCTTTAGCAGATTTAGTTTCAGGACACGTACTAGATTAGCAGAACCAAAATCTCTCTATTTTTTAATGCTGTTTTGAGTGTCCTCCAGGACCATTAAATACTGTGGAGAAACTGAGCTTGATTACATGTAGCTTGTCCGTTAAGTTCAAGGTTTCCTATGTGACTTCAAGTTGGGCACTGACATGGCTTTAGATTTCAGAGATCCAAACCAGTTTCACCCACAAAAGGGAAATATTAATATATTTTATTAATGAACTAATGAAAAGGAATGAAGGCCTCTAATACAGACTAGATGGTTTTCTTGGGTTGAAGTAGAAGAAAAATCTAAATTACTTCAAAACCAAGGGCTTGTGTCAGGAATCATACTTGCAAATATTAGAATTAAGGAGGAACTGGAATAAGTAAAAAATTATGTTTCAGTCTGACAAGACAGAAGTGGTTGGAAACAGTAAAGGAATACAGACTGATTAAGCTAGAGCAGGGTTTCTCAGTCTCAGCACTATTGTCATTTTGGATGGGGTATTTCTTTGCTGTGGGGGCTAACTTGTACATTCTGAGGTGTTCAGCAGCATCCCTGGCCTCTACCCAGTAGATGCCAATACTATCCTCATCTCCCATCCCCAATTGTGACAATAAAAATGCCTCCAGACATTGCCAACTGTCCTCTAGGGGACAAAACTGCTCTTGGCTAAGCATCACTGAGTTAGAGGGAGAGATATATTTCCTTAGCATAACACATAAAATCTTAGAGGAGAGAATGGTCCATTAGGAAGAAAATAAAATCTTGAAGGCCAGGAGAGACAAATACACTGAAAAGAAAAGGGAAATACACCCAGGTTAAAGTGCTCTGAAGGAGGGGCTTAGGAAGCGGGGAGATCAGTTCAGAAATAGTGACTGTGCCTCAATGAAATCTAAGAGAAGAAAAGAAATGAATCCAAGAGAGGAAAGAAATGATGTCCCAGAGGACTGGGAACCAGGATGCTAATTGAGAAGCACCCTCCTAAAGCTGAAGGCAGAAAGGGTCTTACTGTGGTAAGATCACTGGGAAAATTATTCTTGAAGATTGGAACAATCACACCAAATGATTTGGGGAAATTCGGACAGATTTACGGAGGGAAGATTAGGTAGATGAGTGTAAAATACACAAAGCATTGGAGGGTGTGTTTTTTTTGTTTGTTTGTTTTGTTGTTTGTTTTTTTAGTTTTTTTTAAATTATACTTTTATGTTTTAGGGTACATGTGCACATTGTGCAGGTTAGTTACATATGTATACATATGCCATGCTGGTGCGCTGCACCCACTAACTCGTCATCTAGCATTAGGTATATCTCCCAATGCTATCCCTCCCCCCGCCCCCCACCCCACCACAGTCCCCAGAGTGTGATATTCCCCTTCCTGTGTCCATGTGTTCTCATTGTTCAATTCCCACCTATGAGTGAGAATATGCGGTGTTTGGTTTTTTGTTCTTGCGATAGTTTACTGAGAATGATGATTTCCAATTTCATCCATGTCCCTACAAAGGACATGAACTCATCATTTTTTATGGCTGCATAGTATTCCATGGTGTATATGTGCTACATTTTCTTAATCCAGTCTATCATTGTTGGACATTTGGGTTGGTTCCAAGTCTTTGCTATTGTGAATAATGCCGCAATAAACATACGTGTGCATGTGTCTTTATAGCAGCATGATTTATAGTCCTTTGGTTATATACCCAGTAATGGGATGGCTGGGTCAAATGGTATTTCTAATTCTAGATCCCTGAGGAATCGCCACACTGACTTCCACAATGGTTGAACTAGTTTACAGTCCCACCAACAGTGTAAAAGGGTTCCTATTTCTCCACATCCTCTCCAGCACCTGTTGTTTCCTGACTTTTTAATGACTGCCATTCTAACTGGTGTGAGATGGTATCTCATTGTGGTTTTGATTTGCATTTCTCTGATGGCCAGTGATGATGAGCATTTTTTCATGTGTTTTTTGGCTGCATAAATGTCTTCTTTTGAGAAGTGTCTGTTCATGTCCTTCACCCACTTTTTGATGGGGTTGTTTGTTTTTTTCTTGTAAATTTGTTTGAGTTCATTGTAGATTCTGGATATTAGCCCTTTGTCAGATGAGTAGGTTGCGAAAATTTTCTCCCATTTTGTAGGTTGCCTGTTCACTCTGATGGTAGTTTCTTTTGCTGTGCAGAAGCTCTTTAGTTTAATTAGATCCCATTTGTCAATTTTGGCTTTTGTTGCCATTGCTTTTGGTGTTTTGGACATGAAGTCCTTGCCCATGCCTATGTCCTGAATGGTAATGCCTAGGTTTTCTTCTAGGGTTTTTATGGTATTAGGTCTAACGTTTAAGTCTTTAATCCATCTTGAGTTAATTTTTGTATCAGGTGTAAGGAAGGGATCCAGTTTCAGCTTTCTCCATATGGCTAGCCAGTTTTCCCAGCACCATTTATTAAATAGGGAATCCTTTCCCCATTGCTTGTTTTTCTCAGGTTTGTCAAAGATCAGATAGTTGTAGACATGCGGCGTTATTTCTAAGGGCTCTGTTCTGTTCCATTGATCTATATCTCTGTTTTGGTACCAGTACCATGTTGTTTTGGTTACTGTAGCCTTGTAGTATAGTTTGAAGTCAGGTAGTGTGATGCCTCCAGCTTTGTTCTTTTGGCTTAGGATTGACTTGCCGATGCGGGCTCTTTTTTGGTTCCATATGAACTTTAAAGTAGTTTTTTCCAATTCTGTAAAGAAAGTCATTGGTAGCTTGATGGGGATGCCATTGAATCTGTAAATTACCTTGGGCAGTATGGCCATTTTCACAATATTGATTCTTCCTACCCATGAGCATGGAATGTTCTTCCATTTGTTTGTATCCTCTTTTATTTCCTTGAGCAGTGGTTTGTAGTTCTCCTTGAAGAGGTCCTTCACATCCCTTGTAAGTTGGATTCCTAGGTATTTTATTCTCTTTGAAGCAATTGTGAATGGGAGTTCACTCATGATTTGGCTCTCTGTTTGTCTGTTGTTGGTGTAAAAGAATGCTTGTGATTTTTGTACATTGATTTTGTATCCTGAGACTTTGCTGAAGTTGCTTATCAGCTTAAGGAGATTTTGGGCTGAGACAGTGGGGTTTTCTAGATATACAATCATGTCATCTGCAAACAGGGACAATTTGACTTCCTCTTTTCCTAATTGAATACCCTTTATTTCCTTCTCCTGCCTGATTGCCCTGGCCAGAACTTCCAACACTATGTTGAATAGGAGTGGTGAGAGAGGGCATCCCTGTCTTGTGCCAGTTTTCAAAGGGAATGCTTCCAGTTTTTGCCCATTCAGTATGATATTGGCTCTGGGTTTGTCATAGATAGCTCTTATTATTTTGAAATACGTCCCATCAATACCTAATTTATTGAGAGTTTTTAGCATGAAGGGTTGTTGAATTTTGTCAAAGGCTTTTTCTGCATCTATTGAGATAATCATGTGGTTTTTGTCTTTGGTTCTGTTTATATGCTGGATTACATTTATTGATTTGCATATATTGAACCAGCCTTGAATCCCAGGGATGAAGCCCACTGGATCATGGTGGATAAGCTTTTGGATGTGCTGCTGGATTCGTTTTGCCAGTATTTTATTGAGGATTTTTGCATCAATGTTCATCAAGGATATTGGTCTAAAATTCTCTTTTTTGGTTGTGTCTCTGCCCGGCTTTGGTATCAGAATGATGCTGGCCTCATAAAATGAGTTAGGGAGGATTCCCTCTTTTTCTATTGATTGGAATAGTTTCAGAAGGAATGGTACCAGTTCCTCCTTGTACCTCTGGTAGAATTCAGCTGTGAATCCATCTGGTCCTGGACTCTTTTTGTTTGGTAAACTATTGATTATTGCCACAATTTCAGCTCCTGTTACTGGTCTATTCAGAGATTCAACTTCTTCCTGGTTTAGTCTTGGGAGAGTGTATGTGTCGAGGAATTTATCCATTTCTTCTAGATTTTCTAGTTTATTTGCGTAGAGGTGTTTGTAGTATTCTCTGATGGTAGTTTGTATTTCTGTGGGATCGGTGGTGATATCCCCTTTATCATTTTTTATTGTGTCTATTTGATTCTTCTCTCTTTTTTCTTTATTAGTCTTGCTAGCGGTCTATCAATTTTGTTGATCCTTTCAAAAAACCAGCTCCTGGATTCATTAATTTTTTGAAGGGTTTTTTGTGTCTCTATTTCCTTCAGTTCTGCTCTGATTTTAGTTATTTCTTGCCTTCTGCTAACTTTTGAATGTGTTTGCTCTTCCTTTTCTAGCTCTTTTAATTGTGATGTTAGGGTGTCAGTTTTGGATCTTTCCTGCTTTCTCTTGTGGGCATTTAGTGCTATAAATTTCCCTCTACACACTGCTTTGAATGTGTCCCAGAGATTCTGGTACGTTGTGTCTTTGTTCTCGTTGGTTTCAAAGAACATCTTTATTTCTGCCTTCATTTCATTATGTATCCAGTAGTCATTCAGGAGCAGGTTGTTTGGTTTCCATGTAGTTGAGCGGTTTTGAGTGAGATTCTTAATCCTGAGTTCTAGTTTGATGTCACTGTGGTCTGAGAGATAGTTTGTTATAATCTCTGTTCTTTTACATTTGCTGAGGAGAGCTTTACTTCCAACTATGGGGTCAATTTTGGAATAGGTGTGGTGTGGTGCTGAAAAAAATGTATATTCTGTTGATTTGGGGTGGAGAGTTCTGTAGATGTCTATTAGGTCCGCTTGGTGCAGAGCTGAGTTCAATTCCTGGGTATCCTTGTTGACTTTTTATCTCGTTGATCTGTCTAATGTTGACAGTGGGGTGTTAAAGTCTCCCATTATTAATGTGTGGGATTCTAAGTCTCTTTGTAGGTCACTCAGGACTTGCTTTATGAATCTGGGTGCTCCTGTATTGGGTGCATATATATTTAGGATAGTTAGCTCTTCTTGTTGAATTGATCCCTTTACCATTATGTAATGGCCTTCTTTGTTTCTTTTGATCTTTGTTGGTTTAAAGTCTGTTTTATCAGAGACTAGGATTGCAACCCCTGCCTTTTTTTGTTTTCCATTTGCTTGGTAGATCTTCCTCCATCCTTTTATTTTGAGCCTATGTGTGTCTCTGCACGTGAGATGGGTTTCCTGAATACAGCACACTGATGGGTCTTGACTCTTTATCCAATTTGCCAGTCTGTGTCTTTTAATTGGAGCATTTAGTCCATATACATTTAAAGTTAATTTTGTTATGTGGGAGTTTGATCCTGTCATTATGATGTTAGCTGGTGATTTTGTTCGTTAGTTGATGCAGTTTCTTCCTAGTCTCGATGGTCTTTACATTTTGGCATGATTTTGCAGTGGCTGGTACCGGTTGTTCCTTTCCATGTTTAGTGCTTCCTTCAGGAGCTCTTTTAGGGTAGGCCTGGTGGTGACAAAATCTCTCAGCATTTGCTTGTCTGTAAAGTATTTTATTTCTACTTCACTGATGAAGCTTAGTTTGGCTGGATATGAAATTCTGGGTTGAAAATTCTTTTCTTTAAGAATGTTGAATATTGGCCCCCACTCTCTTCTGGCTTGTAGGGTTTCTGCCGAGAGATCTGCTGTTAGTCTGATGGGCTTCCCTTTGAGGGTAACCCGACCTTTCTCTCTGGCTGCCCTTAACATTTTTTCCTTCATTTCAACTTTGGTGAATCTGACAATTATGTGTCTTGGAGTTGCTCTTCTCAAAGAGTATCTTTGTGGCATTCTCTGTATTTCCTGAATCTGAACGTTGGCCTGCCTTGCTAGATTGGGGAAGTTCTCCTGGATAATATCCTGCAGAGTGTTTTCCAACTTGGTTCCATTCTCCCCATCACTTTCAGGTACACCAATCAGACGTAGATTTGGTCTTTTCACATAGTCCCATATTTCTTGGAGGCTTTGCTCATTTCTTTTTATTCTTTTTTCTCTGAACTTCCCTTCTCGCTTCATTTCATTCATTTCATCTTCCATCGCTGATACCCTTTCTTCCAGTTGATCGCATCGGCTCCTGAGGCTTCTGCATTCTTCACATAGTTCTCGAGCCTTGATTTTCAGCTCCATCAGCTCCTTTAAGCACTTCTCTGTATTGGTTATTCTAGTTATACATTCTTCTAAATTTTTTTCAAAGTTGTCAACTTATTTGCCTTTGGTTTGAATGTCCTCCCGTAGCTCAGAGTAATTTGATCGTCTGAAGCCTTCTTCTCTCAGCTCGTCAAAGTCATTCTCCATCCAGCTTTGTTCCGTTGCTGGTGAGGAACTGCGTTCCTTTGGAGGAGGAGAGGTGCTCTGCGTTTTAGAGTTTCCAGTTTTTCTGTTCTGTTTTTTCCCCATCTTTGTGGTTTTATCTACTTTTGGTCTTTGATGATGGTGATGTACAGATGGGTTTTTGGTGTGGATATCCTTTCTGTTTGTTAGTTTTCCTTCTAACAGACAAGACCCTCAGCTGCAGGTCTGTTGGAGTACCCTGCCGTGTGAGGTGTCAGTGTGCCCCTGCTGGGGGGTGCCTCCCAGTTAGGCTGCTCGGGGGTCAGGGGTCAGGAACCCACTTGAGGAGGCAGTCTGCCTGTTGTCCGATCTCCAGCTGCGTGCTGGGAGAACCACTACTCTCTTCAAAGCTGTCAGACAGGGACATTTAAGTCTGCAGAGGTTACTGCTGTCTTTTTGTTTGTCTGTGCCCTGCCCCCAGAGGTGGAGCCTACAGAGGCAGGCAGGTCTCCTTGAGCTGTGGTGGGTTCCACCCAGTTCGAGCTTCCCGGCTGCTTTGTTTACCTAATCAAGCCTGGGCAATGGCGGGCGCCCCTCCCCCAGCCTCGCTGCCACCTTGCAGTTTGATCTCAGACTGCTGTGCTAGCAATCAGCGAGACTCCGTGGGCGTAGGACCCTCCAAGCCAGCTGCGGGATATAATCTCGTGGTGCGCCGTTTTTTAAGCCGGTCCAAAAAGCGCAATATTCGGGTGGGAGTGACCCGATTTTCCAGGTGCCGTCTGTCACCCCTTTCTTTGACTAGGAAAGGGAACTCCCTGACCCTTGCGCTTCCCAAGTGAGGCAATGCCTTGCCCTGCTTCAGTTCGCGCACAGTGCGTGCACCCACTGACCTGCGCCCACTGTCTGGCGCTCCCTAGTGAGATGAACCTGGTACCTCAGATGGAAATGCAGAAATCACCTGTCTTCTGCATCGCTCACGCTGGGAGCTGTATACCGGAGCTGTTCCTATTCGGCCATCTTGGCTCCTCCTCCCGGAGGGTGTGTTTAAAGGTGACAGTTATTGTAGGTGGAGATGCAAATCACTTTTCAGACTCAAAACCCTCACTCAAAGGAAATCCAAAGTCCTTACAATGGCAAAGGATCTGGCCACTGTCACTTCTCTCATTTGATCTCCTACTACTCTAAAAAGTGAAGTCCATAAGCAGTTTGGCATTAAACTAGTAAGATTTCTGAGGCCCTAAAAGAACTACCTTCTTCTGGTGAGTGTTAGGTAGGATACAAGTACTGGAAGAAACTCCCAAATCCACCTTAGCATAAAAATCCCTTCTGACTGAAACTAGGTAGAGTAAAATACTAAAGAATATGTTAAGCTGCTTTGACTCTTTAATTTGAAAAGTTTGGGCTTTTTTTTTTTTTTTTTTTTAAGACAGACAGAGTCTTGCTCTTGTCGCCCAGGCTGGAGGGCAATGGTGCAATTTCAGCTCACTACAACCTCCACCTCCTGGGTTCAAGCGATTCTCCTGCCTCAGCCTCCTGAGTAGCTGGGATTACAGGTGCCCGCCATCACGCCCAGCTAATTTTTGCATTTTTATTAGAGACGGGGTTTCACCATGTTGGCCAAACTGGTCTTGAACTCCTGACCTCAGGTGATCCACCTGTCTCGGCCTCTCAAAGTGCTGGGATTACAGGCATGAGCCACCGCGCCCAGCCCTCTTTTTCTTACATGAAAAAGTGCAAGATAATATAACTTTAGAGTTTAATTTCGACATTATTGAGGCATCCATGTTACCATGTATTATTTTTTTAAAATGTTACACATCATGCTTATTTTCTTATCATTTATTCTTACTGCAGAACCAATGGCAAACTGTAACAAATGACAACATGTATGAACAGAATTTGAAATCGGTAAAAGAAAAAAGAATGTATTTTTAACCTTGGGAATAGCACAGCCTTGGATTTAATTTTACCAACGTATTATTGGGACCTATTTCAGCAAACTCCTTGTAGCAAAATCTGTATTACCATCTGCAGTCCAAAGGAGATCTATAAAGATGCCTCGGTTCATAAAGGTGCACACAGGACCACCCTGATGGACTGTTACTCATCTTCCAAGGGATAAAGCCCCACCCTTATTGACCACAGGCTTAATGGTTAATGCCAATGAATTAAGACAGTTCTCATATCCTAGTTGAACAGTAGGAGAGATTTTTAAAAATGCACATATTCCTGCCCCATCTCTAGAAACCTGGTTTGAATTTGATCAGCATCAATGTTTTTTAAATGCAGTAAAAGTAATACTAACATGCAGCCAGTCCAACATAAATCAGGTTAAAGGAAGAAAAGCTGAGTAGTGGAAAAGTGGCAAGCCCATACTGCACTCTACCTGCCATGCTTCCCTGGGGAGGCCACACTCCTGATTTCTTGTCTCACATACCCTTACCAGATTGGTGAATGACTGGCATAGGTACTAACAGCACAGACACTGAAATTTGTTTGACTTCCTTTTTTCTGCCCTGGATCAAGACAAGGCAGTGATCCTGATTACATGTGTTTGCTCTGCAGGCCCAAACCCTATTCAGGTGAGCTGTCCCAAAGTTAAGACAGCAGAGAGGTACTGAGGTAGCACCAGCAGTAAACTAGTCTGGCCCTCATTCCTAAGCCATGTTCCTCTAGTAATGATGCTGACAATTTGATCTCCATTTGTCTGACTAATTAGTTCTGAACCTGAGCAGGGAAAAAGGAGATATAAATTTCTGATTTTTCTTAAACCCTAATGGAAACCATTCTGAAAATAATAATACCATATGGAATATCTAAATGTCAAAGAATTGATTTATGAATTGAAAACTAGAGACTACTTACAATGCTCTAACATTCCAAGAAACTCAAGGGGGCTGAAGGCATTTCTAAACCAGTATTTTTGGATGTGTGAAAAGGCTAAGTGCACAATCTCCTCCTTTCTGCTGCCCAGCCACATCCCCCTATGTTAAAATGAAGCAGTGCTCTTCACATCAGTGACTTCCTGATGAGATACACAGTCTACCTGGTAAGAAAAAAAATAAAGTCTTCCTTATAAAATACTTTACCTCTACAATGGTTAACAGAGTTTCCTGAGAGTTTCTCATCACTTCCATGGTTTTCTCACAGCATCTAGAGTCAAACACATTATAAATACGGATTTTGTTACACACCAATGTTGTCAACGTATCTTTATCTGTATACTCTCATGTGTAGTATGCTGAGCCTATGCTTAATAATCTACATATCTGTATCTCAAAATAGCATAATACTTGGCAGAGTGGGCTTTCATTAGACGTTTGAAATGAATACAAATATGTATTTGACTATTTCACAAGCTTGGCATTTACAAGAATAACACAACACTATTGATTACAGGCATGCACCACTGGGCTCAGCTCTCAGTCTTTGATTATTGTGGCAATTATTAGTTTACACTGACTGCAATCTGCCCCAATCCAAGTTGAGTACACAGACCTATGCTGGGAAAACTACAAGGAACTGCAAAGCTTTTTTAGTAGCACAATGTTATACTAGAACACAAGCTCCTATAAATAAAAATGTAGTCTCTTCTATATGCACAGTGATGAGCACCCAATAGTAGTTTGGATCATTAAGAAGGAGTCAGCCAGGATAGAGGTGTTAAAAGTAAAGGTGGGATGCTTCCAGAGGAGGTTTGGAATAACAGTATGTATGTTACATGGGCTTAGGTCCCAGGTGGGTGGAAGGAAGAGGAACTATTATTGCTTTTACCCAGGGTCTTTTCCTTAGTATTGATAAGGCACTGGAATACGATTCTAGCACTAAATTCTATAATCTATACAAATCTCTAACCCGTGTGTGTGTGTGTGTGTGTGTGTGTGTGTGTGTGTTTGTGTGTGTGTATTTTTTTAGATACAGGGTCTTGCTGTATTGCCTAGGCTGGACTCAAACTCCTGGGCTCAAACAATCCTCCCACTTCAGCCTCTTGAGCAGCTGGGATTACAGGTGCAAAGAACCATGCCCAGCCCATGTAATTTTGACATCAAAAATTATTTCCCTCCTTTACTTCATATCACTTACCTTCTGAAGACACCTTCAACACCCGTAATGCCCATGCCATCCACAATATCTCTGGTGAGTCTAAAAGGAACTGTCTCAGGAGTAGGAAGGATTTTGCCCTGTTCAAAAGCAACACCTAAAGTAAAGAATACAGTGAAGTTAGGAGGTTTGACAGCTAATTTACTTTCTTTCCAGTTAGAATGTGAACTTTACAAAGGCAAGAAACCACATGTTACCTACGTTCTATGAACACTAGTATGTACAGTAGTTTACTTCTGCTCTGGCTGCCTTCCTCATCTTTGTCACTGTCTGTGAGATCCACCTCAAATCCAAATAACCTAACTACTTCTTAACCCAACTAGAGAAATCTAGGTTAAAGGGTGATTTTTAAAAATGAAGTAACTACTGGTATAATTTAAAATGGAGATGATATATTTATATTTAAAAAATTTTTAGGCTGGGTGTGGTGGCTCCCGCCTGTAATCCCAGCACCTTGAGGCTGAGGAGGCCTGACACCTGAGGTCAGGAGTTAAGAGACCAGCCTGGCCAACATGGTGAAACCTTGTCTCCACTAAAAATACAAAAATTAGCTGGGTGTGGTAGCAGGTGCCTATAATCCCAGTTACTCGGGAGGCTGAGACAGGAGAATCACTTGAACCTGGGAGGTGAAGGATACATGGAGCTGAGATCGTGCCATTGCACTCCAGCCTGGGCGACAAGAGTGAAACTCCATCAAAAAAAAAAAATTAATGACATTTTATGAGATAATTATATGTTCACTTCGAGTTGTAAGAAATCATACAGAAAAGATCATCCCTTATGCCTTTTCCCCATTTCACCCCAACTGTAATGTCCTGCAAAACTATACTACTACTGACATCGATGCAGTCAAGATATATAATATTCCTATCATAAGGATCCTTCATACTGCCCTTTACGGCTGCACCTATTTCCCTCCCATAGCCTATCACCCAGCCCTCTGACCCCCTATTTTTCTAGCAGCCACTAATCTGTTCTCCATTTTTATAATTTTGTCATTTCAAGTATGTTATATAAATGGAAGTGGAATAATCATACAGTATGTAACCTTTTGGGAATAGCTTTTTACACTCAGCCTAATTCTCTGGAGATTCATCCAAATTGTTATGTATATCAATAGTTCTGTTTCTTTTCATTGCTGAGTAGTATTTCAGGGCATGGATGTAACACAGTTTGTTTAAGCATTTGCCCACTGTAGAACATCTGGATTTTTCCGGTTCTTGGCTATTATGAATAAAGCTGCTATACACATTTGTAGTACATGGCCATTTTATAAGTAGATTTTGTTGTTAAGTTTTGAGAGTTCTTAAAGATTGTTCTTTTGGTATCAAGTCTAGGAACTCTGTTTAGCCCTAGATGCTGAAGGTTTCCTCTTAATTTTCTTCCTCTGTTGCTCAGCTTGGGTAATTTCTACGGCTCTGTCTTCTATTCACTGATAATTTCTTCTGTCTCCTCATTCTGCAGTTGAAATTTTTTATTTTATTTACTATATTTTTCTGTTCTAAAATTTCCATCTGGTTCTCCTTTATATCTACTTCTATACTGAGACTACTTATTTCTGTGCTGAGACTTACTATATTTTAATTTGTTTCAAGCATGTTTGTAATTGTTCCTTCAGTGTTTTTATGATGGCTGCTTTAAAATCTTAGATAATTCCAACATCATTGTCATCTCAGTGTTGGCACCTACAGGTGGCCATTTTTCATTAAAGTTGAGATTTTCCTGGTTCCAGGTATGCCTAATGATTTTCAATTGACACCTACACCTTTTAGTTATTACGAGACTCAGGATCTTCCTTAAACTTCTGCCTTTAATGCCTTTGGGAGTCACCACCTTGTTACTGCTAGGTAAGGGCAGAAGACTAGATTCCCCAATTGGCCTCCACTGACACTCAATAGGGAAAGGGCTTGCTATAGCTGAGTAGGGCTGAAAGTCCAGGTTCCCCGGATATGTCCACTGACACCAAGGAGTGAGTCAGAAAAAAGGAAAAAAAGGTTAGAAAATATAGACTAGCAGGTAACAGTATAAATGATACATTGCAAAGGCCTAACATAGGGTTACTGGAGTCCCAGAAACAGGGAAGAACCAGGATGGACCCTATGACATGACTATGTGATGACATAATGTGATGGAAGTGATACTGTGCAAGTTGCAGGCCTAGCCCTTAACTTCCACTTCCTTCCCCTTGGAGCCCCAAGATGCTGAGTAGGTCCAGGACACTATTGTGGACAGAGAGGCCACATGGGAGTGCTGAAGCATCAGACATGTAAGTGAAGAAGCAATCATGAACTCTGGCCCAGCTGAGTCTTAAGATAACTCCAGCCCCAGATGCTAACTGCAGCTGCATGAGAGATCCTAAGTGAAAACTGTCCAGCTGAGCCCAGTCAACAGACTATGAGAGATAATAATAAATAAATTGTGATTTTAAGCTACTAAATTTTGGGGTGGTTTGTTATGCAGCAACAGGTAACCAAACAGACATACACAGAATAGTATACAAATCACCCAAGTGTGACTCACTGGGATTTCTGCAAAGTGAACAAATCCACGTTAACAGAACTCTACCAGCATTCCAGAGGCCCCCTTTCAGTCCCTCCTACCAGTCACTAATCACCTCTTTCAAAGGGTCACCACTATCCTGATTTCTAACACTATACATTAATTTTATCAGCTTTTGAATTTTATGTAAATGGAATTATACATGTGTACTCTTTTATGTTGGAATCTTTCACTTAGCATTATATTTGTGAGAGTCTTCTATATTGTGTGTTATTATTCATTCAATCTCATTATATACAAAGAGAATATAAATATACGACAATTTGTTCATCCATTCTACCTATGATGGATATCTGGATTGTTTCCAGTTAGGGGCTATTATGAATAATGCTACTATAAACATTTTTATACATATGTATGCATTTGTGTTGGAGTGGAATTGATGGGTCACAGGATATACATAAAGTCAGCTTTAGTGGATAATGCCAAACAATATTCCAAAGGGGTTGTACCAATTTACCCTTCTCATTTATAGATGCTTTTAGCACGACCTGAATGGACTCAGGTTGGCATACTCCTACCTCTAATTTGCATCTTCCAGACCACTCTCCTTTCATTCTCAGATAAAGTCTGGCTCCTCTGTTGAGATCCCCACCTTCTAGCTCTAACAAATCCCTTCCATCTTCACGTTTACTCTGTAAACCTGTAAGGTTTTCTCTCACATTCGCTGAATGTTGGCATGGACCTAGCTCACAATCTTCCCCTCTGTCCCAACTCTAGAATTCATTCTGGGGAAAACCATATAATATCCGTGACTGTCTCTGTTCTAATGGAATTCAATTTCATTCTATCTTAATGAACCACTCATATGGGTTGTACTCCAGAAATGAGTCTGCTAAAACTGCTTCTTAGACATTGTAAATTGTACATTCTAATCAAAACCTCTTCTCCTTCTACCCCTTATTCTTACTAAACAGTCTTCAAATTTGACTGAGATTTCTAGTTTATTAGCCCTCTTCTTTCCCTAACTCAGCCCAGGGGTAGAGACAATAAGTTTGATTACTCTCATCAGTGCTTCAAATCTCCTTGTCCCCTTGTCCCTCCACCACATCTCCCATTTTAAACTACAACTTAAGCTCCAAGGATGTTGAGGACTGCTGGAAAATCATACAACAACCCTATTGGCTCCACTACAAATTTAGGATTGAAAGTGCCCCTTAAACTGCTTGGCATGTCTTATTTATTTATCCCTTTCTAGTCAGGTCTTGGTCTCATTTCCATGGTAAATTTTAGAATTTTATTTGTTCTTTTAAGGCCAGTTACCATCCCTCCAATTCTTAGCAAATGAGCATGCTTTCTATTTCTCAGCAAAAACACAATAGCAAATATAATTCCCTCATACTCCTTCCTCTCCAGCTTAAGACTTTCCTATTGGCATCACTTTTCCTTCTCTCTCAGCAGAAAAGCTAACATGCCTCCAATCTAAAGCCAATGCTATCAGACTCACGTACTTTATGATTTCCCTTGCTATTTCAATTATCTTTTGTTTTTCTCCTGTATCTTCAATATCTAACAGGTTTAAACCTCTCCTATCTTAAAAAAGCAAGGACCAAATGTGTCTCTCATTCCTGCAGCAAATTTCTCTGCCATCCTTCCCTTCCCTTCTAAACTTCTTGTAGGAAGATTCCACATTCTTTTTTTTTGAGACAGTCTTGCTCTGCCGCCCAGGCTGAAGTGCAGTGGCATGATCTTAGCTCACTGCAACCTCTGCTTCCTGGGTTCAAGTGATTCTCCTGCCTCAGCCTCCCAAGTAGCTGGGACTACAGGTGCCCACCACCTCGCCCGGCTAATTTTTTGTATTTTAGTAGAGATGGGGTTTCACCATGTTGGCCAGGATGGTCTCAATCTCCTGACCTCGTGATCCACCTGCCTTGGCCTCCCAAAGTGTTGGGATTACAGGTGTGATCCACCGCGCCTGGCAGATTCCACATTCTTAATCTACACATCCTTAACTTCCATTCAGTCCTTGCCTTTTTACAGTATGGTTTCCTCCATTCTATCCAAAGGGGACTTCCAAGGCCTCTAGGATTGATTACTTGTTAAATTCAAAGGTCTATTTTCAGCATTCATCCTCTCTGACCTTTCTGTATCAGATACTATTGAGCACTACTTCTTTCATAAAAGATTTTCCCCTCTTGCCTTCCAAGATCCTGACTTCCTTTGAGTACTTCTCAGTTTTTTTCTGGCTCAGCCTTTCCAAGGCTCACTTCCCTTATGATTTCATCTTTAGGTCTCTTTATCACGGATGATGTGTGAGATCAGAACCTCCTCCAGCCCAGTGACTTCAACTGAAATCTATTTGCTGAAGATTCTGGATCTCCGTCATTACATTCACACTTCTTTTTCTACATTCTGAGTTGCAGGGGGATAATAGTGATGATGTGGTTAGTAACCAAACCAGCTTCATTATTAAATCATATGTTTCATATTCATCCTGATTCTTAGCATCTACCTTTTTATAACTTATGCAGAAGAGAATTCTCCTACTTCAATAAATAATAAAAAGACAGGGTTTTCTTCTTTGTTTTATAGTGAATATGGCATATTTTCTCTCCTCTCAATATATTATTTTCTGAGAATTTCTTTGGAAAATAATGAAACCTGTGATAACTTATTTCCTTTAATTATTTTTGTTCTTTTGCATATAACCTCTAAAAATTATCACCTAGTGATTAATACTGTTTAATAGAAGTTTGTCATTACATTCACACTTCTTTACATTACATTCACACTTCTTTCTTATATATTAAACTGTCTATTCCACCTAGAAATCCCATTAATACTTCAAAATAATGAGCAAAACTAAATTCATCACTTTCTTATTATTTACAAAACTTGATATATTTCTTAGCTATATATATTCTTTCTTTCTTATATATTAAACTGTCTATATATATACATAGAAGCTACATATTCTTTCTTTCTT
Source organism: Homo sapiens (assembly GCF_000001405.40). Lineage (NCBI taxonomy): Eukaryota > Metazoa > Chordata > Mammalia > Primates > Hominidae > Homo > Homo sapiens. The sequence continues at coordinate 108,348,377 of NC_000011.10, read as the reverse complement.
ATATATTAAACTGTCTATTCCACCTAGAAATCCCATTAATACTTCAAAATAATGAGCAAAACTAAATTCATCACTTTCTTATTATTTACAAAACTTGATATATTCCTTAGCTATATATATTCTCTTTCTTTTATATTAAACTGTCTATATATATACATAGAAGCTATATATTCTTTCTTTCTTATATATTAAACTGTCTATTCCACCTAGAAATTCCATTAATACTTCAAAATAATGAGCAAAACTAAATTCATCACTTTCTTACTATTTACAAAACTTGATATATTCCTTAGTTAGAAGCTTCAGTTATCTGGGGGCCCCACTCCCCCACTATTTCCTCATCTAATATCACTGGTACAGTTTACTACAAAAATGTCCCTCAAATCCAATATTCTGGTTTCTACAACTTTAGTATAAATCTTCATCATTTCTCATCTAAACTATTACAATATCCCTTAATTTTTCTTCCTGCTGCCAATACCACTCCCCAAAGTGCTCCTGAAATTATATTTCTGAAAATAAAATATTATCATGTCCTTCATTTATTTCCTATAGTTTAATGCAATGAAGTTGAAACTCCTTAGCCTGGCTTTTTACAGTCTAGTACCAATCTCTCTCTCAAGCGACTCAACTACAGGCTTACTTCACTCCAGACACATTTAATGTCTCACCACTCCCACAACATGCTACATCTTAAAATTACTCCTTGTTTTGGTGGAATAGCCCTGATTCCTTCTTTTGAATCTGCTCTATCTTCTGTCTGAATTATGCTTTCTTTCTTTCTTGAAGACCAGGCTCAAAAGACACCTCATCTATTAAGTTTCACTCAGTACCCCAGGCAGAGTTAACTGTTTCTTCTAGGACAACTGTTTATGCTGAAAACAAAAAAACCCAATATTTACTGCTTCAATTTATCTGTCTCTTATATTTGTAATATCTTGGTAGGCAAACAACATTCCATGATGACCAAATATTTACTAAAAAGAATAGATACATAGATTTTATTACTTACCTAGATCTATATGTACAAGTTCTGCTGACTGCTCATTTATCAAGATATTCTGTACATGTCTATCACCAAGTCCAAGTATGTAACCAACTGGAGAAAAAAGAAACAAACAATCTGAAATCACTGATTCCATCTCTTTCTAATATATAGCCATAATTTCAATTAAGACCACTGACTTGGTATAATCTTTAAGTAGTTTAGGATTTTTAGCCTACTTAAATGATGTGCATAACCGGCCATGTTGAGTTTAACTCAAATCTTGCCAGCTATTTTAATGCATATTGCATTTTACAAATCCTAGATGATTTGCTAAAAAAATTTTCTCTTTACTAATAGGCACACATTTTAAAATATTAGTACTTAAAAAATTATTGTGGCTAAAGTTGAGACCCATTATTTACCTGGGTCAAAGCTGTGCATTATATGTACTCAAATTTTTATTGAACATACTTATAAAATGAGAAGTCTATGGATAAACTCTTCACTCTTCAGTGAAACTTTCTTCTCCTTGATGAATTATATTTAACACAAATTAATCATTAATTCATTTCACCAGGTGTGTATCCCCCCAAAAAACTGCATTTCTGTATTTAAGACAGATGATGACATGCACTAATGGGAGAAATCACATGGCATTACAAAAAAACACACTGGGTAGGGAATCAGAATGACTGGGTGTCTGGCTTGCTCTGTCATTAACTAGGCCTACTTTCTTGTTTATAAACTAGTTGTATCAGATTAGTGATTCTCTATGTAGAAGAGAGTTTCACAATTACCTGGGAACTCTTTCAAAACATACATGCCCTGCCTTCCTGGGGTATAGTATGTAAGTGATGGAGGGAGTTGTCTTTAGTTAAAAAAAAAAAAAACAACAAATAGATTAGATGATCTCTAATGTTTACATTAGTTCTCATACTCTAGGATTTTGTTAACCATACTATCTACCTATTCTAATTTCTTAGGGAAAAAAAGTCAAAATATATATTGTACACAAAATATTTAAATATATCTCATGGTTTCTATTCTGAAAACAAAATTCTATTAAAAAGTATTAATCACTAGGTGATGATATTTAGAGGTTATATGCAAAAGAACAAAAATAATTAAAGGAAATAAGTTATCACAGGTTTCATTATTTTCCAAAGAAAGTCTCAGAAAATAATATATTGAGAGGAGAGAAAATATGCCATATTCACTATAAAACAAAGAAGAAAACCCTGTCTTTTTATTATTTATTGAAGTAGGAGAATTCTCTTCTGCATAAGTTATAAAAAGGTAGACACTAAGAATCAGGATGAACAAGAAACATATGATTTAATAATGAAGATGGGTTGGTTACTAACCACATCATCACTATCATCCCCCTGCAACTCAGAATGTAGAAAAAGTGCTGAATCAAACAAAAATAAAACCTGCCAAACAACAAAGTGCTCAATCTACTATATGTACAAGAAGATTACCAATAGAAGAAGTAGCTACACTGCGCGTATAAGCCAATCGCTTCTCAAACCAAATAGCTGGATCCAAGAATTTTTCCATGCAGAAGTAACGGAAAACTGGTTGAAAATTTTGGCAAACATCCATGAAGACTTCATATTTCTCTTCAAAAGACTTTTTTTGCACCTCCTTTAAATAGAGAATATATATAATTATTTTTCAATATTGTGTTCAATTAAACTAATATACACATTTTTATATAAAAATATGACAGATATAGGGGCAATAAAGATGAACAGGATACATTACCTACAAGAAGCTAACAGTCTGGACAGGGAAGCAATTAATTACAAGTGATAATCCCTTTAGGATTTCCATATTAATTGTTGGGGGAGGAAGCACACCTACAGTGACTGTTACTTGTTTTGATTAAATTCTAATTTGAATAATCCTGTACTCTTAAGCAGAAATAAACACAGAAATGCCTAAGTAGTTCCAGATAACCTCAGGTGGCATCACAGCATTGGGTTGCAATAGAAAACAGGAAAAGAGAAAGAACAGAAGAATCCCTCATAGATGGCAGCTGATATGACTCAGATCTCTATCCTCCAACATCTTCTTGCCATAAAATACTACCTGAAGCAAAGCTTACCGACTTCAACTCCCTTCCATCTATGTGCTGATGATTTCTAAATCTGTTTGGCCCAGATATCTTTATTAAGCTTTAGCTTAATGTGCTTCTCAAGCTGCCCATTCAGCATCTTCACTTGGATCACTTCCAAATTCAAATACTTCATCTCTGGCAAACTTTAGTCACCTCTTCTATTCTTCAATGCAGTAAAGAGCTTCACCATCTACCCAGCTGCCCCAAACAGAAAACTGGGAGGCACTGGCTACTCCTTTTCTCCAACATTTTTTTTTTTTGGAGACAGGGTGACAGGGTCTCTGTCACCTGGACTGGAGTGCAGGGGTGTGATCACAGCTCACTGCAATTTTGGCCCCTGGGCTCAAGCAATCCTCTCACCTCAGCCTCTTGAGTAGCTGGGATTACAGGCATGTGCCACCATTACCTGGCTGACTTTTTATTTTTTGTAGAGATGTGGTCTCACTATGTTTCCCAGGCTGGTCTTAAACTCCTGGGCTCAAGCAATCCTCCTGCCTTGGTATCCTTAAGTGCTGGGATTACAGGCATGCGCTACCACACCCGCCCCCCAACCTTATTTTTAATCAGCAATCAAATCCTATGAATTCTGCCTCCTTCATATTTCTCATCTCTACCCACGATTCTCCCTTCCTACTGCTGTTCATCTCAGTTCAGACCATCTCATGCCTCCAGTTTGCATTCTCAAAAATAGAACCCACAGTGCCGTCGGAATTTCTTTCTAAAATGCAAGTCTGATATTACTATCCTTTAGGGTCTTATGAGGCCTATAGCATAAGGTGCAAACTCCTTTGCATTTCATAAAGCAACACTCCATCTTTTGACCAACAATTACTGCTCCAATCTCATCTTTTCTTCCTCAAACACTAAGCCTATGCTTATGTTGTCTTTTCCTGCTCATGTCTCCTCTCCTTTGCTTATATGCTCCTTCTGCCTGGAAAAACAACTCATTTACAAAACTCGGCTCACACACCTTTTCCTCTGTGAAGCATTTCTTGGATCTACTTCTGTCTATTCTCCCCACCCCAGGCAGAACTAAGCACTTCCTCCTCCATACCTACACTGTACCCTGTGTGCCCTGTACAGACTTCCATCACAACACCTATAGCACTTATCACACATTTTAAAAAACATGTCACAGAAAGCACAATAAAATGAACAATAAATGGATTTTGGATTTAGACAAGGCTCAAATCCTTGCTCTGTTTATTAGCTCACTGGCCTTGGGCAAGTTCTCTGAACTTCTCATTTTAAAATGAGGATAAGGATTATGATGATTAGTCGTAATATTTGATATTTGTGAAGTCTTAAGTCAGCACAGTACCTGGTAGACAGAAAACATACAATAAATGTTGCTGATTCAGCGAATGAATATCAGACTAGATGGCCAATGTGACATTGTAAATGTCTCAGAAGGTTTTCTATATCAGTTTCATAAAAAATTACTTCATAATCTTGTTGTTGTTGTTGTTTACTGTGTTTGTTTTTTAGAGATGGGGTCTTGCTCTGTTGCCCAGGCTGGCCTCAAAATCCTGGGTTCAAGGGATCCCCCAGACTCAGCCTCTCAAGTAGCTGGGATTACAGGTGCATGCCATCGTGCCTGGCATTTTAGTGTTTTGTTTGCTAAGAATTAGTTTATCCCAAATTGAAAACAAATCAGCACACATTGAATAACCTTTACATTTCTTATCTGACAAGGGTTGACATATTATGTAGTTTAAAATCCTTCCTTTTTCACTCACACACTTTCATTCTGATGAGTTTTTCTTTTACTTAGTATCTTTGACAATTACCTGATGAAATTAAAGTTTTTTTGTATTCTATAATATCTGACAGCTGTCAGCTTTAATAAGCCATTAAATAATCTTACAATAACCTTTAATTTTGGGTGTCACTCACCATCATTTTCTTTTGGCACTGAAAGGCACTGAAATCATTTGGCCTGTATCTTTTATGAGCACCATCTTCATTGTTAACAAGAAATTCACCAATGGGGACAGTTCCTGTGCACCATTCAAGAACACCACTTCGCTGAGAGAGGGGAACCACCTGGAGTTACAGATTAAATACCTTTTAATTTTAAAAGGCCATTAAAGAGCATTTGATGATCATTCAGCTATCAGAGTCAGTGCAAAGCATTTTTTTTCAAGTTGTATTAATATTTCTCTGTCCATAGAAGACAAAGCTCCTTGGAGGAAACCAATCGGAAATAAACTTAAGCTCAAAGAATATAATTTTCCAGCCTGCTGCCTAGATGTTTGAGAGCCTGCCCATCACTCAATCCCCACGATTCTCTGAGAGGTCACTCCTGTTAACTATACTCACCGTCATCTGTCATTAATCCATACTTAGTTTGTCCAGTTAGGAGAGGAATTAACTGCTTTCCTTAAAATTTTAGTATCAATTAAATTTGGGGAGTTTCACTTGGAAATTATTACCCATGAATGTGGTCTCAATTTTAGTGTAACTTCATTATTGAAATTACATGTACTCTTGCTTTAGTCTTATTATCTTCACAGAGAGAAAATGTACTCCTAAATATAAAATAAGCAACTTTACTAGGAAAGTTTTTTAAAATTATATTATAAACATACATAAAGTATAGAAAATGATATTAACAGATACCCTTTTATCCATTAAACAGCTTTATCAAATCTAGGATTTTCTCACATTTGCTGGGGAAGAGATGAAGCTCCCCCTTGTGTGCTTCACTGACCCTAAGTCCCTCCCACCATCAAGATGACTGTTAGCTGGTTTATCATGTTCTTGTATTTTTTGGTATATTTTTATTTCAAAGCTATATGTACACAAATAGTTGTAAGTATTAAGTAAAAAAATTAGGATACTATATGTATATTTCTGTAATTTGGTTTTTTATTCAATACTATTTTATCCTAACTATGTGAGCATATTTAACTCTACATCATTCATTTTAACAGCTATATACTACATAAATACAACAGTTATCCAATCTGCATATTAACATTTACATTGTTTCCACATTTCCATGAAATACTGCTGCAATGAAATAAACTACTCGTGAACATATTTCAGTTTCTCTAGGCAGGGGTGTCCAATCTTTTGGATTCCCTGGGCCACACTGGAAGAATTGCCTTGGGCCACACATAAAATACACTAACACTAATGATTGCTGATGAGCTAAAAAAGAAAAAAAAACTGCAAAAAAAATCTCATAATGTTAAGAAAGTTTACAAATTTGTGTTGGGCTGCACTCAAAGCCATCCTGTAGGCTGCATGTGGCCTGCAGGCTGTGGGTTGGACAAGTCTGCTCTAGGGTATATACCCAGGAATTTAACAGCTGAGCCAGAGATACATCTTCACCTCGGTTAACCAGATATTGCCAAATAACTATTCAAAGTGACTGTACCGATTTATATACCCACCAGTAGAGTTATTCCATAACTTTCGCAATACTTAATATTGTCAGGCTTTTTATATTTTGCTAATCTGAGGGTAATAGTATTTCACTGTGGTTTTAATTTGTATTTTCCAGATTACTAGAAAAGTTGAATATCATTGTATTCTTCATATAAATCCCTTGTTCTTTATATTAAAATGATCCTTTTTGTTCTAATTAACATTATTATATTCGTTTTCTCAGCTGGTCACTCGTCCTTATGGTGTCTTTAGTTCTATACATTTTTAAATTTTAAGTTTCTCACATATGTTGAACTGTTTTGTGTCTTAAGGAAGCATTTGATTAATTTATTAACATTTATTTGTTGGGGGCGTATTACATGTTACACACAGGGCTAGGGCACTGAGAACAGAGTGGGAAAAAGGCAGATGAAGACTATGCCCTCATAAAGTTTCATTCTGGTGAGGAACATATATCCTAATAAACATTTCATAATATTAGATAATAAGTATAAGAGAACAAAACTTAAGTTTAAAAAAGAGAGAAAGTGGGTAATGGCAACATGGTCGGAGGCCTTTCTGAGGGTAACACTGCAGCAGAAGCCTGAATGAAGTAAGGGAGTGACTGGTGTGAAGATCTGAGGGAAAAGCATTGCAGGCAGAAGCAGAAAAGCCCTGAGGCAGAAACAAATTGGTGTGTCTAAGCAATTGCAAAAGACCAGGTAAGTCAGGTGGAGATGACTCATCTATACAAGCAGAAAGTGAGAGGAGTGTGAGGAGAGTGGTAGATAAGGCTGGAGGGAGAACAGCAGAGGCAGATCACTTAACTTAGAGAATTGTCATTCAGGGATAATGTGAACTCATGTGGGGTTCTGAACAGGAAAATGGAATACAGCTGGCCCTCTGCAGCTGCAGATTCAACCAACTGTGGATCAAAAATATTCACCAAAAAAACCTCAATAAAAACAATACAATAAAAAATAAAAATTTTAAAAACCAATACAGTACAACTATTTACACAGCATTTACACTATATAAGGTATTTTAAGTAACCCAGAGATGATTTACAGTACATGGGAGGAGGTTCATAGGTTATAGGCAAATGCTTCATACACCACTGTATATAAGGGACTTGATTTTAGTATCCACAGGGGGCTCTGGAAACAATCCCCCACAGATACCGAATAAGAGTACTCTGTCTTAGACAATTTTAAAAGGATCACTCTAACAGTTATTAATAAAACTAGCTTTGGAAAACCAAGAGCAGAAGTAAACTGTTGGTTTAAACTCTAGTATCTACAGAGATGTGACTGCAGAAGTAGGGTGGTAATAGCAGGGGTGGTAAAGTGACCTGCCTGGAAGTTGACCAATAGGACTTGCTGATGGAATAGACAAGACTTGAGAAGAGAGAAACAAGAGTTTAAAATGACTCCCATTACTTGGTGACATTTAGGAATTTTTGTGAATTGTTTTAGGAGTGATGACAGTATTGTGAGAATGGTTTTTTAAAACAGACATTATCTTACAGATCTACACACTGAAATGTTTACAGATGAAATGATATGACATCTTGCTTTAAAATAATATTGGAAGGAAGTTGGTGGAAAGAGAAATGGAACAAAATTGTCCATGAGTTGGTAACTGCTGAAACTGAGTGACAAGTACAAGGGGGTTCATGATGTTATTGTCTCCTTTTGTATGTTTGAAATTTTCCATAATAATAAAAGTAAAAAGAAAATAAAGCCTCTAGGTTTCAGTCTGAGCAACCAAGTGAAGGTGGTACCATCTCTAACAATACACTTTGCATTATAATTATGTTTATTATGTTTATTTTCCCTATTAGAATGTGAACACCTTAAGGACTAGGGCAATGTTTTACTACTTCTATAGACCTAGCACTCAGTAGAGTATCTAACCCAACGTAGGTATATAAATTCACATTTATTGAATAAACAAATGAATGATCTCATGGCCTTTCTGATTTCCCTTCCTGCCTAATAAGTATTCTACATGCCCTCTCCCCTGCTGTCTTTGAGTTAGCTGTGACCCCTGATGCTTGATCACATTAACATTCTTGCAGTGTAGTGTACTCTGTCTAAAGTCTCTTTTACATTGATTACTCTCTATCAATATCTAGCTCTGGGGCGGGGAGGGGGAATCAAACCCTTATTTTTTGTTGAGAGATTGATACAGAAAGGAATGGGTTGGCTTTTTTCTACCTCAGCTTAGAGTCTCAACTGTGATGTTGGTTGTTGGAGAAAGAGCTGAATTTGAATTTCAAAAAGCAAATGACAGTGTTTTCTCTGGTACTAAAGACTCTCTGGAAGATTTCAACTGGGTATCTGGGTATTTTGTGTGAATACCACAAAAAAGGACTGATGACTATTTTCTCAGTTCTCTGAAAGTACACAGCTGATATCATCCTAGATACACAGAAATGAAGTTAATTCATTATATTCAGTGAATGTCTTAAGATATTATGGCTTCTCTCCCCAGAACCATGACTGAGATAGATGCTCTGAAATATGCATGACAAGGAATAAAAATTATTTATTGGCACAAGGCAGGATGATCAGGTTAAGTGCAAAGCTCCTTTCAGCACTTAAATATTGTTTATTAGAGACTTGCCTTTTAGAAAACAAATCCTCTGACACCTAAGATTTTAGACTTGTTCAGTATACTTTGTAACAATGCATAGTTTTGGTGGAGAAAAATGGGGCCAGCCACCCTAATTCTGGTTAATGTTAAGGGCTATGTCTGAGCTATCAACATACACAATAAGAACTGTCTTCATTTCCATCTGATTCTCTCTGACAAGAGATATCTGGCATGCCTCAATATACAAGTCTCTCCTTTTGAGGTTGCACAATGACACAAGGTTTGTATACCAAGATCTAGTTCCAGGTAGTCAATGTATGCTCTTGTTGACACAATGACCACAGAAGACCTGAATCTCAGGATTGGGAATGACTCTACAGATGACTGGACTGGGTAGACTACTTCGCTGTAGTCTAGGGAACCTTAACTAAAGGCAAGAACACTTAGTTTAACATAATGATGACACAACTTTCACATTCTTGGAGTAATCTCAAAATAACATTACTGGCTTATTGTCGTAATTCTAAGAAATAGTCAAACCTAAACTGTTGTGTTTACAGGTTTTACTTTAATATTGAGATGTATAACATTAAATAATTAATTATCTGGGTTACCCCCCAACCCCACTTTTTTTTTTTTAAGACAAGTTCTTGCTCTGTTGTCCAGACTGGACTGCAGTGGCATGATCACAGCTCATGCACAGCCCCAAACTCCTGATTTCAAGCAATCCTCACGCTTTAGCTTCTTGAGTAGCTGGGACTATAGGTGCATGCCATCATGCCTGGCTAAATTTTTAATTTTTTGTAGAGATGAGGTCTTGCTGTGTTGCCCAGGTTGGTTTCAAACTCCTGGCCTCAAGTGATCCTCCTGCCTTGGCCTCTCAAAGTGCTGAGATTACAGGCATGAGCCACTGCATCTGGCCTCTAGACATTTTTCCTTTTTTGAGAAGAAGTCTCGGTCTGTCACCCAGGCTGGAGTGCAGTGGTGTGATCTCGGCTCAACTGCAACCTCTGCCATCCGGGTTTAAGTGATTCTCTCACCTCAGCCTCCCAAGTAGCTGAGACTAGAGGCATGTGCCACCACGCCTGGCTAATTTTTTTGTATTTTTAGTAGAGATGGGGTTTGGCCATGTTGGCCAGGCTGGTCTCAAACTCCTGGCCTCAAGTGATCCGCCCACCTCGGCCTCCTGAAGTACTGGGATTACAGGCGTGGGCCACCATGCCCGGCTAGAAATCTTAATGGAATAACTTATATGGTAAAATAGTTTTGTGTGAAAACTAGCTGTTGAAAAAGTCATAAGGTAGAGATGAAAGTTCAGTAATTTCTGCTTTCAAGATATTCTAGGTCAGGCATTTGCTTTTTTGTGCTTTACAGCAATGAACTTTGGAGGTTCAATTGTGTATCTGCTTGGAAATCTTAGCTACTTTCTGAGAGTTCAGGAGGTGCTCCTATAGCCCATACTTTTGTAACCCAATTCTTCACCTATTATCTTTGTCATCTAAAAGTTTGGTATTTAGAGCATAAACAATTTCCTTTCATTCACATTACAGAATATCTAGTCTCTAAAAACTTCTTAGCAATCTCTACATTATCTGTCAGATAGGAGATAGCTAATAGATCATCAACTTTGTTCTAAAATGAAGTCAGGTCAATAGATGGTAGAACAAGTAGACTGGTGGGTCTCAAAGTGTTGTCCCTGGACCAGTGCAGCATCAACATAACTGGTATCTTGCTAGAAACGCACATTCACAGGTTCTACCCTAATCTTGCTGAATTAGAAATTCTAAGAATGGGGATCAGAAATCTGTGTTTTTAACAAACTCTCTAAGTGACTATGATGTCTGCTAAAGCTTGAGTACCAATGATCTTAACCACATCAAAGAAATCCCTCTACAGAGTAGCCTTTATAGAGCAACTTTTGCTTTTTGCATTCATCGAGGATTAATTAGCTTTTTAAACTGCTAATGGAAAACATCTATTATGTTAGTTATTATTGCAGAAGGTTCCATGTCACAAATTTCTCACAAACTTGAAGGCTACGGAAAAAATTGTGCTTTCCTTAATGAACAGTATGCCCCTCTCCCAACCAATAAGTTTTATATTTAGTCTCTGAAAGCAGTTAAGAAGCTCAAAACCAAGTTCTGCTTTTTATTACAATAGCCTAACTCAAGCAGCATTTTGGAGGGTAGATCTAATTTATTCTTCTTCACTCCCCTATTTAGGGCTTTTAATTTAGCCATTATTTTAAAAATAAAACACGTTCATAGTGGAAAACTAGAAATATATAAAAAAGCACATGTCACCCATAGTCCCTGTTACAACATTTATAGAAGGAGAAAGTTTAAAAATGAGGTACAGGAATGAAATCACAAAAGACAAACCTATGGAAAATAGGCCCTTCAAAATAAGGATTTATTGTTATTTCTAAACTGGTTAAATGAATAATTAATATAAGAGTCAAAGATGATCAGCTCATAGAATGTGACTGAGGATTGTCTTCTCAGGCAAATAGCTAGAGGAAATGTAAGTGGGTACACTCCCATTGAGAGTAATTTGGCAATATGTACCAGATTACAGATGCATGTATCCTCTAACCCAGCAATCCAACTTTTGGAAATCCATGCTACAAATTTGCCTGCGCATGTATGAAATTTGTATGTTCAAGGTTATTCACTACAATACAGCGTTGTTTGTAGCAGCAAAAGACTGAAAACAACACAAATGCCCATCGATAAGGACTTGTATAAAAAACTACATACATACACACAATGCAGCTGTTAAAAAATGAGAAAGATTTCTGTGACATATTGTTGAGTAGAAAAAAAAGGAAAAAATACTTCAGTTGACTATAAGAAACACCTAACTATAATTAACATTAATAAATACTTTTTACAAAGAAAATAAATCTTTATTATTTGGTCCTTCACAGAAAACATTTGTAGACTCCTGGTCCAAATAATGGCATCTTCTTCTTCTTCTTCTTTTTTAAACGGGATCTTGCTGTGTTGCTCAGGCTGGACTGGGGCTCACTGCAGAGTTTGAGCTCACTGCAGCCTCAAACTCCTGGACTCAAGTGATCCTCCCACCTCAGCCTCCCATGTAGCTAAGGGACTACAAGCACATGCCATCATCTCTGGCTTTTTTTTTTTTTTTAACTTTTTGTCAAGATGGGGTCTCACTATGTTGCTGAGGCTGGTCTCGAACTCCTGGCCTCAAGCAATCCTCCCACCTTGGCCTCCCAAAGCATTATGAATATGGGCATGAGCCACTTCACCCAACCAAATGGCATCTTTTATATGTTTTTGGTGAACTAACAGAAGTACAAATAGTTACCTTATAAGTACAGATAGTTAATTTCCTCTTCCTAGTTTCCGTGTTTCTCTGCAGTAATGTATTACACATCTGGAAGACCTGTTGCATGACAGCATCTTGTCTCAGGTCATCACGGCCCTTCAGAATAATTAAGCATGAATAAACAAGTACAGTTTATTTTATTATAAAAACACAGAGTCATCTGAGAATAGCAAAGGGCACTCAAACCAATCTGAGCATCTGTGCACCTCTTGACAGTCTCCCAAATAATTAAATACCTACTGCCATTCTTTCATTTAGAATAAGCTACAACATTTACACTGATTTAGAAAGTTTCCCCTCGCTACTTCTGTAATTAGATTAACTGGAAGTCCCCCCTAGGAAGGCATACTGCAAACACCTGAGTAAAACAGCACTGTGTCTTTCCACCACTCCCCAGTAGGACCCAAAGAGCTCGTCAGCAAATGGTAAGGGAAGAATGCTCTCCCTTTTTGGTACATTAAATAGCACTTGGCACAGTACGAGACCCGGTATACTGATGCAAAGGACGTCAACTTGCACTATTCAAGGAAATAAGAGACAGACACCAAAGTATTTTTTTTCATAAGAAGCAACCTCACTGTACATGTCTGTACATGTTAATGGTATTCTTTTACTTGAATCAACCATATAATAATGATTGTCTTTCAGAGACACAAAAAAAATGGAGAAAAGCCTGGTTCTAGAAAATAATGCATTTCTACTCTACAAATCTTCCTCATTTGTAAGTATTCAAAATAAAGACAAAATCCCAAATAAAGCAGAAAGAAAATATGAACTAAAAATTTTCATCACTAAAACTCTAAGGGCTAAGCCAGAGAAGGGAAGGCTCACCTTAACAAGCTGTCTCCTCTCCTTGCCATCGGAACCTACACAATCTATTATTTTTGGTAAATTTACACCTCCTGCTAAGCGAAATTCTGCTTTAAATGACTGTATAGTCACCAGATTTCCATATTCTCCTGTGTGGTCCACCTAATAAAAGTATAAACATGATTGATAATAGGTCAGATACACTATTTGCACTTAAAGAAAAATACATTATAAATGGCAATTTTAATATTAAACAGAGAAACAAATGACGATGTGATAGTGGTTAAGAACTACAACTTTAGGCCGGGTGTGGTGGCTCACGCTCGTAACTTTAACTACTGTTTCATCAAAGATTCACTAATATATGTAAAGTCATCTGAGAAATAACTCCTCACGAAAACATAAAGTAAATTTTGGAAAACAGTAGAAGGAGTTTTCTGGGTTATAACTGCTAAATCTGGCATTTTAAGGAAACATTCAGCGAAATCACCTAGCTGATATAGCTAGAAAAACAGCAGTTAATCCACATGATACAGCTACATTTCAAATCAAGTAACTAGATACTAAGCACTAAACTGCAAAATGAAAAGAAAGACAATGTATTTAAGATGATCATTTTCTAAACTTATAACCCTTATTACATATATCCCTGCCCACATGAAATTACTTCCATTATTTCTTGCAATAAAAGAATATTAGAACAGAGCTAAGTGTATCATGCATATGAAGTCAGCTTAATATTATAATAATACATACTATATTACTTAATACTGTGATATATCACAGCCAATACATTTTACTGCACATAGAATTTTTAAAAACAATATATGACAATTGGAACCTTCCTTGCCAAGTCAAAAATTAATCTTGGCATAAGCACACGGAAACTCTCCTTCTGGCCAATGAAAGTAACAGTCTATAGACCTTCATAAGAAAGATGGGAGGTGTAGAACAGAAGGCAATGGAAAAGAAAGCAGGAGAAGCTTTTGAGTATTTTAGGGCTTGGGCAAAGGAAATATAATACTGAGAAATTATAGGTTGAAACATATGAAATTTGCCAATATTTAACCAATTTTGACCTACATAAAAATACTATTTCAAATGGTTCAATCTAATAAAAAAAATTTAGTTTAAAAAAAATCAAGAGTTAATTGCAAATTACCTTAATTTCCATAGTAGGGACAACAACATCTTCTAAATTCTTAAGTTTAGTAATTGGCTGGTCTGCTGGAATATTTATGCCTTCTGTATTTAAAAATGAAGAGATTTTAGTGACAAACTGAGGAACAGCATTGAAGGTCAAGCAGGAATAGTCAGCAGATACCACTGGCCCCAACTTGTTGCTAATCTGTGGTTCAGGCTCTGATTGAGAAATGAAGACTCTGGGCTTTGGCCACTATGCAGCTCAGAGTCAAAGCTCAACAGTGGTTAATGTAGCTTCAAGTAAATTTGCAGGTTACCTGACAAGGGTAACTAGACCAGATTCCACCTGAGGAACCAGACTAAACATCTTAAAATAATTACGTAATAGTTTGCATAGTACATAGATAACATACTCCTGTCACATTACCATTAAATGCAACTAAAAGACATGTCAATACTTTTTGTTTGCTTAGAGAAACAATATGTGAAGTCCCATTCGTTTTCAAGTAATAAGAATTTAAACTTGAAGATATGATTCTGAATAGAAAAAAATACAATTATTAAAGTATGGGGAGATACTTAGAAGCATACTTAGAGACTAGTCACAAAACCAAAGATTATATAGCAGCTTGTAATTATTTGAACTGACACAGCAAGAATAATAATTAAATAATGGCATTTTAGCACCTATGGAAGAAATGGTAAAGCCTTTTTTTGTTTTTAAGTCCCAGGGCAGTTTTAGTAACCACATCGTTTAAAAAAACTTTTGAGGCTAGAAATGTTCAGTTATTCAATTATTTTAATAGACTTGCCTCTATTATGCAATTCTCTGTAATAAGTATGTATGCCAGAAGATTATCAGAAGAAATCAAATAATTAATTTAGTGTAGTCACCTATTACCAGTTCTATTAAGAGATATTAAGTGAAAAAGTAACCAGGGAATGCTGAAGCCATCAGATATAAATTAAGCTTTTGGATTACGTTTGTGATTTTAAGCAGATTTACTTATTAGGCTCTATAACTAATATATCTCTACAGAGAGTAACACAGCAAGAAAGTAACGTTTCTTCTTTAAAAAAAACATACTTCTCTGAGTCTTCCACTGAGTGGCATCTAAGTTTGCTAATATAATATAAGCATCACAAAGTGCCTCAACACTTCTGACCATCTGAGGTCTCCTACTTCTGATAGTACATATTATTCTATTTGCAGCCTCTGTTCGATCCTATTAATAAAAAACAAAAAACATTACATAAGGAACTACCCAACATTTAAACTTCTCAGAGTTAGAAAAACAAAGAGAAAAACAGAATTTATGCACAAATCTAGACAATGGAATGATTATAATTCCTCAGATACAAACAAAACAGTCATAAATGAAATACATCAAAGATACATACTCTCGTCAATGACTTAGGTGCCTTTCAAAATCTATTGTTTCACTTTGCCAACTGCTTTGAGGAAAAAAGTAAACTACTACTGGTATCTCCTATGCTTTGACAAATATTAAGGAATTTTGAACCAATTTTAATTAATTAATTAATTAATTAATTTGAGACAGAGTTTCGCTCTTGTTGCCCAGGCTGGAGTGCAATGGCGCAACCTTGGCTCACTGCAACCTCCGCCTCCCGAGTTCAAGTGATTCTCCTGCCTCAGCCTCCCGAGTAGCTGGGACTACAGGTGCCCACCACCATGCCCAGCTGTTTTTTGCATTTTTAGTAGAGACAGGGTTTTGCTGTGTCGGTCAGCCAGGATGGTCTCGAACTTCTGACCTCAAGTAATCCACCCGCCTCAGCCTCCCAAAGTGCTGGGATTACAGGCGTGAGCCACCGTGCCAGCCTTGAACCGATTTTAGATGGCATCTTAATAACACAAGATTTTAAAAAGAAATATTCTAGGAAAGACTGAATATCACACTTCTAAAAGGTACGTATGTTTAATCCAAATACCTCATCAAGCTGAGAGCTTTGTTTAGGCACATTTTTAGTTATTCTGCTTCTTCTGGCTACCTCTGGTTTAGTCAGAAATTCATCTCTGTTTGCATTTGCTAAGGCCAGTATAATAAACAAAGTGTGATGGGGGTGATCCATTGAAATTCTAGAGATTAGCTGTAAGAAAAGAACTATTAGATTTATGCAAATAAACAAAAAAATATAATCCATATTTTTCATTTTGCTTAACATTAAAATGTGTATTACTGTCTAGATACTGCAGTGGGTAGAGCGTGTATGCCTGCATGTGTGAGAAAAAGGCAGAGGCCTATGAGGAATTAGAGAGAGAAAATGAGTAACTTATGTGATGTGAGAAGACAAAAAATACAAAATTTTGTATTTCCATTTCTTAGAGGGAATGGTATATATACTTTATATAATATATAGTAATAATAGAATAAAAATAATTATTGTGGTTTGATTTTCAGGTTTACTTACATTATTGAGGACTTCATGAAATCCTAGGCCTCCCATCATCTTGGTCCCCATTCTAGCAGCCAATTGGTACATAAGAGGCAAAAATTTATATGTTGGAATCTTCATTCCGTCTCTCTACCATTAAAAAAAAGACACAAAATTAAGAAACAAGGTATTTCAAATATTCTCACATCTAAGCAAGTAAGTTATTTTAAGACAGTGCTCCTCTATTAGCACAAGTGGTTAACAAAACTTCACTAACTATATTGTTTTCCTTCATTTCTTTTCTTATCTGAAGGTCTTTCTAATGGGTACTCTAGATTAATGCATTGGTAAATCAAAATATTTGGTCCTAAATTAAACTGGATTCAGAACTAGAATACTTGGTACTGTTTATATTCCAAAAAATCTAAGGAAGACAAATGTGATCTGAGTGTGACTGTGATCTTGATTCCTGAGAAGTCAGTGTACAATAAAATGAAGTAATTGCTTTTCCCCATAGGCCAAAAGTAATATTTAGTGTATACTACAGCAGAGATTGACTGTATCTATTATGAGTCTTATTATTTTCCTGCAGGAGAAACATTTTATCTCTAACCTTCAAATTGACTAACAATATATAGCTTGTCAACTTAAATTTAATATTAGGTGTCATCACTATAATCTAAGGTTTTCAAAGAAAAACTTATACAATACTGCTGTCTTGACATTTTCTGAAAAATATATTTTCTCTACTTACAAAAGTAATTTATTGTAAAAATCCCATATTTCTGCAGCAGGGGGAAAACCCACCTGTGATCACATCATCTTTAACTGCTTTCTAAATCCTCCAATCTAATGCCCCATTCTAGACCCTCTCCTATGGTAACTGCAAAGACATAGGACCAAGCTAAATTCTATCACCTCCACACAAACTTGCATCATTTACAGCTTGTCAGCTTATATAATACAAAGGAACTTTTGTAGAAACAAGACTAGAACTTGTAAATAATCCTAAATATGGATCAAAGTTTAGAAAACTACAAAATGCTACTTATGTGTAGAGCACTGGACCAAGTGCTAGGAATACAAAGAGGTATACACGATTCCTGACATCAAGGGGCTTATGTCTAAGTTTTTCAAGCACAGGGTAGAATATTGGGCTGAGTAACACTTGCCTTCATCATGCCATTGACTTCAGAAACTCCAGAATTTTCAAGCCAGAGGGAACAAAGTCGGAATACCCACATATCATGTTCTTCTCCACTTAATAAGCAGTTGATATAATTTTCAACTGCTTTACATAAGAAGCGTTTACGATCCTCTTTCAGTGCACGCAGGGCTAATTCATCCAACTCCAGCTCTCGCTGAACCTTTACTGTGTATCTTGCATAGAATAATTAAGGTAAAACACAAAAGCCATGAACTTTAACAGAACTACAAAATCACACATGATATACAACATTTAATGAAAAAAGTTGGGTTTTTATCCCAGGGAAAAAAGCAAACTTCTAAGGATTATAAAGGGAATAAACTTACTTTTGTCTTAACTGTGCAATTCACACACCTTCCTAAGCATCAAAGGACAAAGGGGACTCTCCCCAAGCTATTTAGCTAACTTACACCTCTGCTTACACTAAAATATACAGATTCAAGACAGGCTTAAATAAAGGGATTTAATTACATCAAAATAGGTAACTTTTGTAATTAATTTCAATATCTATCTCCTTTTCCACTATGATACCAACAAACAAACCAAAAAAGCAAAACAGAAAGCTAATATCTATATTCTCCACAATGAACTTAGAAGCAGAGCATGAATTATTCACAAAAGAACACGTCAATATCTTACATACTAATTTGTGATTAACTACAGTAGGACCAAGACAGACAGGGCACAGTGCCTCACACCTGTAATCCCAGCACTTTGGGCGGCCAAGGTGGGCAGATCGTTTGAGCCCATGAGTTTGAGACCAACCTGGGCAACATGGCAAAACCCCATCTCTACAAAAAATACAAAAATTAGCCAGGTATGGCGTGCACCTGTAGCCCCAGCTATTTCGGGGGCTCAGGGGGAGAATCAATTGAGTCCAGGAGGTCGAGGTTGCAGTGAGCTGGAGTACAGTGATCACGCCACTGTACTCCAGCCTGGGTGACAGAGTGAGACCTTGTCTCAAAAAAAAAAACAAAAAACAAAAACCGAAAAGAACCCAAAAGACCAAGATAATCTATATATAGTTAAGCCGACCTTTAGAGCTCAAAACTATATCAGATAAAAAGACCAAGTCACTCTTTCTATGCAAAAACACTCACTCAGTTAACTGGTGAACATAAAATTGTCACTTGTAGAAACCTAGTTACCTGTTTGTCTGAATTTTATGTTCCCTAAGGAGACCTACTTCCTCTTTGGCTCTTTTCAGGAGAGCTTGCTTGTTTTCAAATTCCGATGATTTCATGTAGTTTTCAATTCTTTGGTATTGAGTATCTGAAAACCGGGCTAATGAGAGAAATGCCTTCATTTTTCCATTTCTTAGCTCATCACTACTTTCTCCATCATAATTTCCAGCAACTTCTACTGCCTTCAAGAAAACACAACCAATTTAAATTATATTTACAAATACTAAATACATCTAAAGAATCACTCAAATTAAGGTAATACACTAAAATTTAACTTATATACATATAAAAGCTAGCTAAATTATATGAACTATTGCAAACTTGTCCAACCCACGGCCCATGGGCCGCATGTGGCCCAGGACGGCTTTGAATGTGGCCCAACACAAATTCGTACATTTTCTTAAAACATTATGAGATTTCTTTTGTGATTTTTTTTAAGCTCATTAGCTATCATTAATGTTAGTATATTTTATGTGTGGCCCAAGGCAATTCTTCTTGCAATGTGGCCCAGGGAAGCCAAAAGATTGGACAGCCCTGAACTATGGTATTTTCTTGACTTTTCAAAACAACTTTGACAGTGTAGAAATAACCCAGACAGCTAATACTTGTAAAGAACTCTGCAAAAACAGAGAACTTTATAAAATTTAAAGACAATCAGGCTGGGTGTGGTGGCTCAAGCCTGTAATGCCAGCACTTTGGGAGGCCGAGGCAGGTGGATCACTTGAGGTCAGGAGTTCGAGACCAGACTGGCCAATGTGGCGAAACCGTCTCTACTAAAAATAAAAAATATTAGCCGGGTGTGGTGGCACACTCCTGTAGTCCCAGCTACTTGGGAAGCTGAGGCAGGAGAATCGCTTGAACCCAGGAGGCAGAGGTTGCAGTGAGCCGAGATTGCGCCACTGCACTCCAGCTTGGGCGACAGAGAGAGACTTCATCTCAAAGAAAAGAAAAGAAAAGAAAGACAATCGCATCATGTGTTTCATGTTACACTTATTTAGTGAGGTAACTATTTCCAAAATTAGTGAATCTAAAGGAATAAGAGGGAGAAACAGGAAAGTCAAAGGGGCTAGTATATTGAAGCCTTTACTTGTGGGTGGCTGGGCTAATGAAGAGCAAGGGCTGACTTGCCTATTCTTAATCAGTTATTTTTGTAGATGCATAAATGAAGAAATGATCAGAAGCAACCTGCTGAAAGGGTAGCTGGTAGTGGAGGTAGGAAGGAGGAAGAAGAGATACTATACTTGGGCTTACTTTCAAAATTGGCTGCTTTGTTTTGTAACAATGTTTCACTCCACCCTAGAGACTATACAGAGCTACAACAGTAATAATATATAGAAAAATAAAACCATACTTTTATTTGCTTTGGAAATATATTGATCTTGATGAAAAGATGAAGCATATTCATGCTAAGTAACTATCTTAAGGGTTGCTCCAAAAATCTTACCTTTTCTAGATAGGTCTGCATGATGACCGCAGGATTTTCTAAGCACGTTTCTGCTAACCAGTTGCCACAAACCCTCAGACATTCTGTGTATGTAAGTTTTAGGCTGGGATTGTTCTGTATAAGAAAGGCAAAATCTTAAAATATAATGCATTACCATGACTGTACCCAACTGCCCTTCATGTACGGGGAAAAAAGCAGGTTAAAAATGTTTTTCCTTGGTGGGTGGGAAAAAAAAAGTTTTTCCTCATCTGCTTTTGCCATACAACTATTTTAATAATCCCATGTAGGAAATGATCATCCTCTGTTTATTATTATTATTGCCATTATTGGAGCAAGTCACATTTATTGAGTACTTATATATGTCAGACACTTTGTAAAGGCTTTATATATATTAACTCATTTAATTCTCACAAGAATCCTATTAAATAAGTACTATTATTACCCCAATTTGCAGATTAGAAAACTGAGGTACAAGGAAGTTGGGTAACTCCAGACAGCACATACTTCAGGGCCAATACTATTAAGCAATATTTACACATATCATATTGGCACTCAGTGCTTTGGTATAATGATTTCTCTAATAACAGAAGATGCTATACAATGAGTGCCCAACATCAAAAAGTACAGTAAAGGCCGGGCGTGGTGGCTCACGCCTGTAATCCCAGCACTTTCAGAGGACAAGGCGGGTAGATTGCCTGAGCTCAGGAGTTCGAGACCAGTCTTGCCAACATGGTGAAACCCCATCTCTACTAAAAATACAAAAAAATTAGCTGGGCATGGTGGCATGTGCCTGTAATCCCAGCTACAAGGGAGGCTGAGGCAGGGGAATTGCTTGAACCAGGGAGGTGGAGGTTGCGGTGAGCCGATGTCGTACCACTGCACTCCAGCCTGGGTGACAGAGCAAGACTCCGTCTCAAAAAATAAATAAATAAATAAATAATAAAGCACAGTGAGCTGATATTCACTAAGCAGGTACATGTCTGTGGGACACCACTGTAGACAAACCTTGGGGACACCAATGCCTCTACTTTATCCAGTGTGTATGCTGGGTTTACAGCTGAAGTAGCAACATAAGTTTGCAAAAACCAACAGGTAATGTTAGATAAAATATTAGATGTGATATTTTCAAAGCATTTGGATTGACAACCTAATTGTCCCAACTTGCTTTTATTTTCTAATTTAGTTCTCTCATTCATTTCCTCTTCCCTTTTTTCACTTGTCATTTCAAATTTAGAGTAGCTATTTCATTCATTTCCCACATACCTTTCTTGAATTCTATAGGAAGTTAAAGGCTTAATACTGGGATATATTAAATGAATCGACCACATGATGGACTGATAGAATTGTGATATATAGGAAAAAGTTTCTAAACTTCATTTACAAATTAATTTTCAAGACTAGTTTTACAATATCTTGTTAATAAATTACTAATTTCAAGGCTCTAATAAAATTGTTATTAAAAATATTTTAAAGTACATTTGTGTTTTTTTAAATAACAGTAAAACACTAATCCAGCCAATAAAAAAAACAAACCGCTGCACAGCTGGCATCCAACTTCTTGATCATTTGCTTGAGAATACTCAGGGCAAGACTCTGCTCCTTTTTTGCCCAGAATACTTGTGCTTCTTCCAGCTGCCACTCAGAGACTCCACAGCTAACTGAATTGTACTGTTTAATTTGAAATATTGCCCTTTCAGGGAGCTGAAATGAAAATGACATATGGGAATAAATACTTTTACTACTGATACTACTACCATGAATAATAATAATAATGAAAGCAGCAACTACCATTCATTGAGGACTTAACTACTTGTCAGGGACTATCTTAAGGACCTCTCTGTCTGCATGACATCTCCCCACCCCACGTCTGCCTATCTGTCTGTCTGTCTGTCTCTCTCTATATGTATGTATGTGTATCTGTGTGTACATACACACAGTATATAAAATCACTGAATTGTTATCAATATAGTAAGTTACGTATCTTCTCATTTTATAACCAGGAAATTGAGGTTGAGAAAAGATTAAGTACCCTTGCCCAAGGCTTAAAAGTCAGATCTAATTCCAAAATGGGAACTCTTAAACAATTATTTTTACTATATATTAATAGAGATCTCTATCTCTTAATGACATTTCTTTTTCCCTCAGGCTTTCTGTTTTTTAAATAATAAAAGGAAAGTCAAGAGGTAAGATGACATAGTTTTAAATTGTATTTACCTGAGTGTTCTTGAAAGTTCTGGCCAGTATAGAGAGTTCTACAAGGTGTTTGGTGAGAATGTCCTTAATACATTCTCTTTGTGAGTTGTCCATTTCCTTTTCCATCAGGATCTCCAAAATGACTGTGCGTAGAGCCATGATAGGCTCCTGAAAACTAAAATCACTGTCCTTGAGAAGCTGGGAGTGTTTCTGCCACTTAATATATACTTCAGAGAGTTGTCTATGTGTGACTGATCTGAATGCCACGACATAGAGTTCATGTAAGCAAGAGAAATGAAAAAAAAAAAAAAAAAAACTATGTAAGTTCTGGAACTTACGATATAATATTATAATAATACAAAGGAACTTTTGTAGTGACAAGACTAGAACTTGTAAATAATCCTACATATGGATCAAAATTTAGAAAACTACAAAATGCTATGCGGTCAGAGCTCTTAAGAGTTATTAGCAGAGAGGTCACAGATGACAAACATCAAAAAAAATTTTTAATACTCTGACATTACAAAAAGCAGCCCTTCTAAATACTCTTCTGAAACAAGAACATATTCATCAGACCTATCATAAAGAATGCCTCCATCTTTAGTCCTGCTTCAATACTGCCTGTAGTAATGAGGACATGTCAGCAAGGAAATGAGGGACCCCCTACTGGGGATGACTTGATGCATAATTATAGCTGTCAAAAAAATCACAATCCAGTGAAGGAAAAGCTGGCATCTGGCAAAGGTTTCATTTACCAACATTATTAAAGGAACAGAAAAGGCATATTGCACAATTAGTTTATATGAATAGTATCCTTCCCAAATAACTGAACTATGAAATACTACCCAATCCTTCAGGGACATTTATTGAAAGAAATAAGAAAGAGGAAGCAGGGAGAGTAAGATGACAAAGTGATGACTAAGAAATGAAAGCTCTTTTAGTTGCTTGATAGGGAAGGAACAGTAACAAAAATGCTAGGAACCAAAACTTCAATTCCTCTCTAAATGACCCTACCACAGCAGGTCTCAAACTTTTTGCGGAACTCCTTTACAATCAAACAAATTATTGAAGACCCCAAAGAACTTTCGATCGTTGGACCATATCTACTGATATTAGATATGATATCATATTAGAAAGACTGAGAAAAATCTAAAATGTATTAATTTATTCAAAAATAATAAATCTACTATATATCATAAATAACAATTTTTAGGAAAAATAACTACAGTAGTTTCTCTGTATCTGCAGAAAATTGGTTCCAAGACACCTTGATAATGCTGATGTTCAAAGTCCCTTATTTAAAATGGCAGGGCATTTTCCTATTACACGTAACCTCTAGATTGTGCTTTTATTAAACATTTCCAAAAAGTATTACACATAACCTCTAGATTACGTGTAATAGGAGAATGTGCACAGGTTATACATAAATCTCTAATTACATATTATACCTACTATAATGTAAATGCTATGTAAATAAGTGTTATACCCTATTCTTTAAAATTTTTTTTTCAAATATTTTTGATCTGCGGTTGGTTGAATCCATAGATGGAAACCTGTAGATAAAGAATTTCAACTGTATACTTCCCAAAACAAAACAAAACTTAGTGAGCATGGCACTGTTTTGCATTTTTGCAAATCTCTTTAATGTCTGGATTAACAGAACGAGATGAATTCTTATCTCTGCTTCTGCATTTAGTTTGTTATTATTTAATGTTTTGGTTGATGTATATGAATGGAATGTAATCTGAGAGCATAAGCATTTGTGCACCAGTTCATCCAACCTTCCCTCTGCTTCTCTTCTTCCTATTTCTCTACCAAAGAAACAGCCAGATTATTCTTTAGGTGTTTCTTTTTAAAATTTATTTTTAATTTTTATGGATACATAATAGTTGTACATATTTATGAGGTACGTGTGATATTTTGATACAAGCATACAATGTGTAATGATCAAATTTGGGTAATTGAGATATCCATGATCTCAAACATTTATCATTTGTGTTGGAAACATTCCAAATCTTCTTTTGTAGCTATTTAAAAATATACAGTAAATTACTGTTAACTACAGTTGCCCTATTGTGCTATCAAACACTAGATCTTATTTCTTCTATTTACCTGTGTTTTTTCACTCATTAACCAGCCCCTCTTCATCCTCTCCCTCCACAACACCCTTCCCTGCCTCTGGTTACTACCATTCTATTCACTGTTTCTTAAAGAATTCTGTACTCTTTTCAGCAGGATAATCTTTCATTCAGAGGAAAAATTTCTTGATTTCTGGCAGTAAGTACTGCCAATGTACTTATGAATGAAAGCAGAAAAGACTTTTGTTCCTTTATTTTCCTCCTAAGCCACATTAATATGTATGTCTTCTGCTATGTCATTTTGAAAAAACTATTATTATTTTCTTCTGACTCTAAAATTTCCTTCTCTTTTCTACTTCCAAAACATATTCCAAATTTTATTTTTGCATAAAGGTAGAGTGACCTTAGTCATTTATATCCTCTTTCTTCCCTCGTATAATAATAATAGTAATTCAAAATAGCAGGGCTAAAAGGGGCTTTAGAGACCATCGAATACAAATCCCTGACTTTAGAAATGAGGAAACTGAGGACCCAAAACACTTTACTTTGTCATCCTGCCAGACTCAAGGCTGCCCTTACACAACTCTTCCACTTCTTTTATCTAGTAGCAAGGCAGAGATAAAATGACAGTAATGCAATGCAGTGCTAAAACCGAATGGAGTGTAACATGCTGTGCAAAAACATGAGGAAACAATTTTATCTGGGTGGGCCAGGGAAAAAGTTATAAAGAGAAAAGCACTTTTAAGCTGAATTTTTTAAACTTGAATTTTTACAGTGACTATTTTGGAAAATGTTTAATAAAAGCACAATTCTCTAGGGCTAATCAACTTATATCTTGATAAAAGGAAAGAATTTAGATCTACAGCATCCTGAGTAACTATACTATTTCATCTTCCAAAATCCCTGGATCATTTCCCTCTCACCATTATAAGAAGCAATTCCTTCTGAACACCTTTTACAAATTAACTGACATCCACTATCCACTGAATGTTTACTAAACATAATTATCAGTCACCAGAAGAGAAAACATTGGGGGCCGGGCATGGTGGCTAACGCCTGCAATCCCAGCACTTTGGGAGGCTGAAGCGGGTGGATCACCTGAGGTCAGGAGTTCGAGGCCAGGCTGACCAACAAGGCGAAACCCCGTCTCTATTAAAAGTAGAAAAATTAGCCAGGCATTGTCGGGGCACCTATAATCCCAGCTACTCGGGAGGCTGAGGCAGGAGAATCGCTTGAACCTGGGAGGTGGAGACTGCAGTGAGCTGAGATTATACCATGACACTCCAGCCTGGGCAACAGAGCGAGACTTGGTCTCAAAAAAACATAAAAAGAAAAAAAAGAAAACAAAACAAAAACACTAGGTATACAACAATAAACAATAGAATGGTTCCCACTTTTAAGGGAGCTTCTAGTTTAGCAAGGCAGAGATAAAATGACAGTAATACAATGTAGTGCTAAAACTGAATGGAGTGTTATCATGCTATGCAAAAACATGAGGAAACAATTTTATCTTGGTAGGCCAGGGAAAAAGTTATAAAGAGAAAAGCACACTTAAGCTGAATTTTTAAAACTTAAATTTTTACAATGACTATTTTGGAAAATGTTTAATAAAAGCACAATTCACTAGGGCTAATCAACTTATATCTTGATAAAAGGAAAGAAACACACACATTTGGTCTCTACATAGTTTTTTTTTTTTTTGAGACAGAGTCTCGCTCTGTTGCCCAGGCTGGAATCCATGGCGCAATCTCGGCTCACCACAACCTCTGCCTGTTGTGCTGGGTTCAAGCAATTTTCCTGCCTCAGCCTCCTGAATAGCTGAGATTACAGGCGCCCACCACCATACCTGGCTAATTTTTGTATTTTTAGTAGAGATAGGGTTTCACCATGTTGGCCAGGCTGGTCTTGAACTCCTGACCTCAAGTGATCCACCCACTTCAGCCTTCTAAAGTGCTAGGATTACAGGCATGAGCCACCGTGCCCGGCCTATAGTTTTTATTTTTTAAAGTCACTATTGGTAACAGAAAAGCTGCACTTTAGGATAACAAAGTCATACGAATTACATACCTTGAGAAAAGCTCCCCAATGCTTTCCAGCTCTCCAATGGCCTGCAACCTGCTAAGTGTGGGATAGAGCGAATACACAGACTCAAGGCTGCGCTTACACATCTCTTCCACTTCTTTTACTCTAGTAGCAAAAAAGAAAAGACACTCTGAAAATAAAGAAGAGGTTTTCAGGGAAATAAATGTTTAAATTTGTTGTTAAAGAGTTCTCATCATAGGCTTTGCTACTGATCTAATAATACTAACAAGCAACAGTGAATACAAAATAGCAGTGGAAACAAAATACAACTGACCCTTGAACAACACAAATTTAAATGCATGGTCCACTTACACTCAGAGTTTCTCCCACCTTGCCACCCCTGAGATAGCAAGACCAACCCTTCCTCCTTATCCTACTCAACATGAAGGTGGCAAGGATGAAGACCTTTATGATGACCCACTTCCACTTACTAGTAAATATATGTTCTCTTCCTTATAATTTTCAATAACATTTTCTTTTCTCTAGCTTACTTTATTGTAAGAATATGGTATTATAATACTTATACAAAATATGTGTTAATCTACTGCTTATGTTATTGGTAAGGCTTCTGGTTAACAGTAAGCTATTAGTAGTTAAGCTTTTGAGGAGTCAAAGTAATACTCACATTTTCAAATGTGTGAGGAGGAGGGGCTCAGCACTCCTAACCTCCAAGTGGTTCAAGGATCAACTGTAAACCTTGGAATCACACAGACCTAGATCTAAATTGCAGTTCTGTCACTTATAGCTGTGTAACTTTGGGCATGTTACTGGACTTCTCTAAGCCTTTTTTCACATCCATAGTTATTGTCATGATTAGAGAATACATATGAAAAGAGTCTAACAGTGGCTAGCATATCATAGGCACTTAAATGATAGTAAATTTTATTTCTGTGATAAACATAGGATTTATTAAGTCACTACGGCTTTAAAAATGCTGCATTTGTTTACCCCATTATAATTATTTCCTCATGCCTCATCACATTTGTGCCTCAAAACAAGTTTGTAAGTATTAACCGTGAGTTACAATTTTATAAATTAGAACACTAAATGCCATACAATTACCAAAAGAGACAAGATATAATTCTCAGGATACTTGTATAGGAAGAGAACAAAGAGGGAATCACCAAAACTTTCTTGAAGGGTCAGGGTAAAGAATGAACCTGGAATCCCAGAAACAATTTGTTTTGAAGGAGGGCAGAGAATTACAAGGAAACATCTGATCACAGCCACCAAGTCTTTATCTCTTCATCAATGCAAATCCTTACATTAAAATTGTTTCTCAAGTTTTCAGAAAAGAAGCCATGACATTAAATGTTAAAATACAGTAACTTTGTCTTTTCATAATACCTGGCATATTTGAGACTTTCATAAAATGTAGAGAATTCTCTGTCTCTTAGAGATTGTAGAGCATTGTACAATGATTCATGGTAACTGGTTCCTTCTACTTCTTTGCTGTGAGATAAGTCAAAGAAAAAAATATACTTAAAAACAGAACCCTAAGATATACATGTATAAATAGCTTCACCAAAGGACAAAATTTTTAAATTAACATTTCTCCATTCTAAAAAATGCATTTCTAGAATTTTTGGTAAGAAATACAAATTTTATGAGTCATTTAAATTCTTTAAGCAGAAAAAAAGGAAATTACTCAGATACTCTGCCTGGTTCTAAATATGCTCTACTTTCATTTATTTATTCAATAAATACCTATTATGTGCCAGGCACTAGGCACAAGGGGAATTCACAAGTGGACAAGTCAGATCAGGTCTTTACTCTCATGGAATTTATGTGCTGGTTTGGAGGAACAGACAATAAATAAGTATTGGAAAGTAACAAGGGACATGCAGAGAATTAAAACAGGGTAACAAAACAAAATGGCTAGATGGCTATTATAGAATGGGTAATCAAGAAAGGCCTCTCTGAAGATACATTATTATTTAACTAGGGTCCGAATGAAAAGAAGCCACCCGCATGGTAACTGGGGGAAAAGGAGAAGATACATCTAAGGCCCTTGGATAGAAACAGCTTGGCCTGACAAGAAAACACAGAGAGGTCTGTGTAGCTGAAATACAAGAGGAAGGAGAAGAATAGTATATATTGATTTACAGAGGCAAGCAAGAATCAACTCGCACAGGAAAAGGTTTTTAAAATATGAGGATATATCTCTAATTTTATAGCAGTCTTACAGTCTGAAATATTTGAAAGGCATTCCAATAATTATTATTTTTTGAGACAGAGTCTCACTCTGTTGCCTAGGATGGAGTGCAGTGGCATGATCTCGGCTCACTGCAACCTCCACCTCCTGGGCTCAAGGGATCCCCTCACCTCAGCCTCCCAAGCAGCTGGGACTACAGATGCATGCTACCTTGCCCAGCTAACTTTTGTATTTTTTTGTAGAGATGGGGTTTCACCATGTTGCCCAAGCTTGTCTTGAATTCCTAACCTCATGTGATCCACCCTCCTCAGCCTTCCAAAGTGCTGGGATTATAGGCATGAGCCACCGCGCTCGGCCAATAATTTTTTTTTTCTACAAAGGCAACAAAACATACTTAAACATAATTAATTTTTTAGGGTTTACATTATCAAAAAACTTTACATAAATATGAAATCCTTTATTAGATTAGGTGCTTGGCTTTTCATTCAGAAAACATGGTGACCTTATATACAGATTATAAATGTTATCTTCCTGGGTAACTGAGTGTTTTTTTTGTTTTTTTGAGACAGAGTCTCACTCTGTCGCCCAGGCTGGGGTGCAGTGGTGCAATCTTGGCTCACTGCAACCTCTGCTTCCCAAGTTCAAGCATTCTCCTGCCTCAGCCTCCCGAGTAGCTTGGATTACAGGCATGCTCCAGCACACCCAGCTAATTTTTGCATTTTTAGTAGAGATGGAGTTTCACCATGTTGGCCCGGCTGGTCTCAAACTCCTGATCTCAAGTGATCCATCTGCCTCAGCTCTCCAAGTGCTGGGATTACAGGTGTGAGCCACCACACTGTGCCCAGCCCTGAGTAGGCATATTATTTTTTTTATTTTATTTATTTTTTTAGAGACAGAGTCTCGCTCTGTTGTCCAGGCTGGAGTGCAGTGGTGCTATCTCAGCTCACTGCAACCTCCGTCTCCCGTGTTCTAGCAATTCTCCTGCCTCAGGCTCCCAAGTAGCTGGGACTACAGGCGCATGCTGCCACGCCTGGCTAATTTTTTGTATTTTAGTAGAGAAAGGGTTTCACCGTGTTTCCCAGGCTGGTCTCAAACTCCTGAGCTCAGGCGATCCACCCGCCTTGGCCTCCCAAAGTGCTAGGATTATAGGCATGAGCCACCGTGCCTGGCCGTATTATTTTTTAATAAAAGAAAATATTTCATAAATAAAGATAAGCAGTCCTTTGTGGATCCTCCAGCCAATATAAGTGCTATCTTACTGACTAAAATGTTTGTAGCAGGAAGTAGAAAGAGGAATGCCTATACTTTTCTTGGCATGCCTCAGTCCAACAAACTATGCGAGATGATACTCATTTCGAAAACCCTTTTCATATTTCTGTTTTTAGAAATATTTAGGGGTGGGGTGAAGTTGTCCTAATGGAATAAGAGAGTAAAATTCAAGCCTAGGTGCATTAACTGCTTATTGCTATCTTACTGAAGGATTTAGGGCTATCTATAGCTTGCAACATCTACTATATATTTTTTTATATATATATACACACATACACACTATATATATGGTATGTATATATATATAGTGTGTGTGTGTGTGTGTGTGTATATATATATATATATATATATATATATATATATATAAAACAACTCCTGTTATATTCATAGAAGAGAAAAACAGTTGTTGTTTAGAATGAGGAGAGAGGCAAAAAAAAAAAAATCAAGTCAAATTTCTTACCTGACGGAAGTGCAATGGTCCCACTGCATATTCCTCCATGCTGCTTGGTAATGAAGTTCTTCTAGTTCAGGACACCAGTCTTTATTTTCATAATCCAATCCTTTTAAATAGACGGAAAGAATATGGCAGAGTCCCAAATTCTGCAAGGCCTAAACAGGAGTTATTTTGTTTTTAAGTTAAGTAATCAAAGATATCAACAGAAAACCAGAGAAAAAAACAGCAAAGATACAAATTAACTTAGACAAATTTTAGTTCACAATATCATTTAAAATCCCAAAATATCAGCTGGGTGTGGTGGCTCATGCCTGTAATCTCAGCACTTTGGGAGGCTGAGGCAGGAGGATCACTTGAGCCCAGGAGTTTGAGACCAGCCTGGACAACAAACCAAGACCTGTCTCTACAATTTTTTTTTTTTTTTAAAATAGCTGGGTATGGTAGTGTGTACCTGTAGCCCCAGCTACTTGGGTGGCTGAAGCGAGAGGTGCCCTTGAGCCAGGGAGGTCAAGGCTGCAGTGAACTATGATCACGCTAATGCACTCCAGCATCAGTAACAGGGTGACACCTTATCTCTAAAATTTATTTATTTATTTATTTTTGAGATGGAGTCTCGCTCTATTGCCCAGGCTGGAGTGCAGTGGCGCGATCTCGGCTCACTGCAACCTCTGCCTCCCAGGTTCACGCCATTCTCCTGCCTCAGCCTCCCAAGTAGCTGGGCCTACAGGCACCCGCCACCACACCCGGCTAATTTTTTTTTTTTTTTTTTTTTTTGTATTTTTAGTAGAGACGGGGTTTCACCGTGTTAGCCAGGATGGTCTGGACCTCCTGACCTCGTGATCTGCTCGCCTCGGCCTCCCAAAGTGCTGGGATTACAGGCGCAAGCCACCACGCCTGGCCAAAAACATTTTTTTAATCCCAAAATATCGTTTAATGTTTCCCAAAAAACACAAAAATAGAGCTCAAAGGGCTCTAATATTTCATGGAAGAATGGCTAAGGAGTATTAGCCAGTAATAGAAACAACAGGTTCTGGGACCAACTCTGTTGCAAACTATGAGAAATAGTTTACATAAGATTTTCCATGTGAAGCAGTAAGTACACTACCTGGCACATTGTATATGCTCGAGCAATGTCTTCTGTTGTTATCCAACAACACTATGATCAAGAAATCTACACTATCTTTTAGGTCAATGACCTGTCTGACTTTCCTGTGTCTCCCTGAATTTTTTCTCTTTTTTTTGCATCCCTCTGCTTCAGGAGTATCCCTGAATGTTTAGCCTAATCCTCTGAAAAACAGATAAGTTCTAGTCTTATCTCTAGAGTTTATCTGGCTGTGTAAATATCCACCAACATACTGAAATAACCTCAGCACTACACTAGTGATGGCTTTACCAAATCTGGGAAAAAATGTACCTGAATGATTCCTGCCTGGCGTGTTGATGAGGGGATTGCTGTTTCGAGGTCATATGTTACTAGGGCTTTGCCCCACATTGCTTCGTGTTCATATGTTCGTAGTCTATAAGAAAAGATTGTGAAAATAGCTTTGGGTTTTACACACACATAACTCCTTCATAAACAGAATTACTATACCGTTGTTTAGAAAAATGCAATTTACCTAGTAATGGGTTGTAACATCTTCCCTCCACCACAGCCATACAAACTATCTGGCTCCCCTATACTTCTGTAGATTTCTAAGAGAAGATCCTGAAAACATGGAAACAACAAAAATTGAAGAAGGAAAAAAAATCGGTCTATAAATTTAGCAAATTTTAAATTGTATCATTACCAATATGTAACTCCCAACTCTAAATGTTATGTTATAGAAATAAAATGTAATGATTCTGAAATACAGTTCTGAAATACAGTTCAAACAACACGAGTTTGAACTGTGCAGGACAACTTATATGTGGATTTTTTTTTCAATAAATATATTGAAAACTTTTTGGAGGTTTGCCACAATTTGAAAAAATTCACAAACCACACAGTTTAGAACTACTGAAAAATTTTTTAAAAGTTATGTCATGAATGCATAAAATAAATGTACAACTAGTCTACACATTCCATCATTTGTATACATTTGATATGATACATTTCATCATTTACTACCATAAAATATACACAAATCTATTACAAAGAGTTAAAATTTATCAAAACTTACACACACACACTGTACACAGCATTATTTGTGGTTAAGACAAATATAAACAAATGTAAAGATGCAGTATTAAATCATAATTGCATAAGATTAACTATCGTACATATTGTACTATTGTAATAATTTTGCAGCTACCTCAGTTGCTACTGTGGTAAGCATTATTGTGTTGTGAGTATCTGCTTAAAATGCCATGTGACACTAATAATTTCCACATGAGCAGTTCATTTCTCTAGTAAATTGTATCCAGAAATGAAAAGTAATCTCTCCAGGTTCTCATGTATTTTTTCACTGTGTTTACTGCAATACTATAAGCCTTGATTAACACCACAGTGGCTGGAGGTGCTTCCAAGATGCAGAGAAAAGTCATGCCATTACAAGAAAAAGGTGAATTGTTTGATACATTCTGTAGATTGAGGCCTAAAGTACATATCAACCAGCAGTGGTTGCCTACAATTTCAGACAGATGATTCTTTGTAAACAGATGATATAAACTTACGGTATTGATAAACACAGTACAGTTCTGTAAATGCATTTTCTCTTCCTTATCATTTTCTCAATAACATTTTCTTTTCTCAAGCTACTTTATTTAAGAATACAGTATATAATACATATACAAAATTGTGTTGTTTATATCATCGGTAGGGCTTCTGGTCAACAGTAGACTATTAGTAGTTAACTTTTGACTACTAATTTAGTTTTACCCTGATTTTTAATAGCACAGGGGGTTAGCACCTCTAACCCTTACACTGTTCAAGGGTCAACTGTATATACTAATGATTTGGATCAGCAACACAGTAGACTGGTCCTAGACAACAGGAGGACTGTAGTCTACCCGAGAAGAATTGCCTACAATTTCATGAATTAGATAAGAAATAAGTACCGACCTACCAGGCTTATATCACATAAAAAAAAAAAAATCACACAAACAAAACCAAACAATCTTGTCAACACCTAAAACTGTACATGGGCTGGGTGCAGTGGCTCACATCTTTAATCCCAGTACTTTGGGTAGCCAAGGCAGGCAGACTGCTTGAGCTCAGGAATTCAAGATCGGCCTGGGCAACATGGCTAAACCCATCTCTACAAAAATTAGCTGGAGATGGTGGGGCATGCCTGTAGTCCCAGCTACTTGTGAGGCTGAGGTTGGAGGATGGCTTGAGCCTGGGAGGCAGAGCTTGCAGTGTGTTATGACTGCACCACTGCACTCCAGCCTGGGCAACAGAGCCAGATCCTGTCTGGAAAAAAAAACAAAAAAACTGTACATTAGAAAATACAGTCCTACAAAGTCTGACTCTTGAAAACTCAATTTGGTAAGAATAAAGGTCGTGGATTTTTCTTTGAAAAATAGCACAAAACTGTATTGGAATTGGTAAAATTTGATATGGATAAAGTAGTTTGGTTACTGAAATCTTTGTTGTAAAATTTACACAGAAAAGATATATTCTGTTTAAAACAATCTCAGTTAAATAAAAATGAAAACATAAAAAAAATAAAATAGAAAAAACTAGGAACTATACTGCATAGAAAATTGATCAAGCAATTGAACTGCCTATATGGTGCTTGCTCTGTGAAATATTTTCTACACACAAATTCATTTATATTGGCATAATTCTATAGTTCCAACTCAAATGTTTCTATTCATAACGTGAAATCAAGTCCTCAGAGTAGAAAAGTTCAGTACCCATGCTTAGCACAGTGCTTAGTACACACACGATATTCCAAAAACTCAGTAGAGAGGAGGAGCCTATGAAGAAGGCAAAAGTGAAAGGAGAAAAATCAGGAGAGTGGATCAAAAAGGTAAACAGAACACAGTTCAAGCAAGGCATGGTTGATGATGTGAAGTATTAATAAAACATTAAGGAAAAGGAAGAATGAAAGGTGACCACCAGACTTAGCAACATGAAGTTTATGAGAGACATTAGCAAGTGCTATTTTACTGGAATAAATGGAAGGGGGGGAAATGCAGACAGCAAATATGGACAACTCTTTCACAAAGTTTGTCTGTGAGAGGAAGGAAGAGAGAGGGTGATACCTAAAAGAGAACATAGGGAAGAGGGAAATTATTTTGTCTTTGTGAGAAAGGGAATTTTTAAACAGGAGAGGTTTTAAAATGTTCAGAACATAGTTCAGAGGGAGAACAGCATATTAAAAAATAAAGCACCTGAGAAAGAGCAGATAAAAAAACAAAGCACAGGAAGAATTAGTCTCAAATAGAAGGATAAACTGTTTCTGTAACATGACGGAAGATTATTAAAGGAGGAGATGCCAGGAGATTTCAATGTTTGAGAGTGGGATGTGGCGAGATTTCCTCTCTATGCCTTCTATTTTCTCCAAGTAGGAGGCAGGCTGAAAGCAGCGGCATAGAAGAGAAGATGAGAGGTTTAAGCAGAATGGAGAAGCTGAAATTGTCATTGTGGAGGAATGAGTTGACCAAAGAAATTCGGCAAGCATCCCAGACAGTAACATGAGCCAATTTAAGAATGGATATCAAGAAATTTATAGAAGAGGCAATCTGCTTCTTCTGTAACATACAATAAACAAGCAAACAAATAAATATATAATTATAAACCCTAAGTGCTATAAAGGAAATGAACAGGGTGCTATGGCAGAAAATGCATGGCATAAACTCTGAGACAGGTGGTTTTACCTTCGTCTTTCAGATAAGGAACTCAAGAAGTGGCAGAGTCAGTATTAGAACTCAAGTCTGTCTACTCTAAGGCTTAAGCTTCAGACCATAATTTTATATATATGATGCTTAGTCCAGTAAGTAAATTCAGTTTAAAAATCACATGGCATCTGTACAGTGTCTATAACAAAATAACCCAAAGTATGAGATAAATACTGTCATAAATAATAGAGCCTCTAATATTTACCTGTAAACTTATTCCAGTTTCTTCTTTACTTTTTTCACTCAAGCTAGAAATAGTTGTACTCTGGCTTCCTTCTTCAAATGCAAGACTTCTGTTTGTCACAAGAACACCTCTTTTAATGAGAACATACTATTTGGAAGCTCCTGAATACATATACTATAGACTTTGACAGAAAAAAACTAATGAAGGTGGCAAACAAAACAGAATAAATCACTTATACTTTAAAACATAATACCATTTATACCTAGGATGGAAAAGGAATTTGTGAATGAAAATTATATTTTAAGAATAATCTACATATGGGAAGCCTATATGCAAAAATATGATTATTTATAAAGAGATTGGATTGTTTAAAAATAGAGCAGATGCCATCCAATTCAGGTACTATATACTCTGTCAGTGGTTTCACCTGAAATTCAACCCAATCAATAATTACAGACACACAAATAAAGACCACAATAAGACAGAATTTAATACTTAACAGATATAAATTTAAGACATCTGATATTAACTATTGAAAAGGAAGTAGATCAGTAGGATCCACTTAAACCAAGACTATAAAACTAGAAAGTTTGACAGTCAGGATTAGAACTCAGATTTGCCTACTTCAAGGCCTTAACTTTATGCATTTTATACATATAACATTCAGTTCTGTAAGTAACTTCAATTCTAAAACCATGACAGCTGTGGTGTCTATAACAGTAATAATCTAGTACATAAAATAAATACTATCATAAGTGATACTGCCTCTAATATTTACCTATATACATATTCCAGTTTCTTA
The DNA here is from genome assembly GCF_000001405.40 of Homo sapiens. NCBI lineage: Eukaryota > Metazoa > Chordata > Mammalia > Primates > Hominidae > Homo > Homo sapiens. Next base: position 108,311,717 of record NC_000011.10, on the reverse strand, counting down.
ATTTTTTTTTTTTTGTTTATGAGATAGGGTCTCGCTCTGTCGCCTAGGCTGGAGTGCAGTGGCACAATCATGGCTCACTGCAGCCTCTCCCTCCTGGGCTCAAGCGATCCTCCTCCCTCAGCCTCCTGAGTTGCTGGGACTACATGTGCAGGCCACTATGCCCAGCTGATTTATTTTTATTTTTAGTAGAGCTGAGGTCTCACTATGTTGCCCAAGCTGGTCTCAGTCTCCTGGTCACAAGTAATCCTCTCACTTTGGCCTCCCAAAGTGCTGGGATTACATGCGTGAGCCACTGTGCCCAACCTTCTTTACTTTTTTAACTAAACTAGGAACAGTTATACTTTGGCACCCTTCTTCAAATATAAGGCTTCCTACCGATCCACTTCCTTATCAACTACATTTCTGTACACAAATGGGTATAACCGCTTTAAAAAACAATTTGGGACCAGGTGCAGCGGCTCATGCTTGTAATCCCAGCACTTTGAAAGGCTGAGGTGGGAGGACTGCTTGAACGTAGGAGCTTGGGACCAGCCTGAGCAACATAGCAAGATCTTGTCTCTATTAAAAATAAAAATTAAAAAAAATGAGTTGGATGCAGTGGTGTGTGCCTATAGTCCCAGCTACTTGGAGGCTGAGGCAGGAGGATCACTTGAGCCCGGAAGATCAAGGCTACAGTGAGCTATGATCGCACCACTGCACCACAGCCTGGGCGAAATAATGAGACCCAGGCCATTTCAAACGAACAAACATTTGAAAAGAGCAGTTGGGATAATAAAGTGTTTTACTTTATTTTTTACTCTTACTTTCTTATTTTTTGTTCTTCCCCATGATCTAGGAGTATATTTATTAGATTCTTATGACAGTTCTAACTCAGTCAGAGGAAAGCGAATTAAATTCACTAGAAATATAGGTAGATAAAGAAATGAAACTTAATTAGTCACAGAAATAAATCAGTCACATTATAGCCATTTTGGATTATAATTTTGGATATTTTATATCCAAAATGAATCTTGAATAGTTTAGAAATTAGTGGTAAATCTAATCTGACTGAAGTTAGGAAATAATTTAATCATTTGAAAAATATTTATCACCCTTAAATTAAGTTCTCAATGCTAGGGCTATTATGGGGAATATACAGAAAATTAAGTATGGACTCTGTCCTATAGGAATTTGCTATCTGTTAAATTTTTATAATACCTAAGTAATAAGCATTCCTATTATTTCAGAACAGGAATTACATATTCCTTTTTAAAAATTTATTATAATTTCACTTTAAAACAAAATTTCTATCTAAAATATCTTTTAAATGGGGAACAGGAGGCAAAATAAATCTTTACTATATACCCTTATTGAGACAATGCCAACATTAATTTTAAAAACCAAAAATTCTAAATTCCATTACCTTTTCTCTTGATCATCCATACTTTTCTTATCTGCATAGATTTCTGCATAGAGTAAAGCTGTAAAGTGAGCAGCACAAGACTGAGCTACCTTGGCAACTTCTAGATAATTTAAATCCAGCCAGAAAGCATCATTAAAAATTGTTCCTGAAGAAGGTCTAAAGAAAAATGAGATATAATGTCATTCACTTTTTTAAACTTCAATATCAAAATAAAAGCATGTTGATATAGAATACAATGGTAGTGACTGCTTAACAGAAAATTACAAATTCCCAAAAACCACATTTCCCCAATATATACCTATAAACATTATAAGATAACATGGCTGAAGAGTCCTATTTAATTAATCTTTTTGGTTTTTCTTTTTTCCCTCAAACCTATCAGAGAATCTGATAAAACCTGTAGACTATCACCTGATACAAAATTGGGGTTCATATCTGCTCTCTACCAAGAAATCCATGTACCACAGACTAAGAATAGGATACACAGAATAGCTAATACAAATGCACACAAGCACCCCCCAACACACACTTTAAAACAGTCAATTTAATAAAAAATATTGTTTCATCTAAGACACAAATACATGTCTTTCCTATTGTGACTTATTTTCTCCTTAATGTATTGCCTAGGTTGAGTTACTTAATAAAAATCTTCCACTGTGTTAATAGGTAGGTCAAGATTGAAAGGGACCATAGATAGTATCTTTTTCAAAACTAGCATTGTAGAGATGGGACATGGTAGTGCTTAAGAGCACTAGTGTTGAAGTACAATACAGGTAGGTTCAAATCTAGCTATATTGCCTACTACCAGCTGTGTGATCTTCAGCAACTTAACTTCTTAAACCTCAGTTTCCTAGTTTCCTTACTTGCAAATGCTGGAACAACATGGACCTTGGAGAATGGGTGCAACAATTAAATAATGCCTGCAAAGCTGATGAATAAGGCACACCCTACTACACAGCAAGCACTCAACTAAAGTTAATTTTCCGATGAATGTTAAGTTCAGAGAAGTGAAATAATTTCCCCATGGAAAGGAAGACACTACAGACATTATTCTGATTTTGAAAGATGATAAGACTGAGGTTCAAAGACAGCAAGCAATTTTTTTGTTGTTGTTGTTTTATTGTTGTTCTTTGTTTTTGCCCAACATACTGTACAGGATAACAAGTAATTTTTACACAGCACAAGCTTGGACTTGAATGCATGTCTTTACCCGTTTTTCTATATCCCATTCATACTTTCTCCAGGAATATTCTTCAGGATCTTATTCAGCATTAAAATGGAATATGAAGAATTTTTATCTTCTCCAACTCCTGCTAATGTCAACACCATTCTACCCCAATGGTAAGTCTGAAATGAATGACTCAAAGGTAAAACTGCCTCCCAACACCAAGAAAACAAATGCTCTCCACTACATTAAAGCTTCTGATAGGCCTCCTCAGAAGATAATCTGGTATAAAACTCTAAGGTAAAATAACCAGAAGCAAAGACACTGAAAAGCATAAAACTTCTTTTTCTACTAGAGAAGAAGAATGGTTTAAGACTACATAGGAATTAATTTTTTAAGATATTAATGCATTTAGGCTTAAAAACATTTCATTTTTCACTCACCTCTCCCTCTCATTCTTTACCAACCACCCCTACCACCACCATACACACTTATGAGACATCGATTCCTACCTATTCAAATTATAGGCCTACTACACTATTTCTTCAGAGTTCTGGTCAACTCTCAAGCAGTACTCATCAGTCAGACCATCCATTCTAGCAATTTCTGTATGCACTGTTAAAAATCTCATGAGAAATAACAGGAACAAAGATACTATACTATAAAACAATTTACCAGAAACAAGAAAATAAACATTGTCACAGCACAGTATTGCCACAGATTTTGAGACCACTGCACACAGTAAAGAAACTTACATCTTAAAATAAAGATACATAAAGAAGACATTTACACAACTCTATTTACTTCTTAGAACTAAAGCAAAGAGAAAAGTAAAAAGAGGGGTAATACAGCTAAATGTAACTTGGAAAAACACTTGCTCCTATCCCTAACATAGATGAAATAAATTGGAGCCAAGAAGGCTGCATAATTTAACAAAGGTAACATGGTTACTGGTACAGCTGGTACTAGAATTGAGAGTTCTTGACACTGATTTAACCAAACTGCTATCCTGAATATGGATTACTGCAAGGAGATATAAATATCACACAAATTAAATATAACACTTTGCAACACCTTCACCTAAAATAATCATGTTAAAATTCAGCCGATAGTTAACAAGTTACACTCTAGATCCTAAACGTAAGAAGCAACACTCATTACATTACCTCTTTTGTCTTCTCATGTAGTCCACAACAGCAAGCATTGTTCTTTGTGATTTTTTATCCAAACAGCATCGGAAAAAGTGCTCTGACTCTGACAAACAAAAATATCTCCCCTCAGTCCCAGGCATTCTTGCTTACACACCTTCTTCCTTCTTGTTTATGTGTCTGTCTCCCACTATGCTATAAGGTTCTGGTGGGCAGTACCTAACACAAAATTGGTTCTGAAGGAATTTAATAGGATTTCTTTTGCTTTTAAAAGAAACTGTTATCTTAAAAAAAGTGAGAACTTACATTGTAATTTATATTTTATTTCAAAGGAGGACTAATTAATTGATTCAATAAGATCTTTTATGTGCTAGGTCCTCAGTATATAAGCATGAACAAGACAGATCATGTCAGACCACACAGAACTCACTGACTAGCCTGGGACATTACAACACAATATGATAAGTGTTATAATAGGAAAGTTTAAAATGCTACAGAAGCTTAGCAGAGGGAACCTCACCTAGACAAGAAAAGTTTCATAGAAAAAGTGATACTGGCCAAGTGCAATGGCTCATGCCTGTAATCCCAGCACTTTGGGAGGCTGATGCGGACGGATCACTTGAGGCCAAGTTTGAGACCAGCCTGGCCAACATGGTGAAACCCTATCTCTATTAAAAACACAAAAATTAGCAGGGCATGCTGGCACACATCTGTAATCCCAGCTATTCAGGAGGCTGAGGCACGGGAATTGCTTGATCCTGAGGGGCAGAGGTTGCAGTGAGCCGAGATTGCACCACTGCACTCCAGCCTGGGTGACACAGCGAGACTCTGTCTCAAGAGAAAAAAAGAAAAAAAAAAAAGAAAAAAGAAAAAGTGATATCTGAAAGAAGAGTAATAGTCATCAGAGCAGGAAAGGATAGTGCTACAGGCAATAATAATAATATCTGAGATGGCTGGAAGCAAGAAATAACTTGGAAAATTTAATGAAAGAATTTCAACTGTGCTAAATCATGGAGCTAGAAAGCAGTAAGGATGCTAAGGGCAGAGAGAAACAAATGGACTAAGTTATTCATAATATGGAATTGGCAAGATTTGGTAATCAGATGAAATACGTGAGAGAGGTTTCTAGAGTAAGCAACTGAGTGCCATTTGTCAAAAAGGTACACATTTAAAAAAGTAGGCTGGGGGAAGGGATGAAGAAGATGACACGTTTGCTTTTGGACAGCTGAGTTTGAGATGCACATGGGACGTTTAGTGAAGGCAATGAGGCTTATAGCCATCAGAAAAGATACACCATTTAAATTTTACAAAAATATGTATTTCCTTTTCAATAACAGAATTTTATATGTGAAGTTTAAATTTTCACTTAAGGTAATAAAAATATTGGCACTGTATACAGATAAAATAAAACAGTTACTTTACCTTCCAATGGTTGTGACATAAATACATAAGTGATAAACATGAAAAAAGTCTTGGCCATGTTCATGATAACAAATTACCAGATTATCATAAACAATGATTACCTTAAACTATGTAATAAAAATTGTTTTTAATAGTACTGTAAATTACATATTAAAGTTTTAAATGCTTAAATCACTTATACCTGTATTTTCCCAATTAAAGATAAGAGATACATTTTAGATAGTTTACAAAGCCTCTATGAGAATTTTTATTTTAGGATTTTCATTTCAGTGGCCTAAGGAAAATTCATATAAGCACATTCTAGATCATTTAGAGAACAGCCTATAATCTAGTAGGATCACAGGATGGGCATCTATGTCTATGTTTATAATTTATATTTTTCCAAATAGTAGATTTGTAATTGCTGTTAGCCAACAGAAAATAAAATACATAAAATATAAAGCATAGCAAACTGAAGTCTAAATGACATTAGAGTCATGTCAAATGAAGGTTGTAGCAGTAAAACTAAAAGAAACAATTGGAAGAACTGAGTAATCACAACCTTTGCTGAAGTGACTGGAAGGATTGGGAGGAGCAGATTAGTTGTGGCAAAATATCACATTAAATCAACATTTGTATTAGAATTGATTGGTCTTTAAGTACAACAAGTGAATTTGCACCTAGCTTTATGTTTGCATATAAAACACATTAATAATATATAATAAAGACAGTTAACAATAAAGATCTGTGAATTTTGTATCCTTTTATAAAATTTAGGTTTAAAAAACTGACCCATAATGAGCCTTCAAGCATGCATATATGTATTATACATACCCAACCCTTGGTGGAATTTCTTTTGCTATTATGCTCTTGGCATGAGAAATACCCATTATATGTCATAGAAGGAAAGTAGGTTATAAGAGTAAATAAAGTACAGTTCAATTTTTGTTTTAAACAATTAGAAGGATATACACTAAATGTTAATTATAGTTATACAAAGGGTTTTTTTTCTTTTTTTAGACAGTCTCGCTGTGTCGTTCAGTCTGGAATGCAGTGGTGTAATCTTGGCTAGTGAGCCTCAGGAGCCTCTACCTCCTGAGTTCAAGTGATTCTCCTGCCTCAGCCTCCCAAGTAGCTGCAATTATAGGCGCCTGCCACCATGCCCGGCTAATTTTTGTATTTTTAGTAGGGACGGGGTTTCACCACGTTGGCCAGGCTGGTCTTGAACTCCTGACCTGAAGTGATCCACCAACCTTGGCATCCCAAAGTGCTGGCATTACAGGCGTGAGCCACTGTGCCCGGCCAAAGGCTGCTTTTTAAATTGAGTTGGCCAGAGCTCTGAAAATATGAAAATTCTATCGTATCTGCACCACAGTACCTAAAATATCTGATTGTGTTTGTTTTTTCCATTGCTAGAATGTGGGTGTTTCTTTTTCACATTAATATTGCCAGTGCAAGCACAGTGCCTGACACATATTGAAAGCTCAATTAGTTGACCCATTATCAATAGCCAAAATGTACTGAGGGAATACTATACATCAAGTACTATCCTAGGCACTTTACACACATTATTTCATTGAAAACTTGTTGCAACTGTTGGCAACTTTTATCTCCATTCCATAGATGAAGAAACAAATTTAGAGGTTATAGATTTAATCCTGTAAAGTGCTTTTAGTGGGATTCCATCTTAAATCCATCTTTCTCTAGAACTGAGTTTACAGTATTAATGTTAAAAATTTAATAGAATACCTGAATCCAAGTTTGCAGGGGTTGTGGATCGGCTCGTTTGCGAGAAGTGTCGAAGACAGCTGGTGAAAAATCCCTGAACATGTGTAGAAAGCAGATTTCTCCATGATTCATTTGTATCTTGGAGTAAAATATCATGAATCAAGTATGGAAGTACAGTCTGACAAAAGTCAGTTTTCACCTAGAATATACAAACAAATCCACCCAATAGTTTGAGTAAAAATGAGTAAAATTAATACATTTTACTTAAAATTTTCATGCCCCGTTGACATATTAAATTTCTAAAAGATGATAGATTAATCTGCCATAAACTCAACATACTGCTAAAAAAACAAACAAAAAACATGTATTAGGTGGTGTTTAAAAAACCACACTAGGCTAGTATATCAATATCAAATATATATGTTAGTGACACTGTAACTGTTTATTTCCAGTCTAGGCCATTACCATAATGAAACAGAATATTGCTTACAAATGAAATTATATCACCACTTTAAATACAATTTCAGAGTTGAAAAGCGTTAGTAACAGAAGGAGTTTTCTGATATGATAGAAGAGGGAAAAAGGTATCAAAAGTTTAAGACAAAAGTTGGAAATCTGATTTTTATGCATTTTCTAACCTCAGTGAAGAACTACAACAGTCATGTTAAAAATGTTTATTTTTTAATAAGCCCAACTTCTGGGCATAAAATTTGGGTAATTATTTGTGGTATATTCCAAAGAGCAGAAAAGTGCTCCAATACATCTGGCACATTAAAACAGTATTCAGCTTTACTTTTGCTATTCACCGCACTCCATATTTAACATATGAATGAATCATTACACTCCATATCCATCATATTCATCATACTTCACACACATAAGACAGGTTATAGATTACTAATTGCACCCTTTTTCTTTTTCAAACCAAAGACAAGGCAAAACACCAGTTTTAGAGCTAGAGAATTTAAAGTACCACAAATGGGGTGTGTACATATGTATATTTGGAACATTTTATTTTCTGGCTCAAAGGTAAAACTTTATAAAAATCTTAGCTTTGTTCACTAATGAGAAATAAGCTGTATGTGTGTTCAGGGTACCACTCTGCTGAATTGGTATGAGTGCGGTGTAGTATTGCAGAGAAGGTGATGTTTTATTCACTGTCACTACTTTTTCTGTAGAAAATAAGAACTGCTTCTTACATTGCTTTCAATGTGAGTACATTACGAAAATACTTCTCTATCAGTTATCTGTAATCAGCAGATGTTTGACCTCATCAGATGTTGTATTTTCACATTTCTGTTGAATCACATTTGACAGTGCTATAAATTAACTCTGTAAATCTTAGAGCATCATAGTATGCTGTTTTAGATTACACATTTGATGGAAGAGTACAAACTTTGTTTCATTTGGTATGTACCTTTACTCTTCGTTGAGATAAATTGTACTATATCCTCAAAAATAAAAAAGCTATGCTGATTGCTGCCCCACTCCTTTTTCTTATTCAAGAAAGCATATCAGGGAAAATAAAGGTGCTCTTATCAGAAGACGTAAACAAAGTTAGAACAGGCTCTTGGTTAATGCAAATAATTTATAATCAGCAGTATTTTAACTATCATTAGTAACAAATTATTCAAGGCACCCCTTAGAACTCCTCTAGTATGTTGCTATCCCGAAGCTGAAACCTAATGCATAAAGTTATGACTAAATACGGATGCTCACTTTAATAAATTTACAACAGTTTGAGTGGGGGTGATATTATGTGAAGATGATGTGCAGTATCACAGCACTCTTTAGATAAACAGGTCATAAACAAGGAATTATATCAGACTAATTAATCTTCTTACTTCACACATTGGCTTTAATAATTGAAGAATTTCACATTTTGTGCCTCCACTGTCCAAAAAAGCACAAGTCAGTGTCTTTATCCAAATGTCATGATTTTCACTTAGAGGAATCCACAGATTTATATCATCCAGGCCTTCAAAAGGGTTTTCTTTGTCAAATCTGGGTACTTCTAAAAACTAGAAAGAAAGGGATTAGAAAATGTAAATAAGAGAAGTGGAAATCATTGTACCTTTCCTACACAAAATGAGTATAACAAATCTTTCTGAATAAAGCTAAATACAGTTAAAACTAAATCTGGAGGCAATGTTTACCTTTTAAGATGAAAACATTTATGTTTATACAAGAGGCAGAGTGGTATGGCAAAAACTGCTGCTTTAGGCAGCAGAAAAATTAGGTTCTACTCTCAGCTCTGTCACTCATTAGTAGCATATTACACAAATCACAAACTCTGACTCATCTGTCTCTTGAACAAAACTAGACCACATCTACCACAGAGACTTGATTTCAAAATGAAATGAGATTTTAAAATGTTAGAATTATAATGCCTTCCAGGTTATATTATTAGTTTCATTAACAGTTTATATTACCAGTAATTTTACTAACACTAAAATTATATTTATGATGCACTGAAAGTACTGCTTCAATGTTGGGTTTCTGCCCTGAAATTAAATTGGTGAAAACTAAACTGTGTATTTCTCAGTCACTTTATGAAAAGAAGATAGTAAAGAGGAATGCTTAGACTAAGGAAGGAACAAGTGTTCTTAAACATGCTTCACAGAATACTTACAGTGGAACCTTATTACGATATCAACATGGAAAAAGGGAGAAATCTATGGGTCTTCCTATATTTCACCAGGGGATTGTGATATGTTAACTTGACATGGAAATAAACACTTGTGGATCACAATAACTATAAACCATACCCAGAGCTAACAGCTTTCATGGGAGCAAAGTAGCGCTTTCTATTTCTAAAAAAACAAGGTCTGTCTTTAAGAATTTCCCCTCCCCCAAAAATCAACTACTATTTCCTCAGGTTACCTATCTGAGCTTTTCCACACTGCCATAATAAATTAAAAATAACACATTCCCTGGATTTATGAAATATGGCTTAAATTACTTATAGGAAAGGTTAATAGTTAGTACAATACTATTTCAAGCAATTTAACAGTCATGACCCACAGCAAACAGAACTGTTTTAGATATGCTGGGTATTCAATAAACATTTATTACTTAAGAGACCTTTTTTCTTGATGTTCTAAAAGGCTGTAGATAGGCCAGCATTGGATCTGTTGTCATCTTATAAATCTCCCAGAAACTATGTCCAGTCTTTGTGGCTAAAATGTTTTTCAAACAGGTAACAGCTGCTGATCGAACTTTGACACTGAAAAAAACAATTCAAATGCCTATCAAGTACACCAGTTATTAATCTTGATGAATGTTAACCTCCACTGAAAAAATTTCAAAACTAAAATTTAAAATTTGTATTAGGAAACTTTACATTTACAAAATTCTCCAATATCAAATAAAAGTATCAAAGGACTTTCACTAGTCATTCAGTAAACTTGAATTACTAATCACTGCAACTGCAATTCCCTTCATTCAATACAGTTTAATTGTGACTACTATAAATTAAAAAGACTCAAGAAATACTTGAAAATAATATGTTCTAATACATATAAGTAATAAAAATTCTGGGAATCCTTTTGTCCACATCTTCATATGCTAAAGTCCCTTGAAGATCTAAAGTTTTTCCCTGTTAAAGAAAAATACAAAAAACTTGTACCTGCTTCCTAGTATTCTTAAGTTGAAGTCACACTAATATTTCTGTGCATCTGTTTCAGAAAAACCAATTTCGAATTACTATGAAATGAATGAAACATTTAATGCTCGCAAATTTTCTGTGGCACTCTCTTCAAAAACTGTGCTTGATATACCTTGATATACATTTAAAAAATGAGATGAACTGGCTGAGTGTGGTGTGGCTCAAGCACATAAACTTTGCACATTAGGAGGCTGAGGCAGGAGGACTGCTTGAGCCCAAGAATTTGGGGTTACAGTCAGCTATGATCTATGATGTATTATCATGCCACTGCGCTCCAGCCTGGGTGATAGAGCGAGACCCTGTCTCAAAAAAAAAAAAAAAAAAAAAAGAGAGAGATGAATTAATACATGTTAACACAAGGATAGACGGATGGCTAGAAGTGATTAAGCAAGGACAGCATAAAATATAGATACTATATGATAAGCATATGGGTGTTTACTATAAAATTATTTCCATTGTGCTGTATGTTTGAAACTTTTTATAATAAAATGTTTGGAAAGAAACCATACAAATTTGTTTAATGAAACAAAAACAACAACAAAAGAAAGAAATATACAGGTACATTAAATCAATAACGGAAACATGGCAGTTAGACATTATTGCCAATCATTTATTCCTCAAGAGAAGGAGGAAGGGAAGTACAGAAAAAAATCAAAACACGTATTTATCTTAGAAAGGTGCCTGGTTGTGAGGAAAACCCTTTGAGGCTACCATCAAATATGGTGGTGATGGAGTACTCAAAGATACCAATCAATCAATCAACAAATAAATAAGAGAGAGAAAGAGCATGCACGCAAAAGTAATCTCAACCAACCAGTTGAAATTTTGATATGTGGTGCAATTCTGCTTTGCACAGAGAATAAGTAATAGAAGACCCTGTCTGATTAGCTTAAGACTTCTAGGATTATAAAACAACCTCTCTGCTTTACGACTTATTTTAAAAGGATCAAAATAAGGCCTCGCTTAGAGGAGAGTGGCACCTCTGATACTGACAAGAGCCTAAAACATCTCCCTTTATATTCCCCTATCTTAATTTTCTGTGTAGAACCATCTGGCATTTTTCTTATTTATCGTTTATTTGTCTAGTCCCACTAAAATTTTAACAGGGACCTTGTCTGGAATGTTCACCATTATATCAAGTGTCTGGCACATAGTAGGGTAAATAATTATGTGAATTAATAAAAATATAAGAATTTTCATAAAGACACTGAGATTTAAAAAAGGACAAAGCTTTAGTTACTGAGAATATCTATTTGTGTGAAGTATCATTCTCCATGAATGTCATATTGAGATTACATATAAGGTATCAATAAATACTCACCAATCTTCTACCAGTGTGTTATTCAGGTAGGTCAGCATTATGAAGGTCCACTGAAGTTCTTTATCTTCAAATAACTTAAGGGCCTTGGTATAAGATGCATCTTTACTATGTTGTATAGCTATGGTAGAGAAATCTATAGGACCCACTTCTCCCAAGCAGCTTCCAACAGCCTCTACATATAGAAATTCTATTTCAGTAGAGTCATAGGTAAGAGATCATACATAAAACTGAAATTTTCTAATTTCAAAACTATAATGCTGTTTTTCTGTACTTCAAGAATTAACCTTAAGGCCGAGTGCGGTGGCTCACGACTGTAATCCCAGCACTTTGGGAGACAGAGGCGGGCGGATCACCTGAGGTCAGGAGTTCGAGACCAGCCTGGCCAACATGGTAAAGCCCCATCTTTACTAAAAATACAAAATTAGCCAGGCGTGGTGGCGCAGGCCCGTAATCCCAGCTACTCAGGAGGCTGAGGCAGGAGAATCACTTGAACCCAGGAGGCGGAGGCTGCAGTGAGCCAAGATGGCACCACTGCACTCTAGCCTGGGTGACAAAAGAAAAAAAAAAAAAGAGAGAGAGAATCAACCTTAAAACTGTTAAAATTTTTGTTGAGGTATCACACAAATTCCATAATCTTAAACACACAGTTCAATGAAAATTTATACATACAAATACACATTTTTTTCTGCCTGTGTTCTCCCTAACCAGATGAAGACAGGACATTTTCAGCAACCCAGAGGGCTCTTCGTGCTCTTTCCATCATGATGGTATTTACTAAAATATGTTCACAAATTTTTTGAGAGCCCTTCTTTCAAAGGGTAGAGCCTAACTTCCCTCCCGTTGAGTGTGGTCTGTACTTAGTGACTCACGTCTAACAAACAGAATGTATATAAGTTTTTCACCTCTTTGATTAAATTTATTCCTGGCTATTTATTTCTTTTAGATGCTATCGTAAATGGAATTGCTTTTCTAATTCTTTCTGGATTGTGCACTGCTAGTATATACAAACACCACTAATTATGTGTTGATCTTGTACCCTGCAACTTTGCTAAATTCATTTATTAGCACTACAGTAGCTTTCTTGTGGATTCTCTGGGATTTTCCATACATAAGATCATGTCGTCTGTAAATACAGATAGTTTTACTTCCTTTCTAATTGGCATGCTTTTAATTTCTTTTTCTTGTTTAATTGCTCTGGCTAGAACTTCCAGTACACTGTTGAACAGCAGTAGTGAAAGTGGACAGCCTTGTCTCATTCCTGATCTTAGGGGGAAAGCTGTGAGAACAAACCACATTAATTTTATGCTACACAGGAAAGCCACTTAGGGCTTCTGTTGTAAATCAGGTCTGTCCATAAAAGCAGTGCCACTATGGACAAGGAGGTAAGTATGTTGGTTAAAGAAAACTTCTACAGTTCTGGTAAGATTCTGTTTTTTAGTCTGGGTGCTACATGTACAAGCGTACTCTGCAAACATTCTTCAAGCTAGATATTTTTGATCTGTATACTTTTCTATATTAGGATATATCTCAATTTTTTAAAATCTACAAAAAAGGAAGTACTGTAGATATTAGGCTCCTAATGAGAAGTTAAGGCTGTTGAAGAAAGATAGTAGAATCTGTGAAACACTACTTATTCCTATTTTTCTAATTAGAAACAAAAACCATCACGAGAGCTTCAAGCTGACTTTAACCAGGTGATTTCTCCATCCCGTGGTCACTAAATCTAAACACCTAAACTAGAGATGATGTTGGCTTCTTATTTTACATTAGGTTTCCCCTCAAATGGCTGTAGGAAAGGACTTGAATGGTTTTTAATTATTTAAGTTTAATCTAGCCCTCCAAGTCTTCATTCTTATGTCTGCTACATAACAAAAGACACTGAGTACCTGTCAGTTATAATGTATTTATAAAATATATCGGCAGTCAATTTATTTGCAACTTAACTCTAAAAACAAGTATTTCTGACTTTCCTAAATATTTACAAGGCATTTTCAAATTAAGTTATACACATATGTAAATCTCTAACTTTTCATTTTATATGAATATTTAAGGAAGAAAAGTACAAAAGGGGCCTTTTTAGGGACATTTTAATTAAATAGGCATGTAACTTAGCTAGCATCTCATATTTCCCCAATATCCCAAATGACAAACCCTCACTTATTTTGAAGATATAATAAAGATAACCACTCATATAATAAAGATGACCACCGCATAACTCACATTCATTCCGCCAATACAATCATGCTTTGCTTAATGACACAGATATGTTCTGAGAAATGTGTCATTGGGCAATTCTGTCATTGCGTGAACATCACAGAATATACTTACACAAACCTAGATGGTATAGCCTACTACACACCTAGGCTACAAACCTGTATAGCATGTTACTATACTGAATACTACAGGCAACAGAAAACATACAGTAAAAATACAGTATTATAATCTGTCCTATATGTGATCCGCAGTTGACTGAAATGTCACGCAGCGCATGACTGTAGTTTACCTAGAACTTCTTTTTCACCAGTGTGGTTTATTGCCATCTTGGATAACTGCAACAAATTGACAACTAGTTTCACCATAATCCCATCTTGCGGATTATCTAGAAATAATTTTTTAAAAATTAGTTTAAACTAGCATGAAGACAACACTTTTGTTTATAATTGCATATATATTAAATTATCTGACTAGAAAACTTCTATAAAGTTTAAAAAAGGTTTTAAGTCATGAGTAGCTCAAAAAATATGTAGGGAATGAATCTGAACTTCCTTAATACAACAGATTCTTTTGAAAGTGATTAGCAATATGTGACAACAGAGAAAATAAAATGTCTTAAACAAATTGTGCAGATAAGTCAACACCTTAGCAAAATCACAAACAGAAGCACAAGAATCATTCAACACTAAAGCTAGAAGGGACTTTGGGAGCCTGCTTGGCTTTTTAACATCTAACATTTAGAGTTTAGACCAGCACTGTCCCACAGAACTTTCTGCAATGATGGAAATGTCTATAATCTACACTGTCCAATGATCACTACTGACCAAATGTACTACTGAGAACTTGATATGTGTTCAGTACCAATGAAAAAACTGAACTTCAAATTTCATTTAATTTTACTTCATTTAAATAGCCAAATGGCTAGTGGCTGTAATGCACAAGGCAGATCTCTAGCCCATAAAATACTCAAGAACACAAGTACAAGAAATAATGGTGTTTCTATTTACATACATTTTATATATCTCAAATGTATTAGAAACTCTATGCTCAGATAGTCAAAACTAAAATTCATTTTAAAAAGTACTGAGAGTAAAAACAACACAAGAGAAATATGAAATTAGGCCAGGCGTGGTGGCTCACGCCTGTAATCCCAGCACTTTGGGAGGCCGAGGCAGATGGATCACTTGAGGTCAGGAGTTCAAGACCAGCCTGGACAACATGGTGAAACCCCGTCTCTACTAAAGATACAAAAAATTAGCTGGGCATGGTGGCACACACCTGTAATCCCTGCTCCTTGGGAGGCTGGGGCAGGAGAATCACTTGAACCCAGGAGGTGGAGGTTGCAGTGAGCTGAGACTGTGCCACTGCACTCCAACCTGGGCGACAGAGTGAGACTTCGTTTCAAAAAAAAAAAAGAAATATGAAATTAATTGGTATAGGAAGATGAAAATCAAAACACAAAGTAGAAAGTTTCCCAAATACTGTAATAATGTACATTTCAAATCAAATTAACAAGCAAGCTAGAAAAACTTACAAATACATACTTACATATATATAGACACACATAACACATATGACTAAAGTATTAAAATGAGACATATTTCTTTCATTCAGGTAAACTGGACTAGAAGACAAGACTAACTTGTATGTCTGGCTCTAAGGAATTAAAATTTTCTTTTACATGGTTGGAAGGTGTTAAAAATGTTTAAGCATGGGCCAGCCGCGGTGGCTCATGCCTGTAATCCCAGCACTTTGGGAGGCTGAGGTGGGCGGATTGCCTGAGCTCAGGAGTTTGAGACCACCCTGGCCAACATGGTGAAACCCCGTCTCTACTAAAAAAAATACAAAAAATTAGCCAGGCATGGTGGCAGGTGCCTGTAATCCTAGCTACTAGGAAGGCTGAGGCACGAGAATCTGAGCTCAGGAGGTGGAGGTTGCAGTGAGCTAAGATAGTGCCACTGCATTCCAGCCTGGGCAACAAGAGCGAAACTCCGTCTTAAAAAAAAAGAAAAAGAAATGAAAAATGTTTAAGCATGGCTAGATGCCGTGGCTCACACCTCTAATCCCAATGCTTTGTGAGGCTAAGGCAGGAGGATCACTTGAGGCCAAGAATTCGAGACCAACCTAGGCAACATAGTGGGACCCCTGTCCCTACAAAAAATAAAAAAAATAAATAAAGTAGCTAGGTGTAGTGGTGTGTGCCTGTTGTTCCAGCTATTCAGAAGGCTGAGACAGGAGAATTCCTTGTACCCAGGAATTCAAGGTCATAGTAAGTTATGATGGTGCCACTACACTCCAGCCTAGGTGACAGAGTGAGACTCTTAAAAAAAAAAAAAAACTCTGTCTCTTAAAAAAAAAATTTAGGCAGTAGAAAAACATGATCATATTTGGGTTTAGAGAAATCATCTGGCAGAGGATGAATAAAACAGGAAGAGTTCAGGGTGAGAAGACCAGTTAGGACCAGTTTTACAGTTAGATGAGAAATGAGGGTCTGAACTAAATGATGAGAGTCTGAACTAAGTCTGTGACAATGAAACCAAGAGCAAGACTTTGCAAAATATTCTTTCAAAAAGAAACAGGTAGAAATAGCCCATGTCATTTAAAATTAGCACCCTGAGAAGCTCTCATAATGTCCACCATCTGATCTTTATGTAGTTCCAGTTGTCTTCGAAGATCCTTTAGTCCTTCAAGTCTTGTCAATGGAAGTGCATCATAAACACTTACTGAGAGAAAATGGTTAATTTCCTAAAAGAGAAAATGTAACTTGCTTTTAACACGTATTGGTTAAGCCTGTGAAATAAAACTTAATAAAAGAAAAAAATTAGTTAAGTGCCATTTATAGACACTGACTCATGTCTCTATTACTACTAATCAAGGAAGAAATAAATGATTTCTTCCACTGCAAACCCTACAATGTTTTAATACTCTTTTTTAGACAGAGTCTCGCTCTGTCACCAAGGCTAGAGTGCAGTGGCGCTATCAAGGCTCACTGCTACCTCCGCCTCCCCGGTTCAAGTGATTCTAATGTCTCAGCCTCCTGAAAAGGTGGCATTTACAGGAATGTGCCACCACGCCCAGCTAATTTTGTATTTTTAGTAGAGATGGGGTTTTGCCATGTTGGCCAGGCTGGTCTCGAACTCCTGACCTCAGATGATCTGCCCGCCTTAGCCTTCCAAAGCACTGGGATTACAGGCGTGAGCCACTGCACCCAGCCTAATCCTTTAAATTCTAATAGACTCTCTCATGGTAACACAGACTTCAAGATTGTTATAGCATACTCAACTGGAAGGAAATGCTTAAATTTCTCTTTAGTAGTATAACTTTACATCTTAACATACTTAAATATGTTTTTATATTTACATAGAGTCAAATACAGACTATCATTTAAAAATTATAATTAAGATATGTATGGAAGAATATACCTAAACATAATTTCGAGGTTTATAAAGATTAAAACTTAAAATATGCTTTCAAAAGTTAAACGTTATCTCTAACACAAACATTAAATTGACATTGAAAAGATCCATTGGTAGTTTTGAGCTATCAGTGGACCTTAGGATCTTATGTGTTAAAATCAAAACTATTTTACATCACATTCCTTGAAAACTTACAATTTGGATCTTTACCAGGAAGTTTTGTTATTTATACTTTGGCTTCAATGCAAAGAGATACATTAAGATTCATTTTTTTATTTCTTAAGTAGGTAGATCTCACGTTACACACACACAAGTATGTGTTTATATACACACACATATATATATATATATATATATATATTTTTTTTTTTTTTTTTTGAGACAGGGTCTCACTCTGTCATCCAGGCTGGAATGCAGTGGAGCAATCTTGGCTTATTGCAGCCTTGACCTCCAGGGCTCAGGTGATCCTTCCATCTCAGCTACCTGAGTAGCTGATTCTACAAGCACATATCACCATGCCCGACTAATTTTTTGTAGAGACGGGGTTTCGCCATGTTGCCCAGGCTGGTCTTGAACTCCTGGGCTCAGGCAATCCTCCTGCCTCAGCCTCCCAAAGTGCTGAGATTATAGGCATGAGCCAATGTGCCTGGCCTACGTATATATTTTTAATCACAATTAAAGAAAAGATTCCATTTTTTACTGCTAGAGCATTACAGATTTTTGAAAAGTACTACTATGTTCTCTAATAAAAAATAGTAGATGATGAAATTTTTATTACCTCCAAGAGTGAAAAGGGTCCTCTACTGTATTTGATTTTTTGCTGAGTAATACGCAAATCCTTAAAAACAACATGGTCAGGAAAAGGATCTAAAAGCTTAATCGTGATATAGAGGTTTTCATTATCCTTGTTATCTATCACTAAGTATTTCAACAAGTCCAATACCTAAATATAATTTAAAAAGAAAAAATTATAAGGAGAGAAATAATTTTAAAGTAAGCCAACAAAACTTACTGTAATAAATGATAAAATCTATTAACCTAGATCAGATTAAATGTTCTAATTACGTCTAAGATACCCAGCTTTTAGTTTCTGTGTTTTCAAATAATTCAATAACTATGTAAGGTACTACTACAAGATGGGTACTGAGGTTAAAAAAAATGCCAATATTAATGAAACAGTTTATATAAGTAGTAACTCAAATACCACCATAACGTTGCGAACTGCTATCCCTAGTTTTGACTACCTCTCTACTTCAGCACAGTAGATAAAACTATCAAAAGTACCAAGTGCTCTGTAATTGATTACAAAGGTTAATTCATTAAGAATATTTTTCCAATCATTTTACAAAAAATATTCTCAATAAAATCACCAATTATACCAAATAAACATAAAACACTCAAATCCTTCTAACAATACTTTATATATTTTAAATACCATTTTGAAGATGAGTCAGAAAATTACCTGTTTCTGAACCTCCACCTGCTCATACACAAGGGGTATAAGTGTACCAACAATAACATGAAGATGGTTTTCTAGAGCATCCTTACAGTAAGTCACGGCTGTCTGGCAAACCTGACTTAATAAGTCACAACAAAGGGAGAAGCTACGTAATGACACATCCATGATACAAGAAGGCCTAATATAGGGAGAAAAAAAAACAACAACAACCAGTAAGTTCTGGAAAATTACTCTGAAATAAATTCATTCAGAAGTCCTTTTGTTCAGCATCTCTAATTCTTATATGCCTTGACATAAATATTTTAATGGCTTATAAGCCAAAAAGAGAAGTCACATCAGCAAAATGCAGAATAGGCAGCTCTAAGCTTCCATCCTTTAATAGAAACATTGAAAAACAGGCAAAATTGTCAGAACTAATTTTGTTAGAATTCTGTAAAATAGTCAAAGGTTTACAGTAATCAGGAAAATATTGAATCAAGAAAAATCCAACTGAAAAACAGCAGGAAAGCTTTGTGGTAACTTTACTTGTCCTTGCCCACCCCTACCCCAGCGTGGCAACAATCACAAAAGCAGTGGCCTATATCCTCGGTGTGAGACACTGGCTCATGGTAGTTCATGGAGCTAAGTAGATTAGTTGCAAACTATTGTATATGTCTATTCTAACCTGTCTGGAACCAAGGACTGATGTAAAGTGCGTAGCTCTGTTTTGTTTAACTTCATACCAGCTACAAAAGATATGGGTGTTGCTTGAAACTTTGTAAGGCAGACCAACAACCTGCAGGTGCATAGGGCAAAAGATTACTGTTGAGACATACAAGAGGCTGCCTAAAGCCTAGGAGTAGCTGGGGAGCGTATTTCTTTGGGAAATTAGTATATTCAAAAGCACCCACAAATTAGGGGGAATTCAGAAAGCCACACACATGCTCAAGATAAGACTCTTGCTCAGAAAAGACCAGAGAAGACCCTAAGCTTGTATTTGGGGCTGATCCCAAGCAATGCAAGCATGGCTAAGTGTTGAAGAAGAATCCTAGCATAAAGCCAATCTGCAAACACTAGGAAAAGTTTTCTCCTCTCATGCTTCCTCATCCCAACACTCTTGGTATCCAAGGAAATCTCTATCAAACACTATCTAAACACAAGCTAAGGTACAAAGTTTTCAGTGACCACACAAGGCAAGACACAAAAGGACATATATTGTACAACTCTAGATTAAAATATCTACAATAGGCAAATTCATTGAGACAGAAAATAGATTAGTTTCTCAATGGCCAGTGGGGAGGAGGAATGTGGAGTTATTGTGGAATGAGTAGAGAGGTTCAGTTTGAGATAATGAAAGTTTGGACATAGACAGTGGTGATGGTTGCACAACAATGGAAATGTAATTGATGCTACTGAACTGGCCATTTAATGGCGAAAATAAAAAATTTTATGTTATATAGTTTACCACAATAAAAAAGACCTTAAAAAATAGAAATCTCATTAAAATCAATGGAAAAGATCAGAGATGCTAAATTGAACAACCCCAATTCTTGTTTTGTTTTTGTTTTTTCTTTCTTTTCTTGAGACGGAGTCTTGCTCTGTCGCCCAGGCTGGAGTGCAGTGGTGCGAATTAGACTCACTGCAAGATCTGCCTACCTGGTTCTGGCCATTTTCCTGCCTCAGCCTCCTGAGTAGCTGGGACTACAGGCACCTGCCACCACACCTGGCTAATTTTTTTGTATTTTTAGTAGACACGGGGTTTCACTGTGTTAGCCAGGATGGTCTCGATCTCCTGACCTTGTGATCCACCCGCCTCAGCCTCCCAAAGTGCTGGGATTACAGGCGTGAGCCACTACACCCGGCCGAACAACCCCAATTCTATAGTAACATTTATTTGAGGCCATCAATAGCTAGAATATTAGTATTAAAATGTTGAAGATCCTTCTTAAGATTTCTAGAATTGGAGAAGTAGTGCTTTTTTTTTTTTTTTTAATTGAGTGAAAGTCTCACTCTGTTGCCCAGGCATGAATGCAGTGGTGCAATCAAGGCTCACTGGCAGCCTCAAACTCTTGAGCTCAAGCCATCCTCCTACCTCAGCCTCCTAAGTAGCTAGAACTACAGGCGCATATCATCATACTTGGATAATTTTCTTTTTTTTTTTTTTTTTTTTTTTTTTTTTGAGACAAGAGTCTCGCTCTGTCTCCCAGGCTGGAGTGTAGTGGCACAATCTTTGCTCACTGTAACCTGTAACCTCTGCCTCCTGAGCGCAAGCCATCCTCCCACCTCAGCCTCTGGAGTAGGTGAGACTACAGGTGCATGCCACAATCCCTGGCTTATTTTTTAAAAAATTTTTGTAGAGATGGGTTTTCACATCATGTTGCCCAGGCTGGTCTCTAACTCCTGGGCTCAAGCAATCTACCTACCTCAACCTCCCAAAGTGCTGGGATTATAGGTGTGAGCTACCACACCTTGCCCTAATTTTCTTTTTTAAAAAATTTTTAGTAGAAACGAGGTCTGCTATGTTTCCCAGGCAAGTAGCGCAATTTTTAAAAACTAATAAGTAAATATAATAGACATCTTAAAAAGCAAAATTCAGAAAGCAACATTCTGGTATCTACCTCTTAGAAGCATATAAACTTTCAATTAAAAGAACAGGATAGGTTGGGCATAGTAGCTCATGCCTGTAATCCCAGCACACTGGGAGGCTGAGGCTGACAGTTCGCTTGAGCCCAGGAGTTTGAGACCACCCTGGGCAATATGGTGAAACCCCACCTCTACAAAAAACACAAAAAATTAGTCAGGCATGGTGGTATGCTCCTGTAGCCCCAGCTACCCGGCAGGGTGAGGAGGAAGGATAATCTGAACCCAGGAGGTTGAGGATGCAGTGAGCCGTGACTGCACCCAGCCTGGGCGGACAGAGTGAGTCTTTGTCTCAAAACAAAACAAAACAAAGCAAAAAAACAGGAAGAACAGGATAGAAAGACTGCTTATATATTGGTCTAAATATGTTATTTACCTTTGGTTGATATAGTGAATCAAAGTATAAATAACGTCTCGAAGAACAAAGGCCCAAGCTCCTCCTAAGCCACTTTTTATATCTTTCAGTAATAAACTAACAAACAGGTGATATATTTTAAGAATTCTGTGCTTCTTATAAACATTATTTGTTTCAGCTGCTTGCTCACATATGGCAAGAAGAATTTTCTGATAGGAATCCTAGAAAATAAACAGATTTAGTAAAAACTTGTTTAATTAGATACTCGGCTACAATAAATACACTTTATATTTTTTCTTCAAATATTTGAATACCTACACATTTTATATTTAAAATAACTAAATAACAGAATTTAGATTTGGGTTTGATATCAAGTACAAAATGTTACATTAAGAAAATTACTATCTTAAACTATTGCCAATTTATTTAATTTTCAGAAAGTAAACTACAATTAAATAGTATATTCCTATGAAAAAGTAGATATATTCCCTGAGCTAATATATCACTAAAGTGTCACAAGATTCTGTTCTCATATGTAACATATTTCAATTAATGCTGACAAGTAAAATACCATTTAAACTTGTAAATGAATGTTTTCCTTTTTAATTATGAGATAAATTTTTCATTTGTTTACTTTTCCTCTTTAAGATGTATTTACAAAGTTTTTTTAGCTAAAAAAGAAGGAATGTTCTATTATTAAACTCATCATGTATACTTACAGGGCTTTTGGAAAGAATTTCTAAAATGCTTTTTAACTTGGTTTTATGACAATTGCTGATATAGGCAAATGTTGCTTTAATCACATGCGATGGAAAATGAGGTGGATTAGGAGCAGGATCCAAATCCCTAACAGAGTTAAGGGAAAAAATACAGTCATCGTTTTAAAAAGTTTTGTTCATAGACCAGTGAACTTCCAAAATGAAAATTTAGATTTTAATAACCCCCAAATTCAAAAACCATTTTTCTACTGAAAAACTATACTTTCAATAAAATCACAAATGACATATCACAGTCCAGATATATAAATCAGATTATCTAAATACCTTTCACCCTCAGTAACTTAAATAATCTTAAATGATCTTATAATGATTTTCTTAAAAAATCTTATAAAGTTAAAAGGCAGTTCAATAAATGAGCCTCAGTATTACTTCAGATCAGAATCAAAGCTCTATGCCAGTACTGTAAAAGCAGTACTTTAAGACATGGCAATCAACACTTATTTAGACAGCATGAAATTACATATGTGAAAGTACTTTCTCAGATATTATTACTATTTTATATGCCCAGCACAGTAGGGCACATTAAAAAAAAAAAAAAAAAAGTAAAGCATATTTTCAAGTAGCTTACAATCAAGCCAGGGAAACAACTCTGATGTTCATATACAACTCAGAGACATTCACATCCAAATTAAATTGTACAGATAATAACGCACAATAAAGAAAAGGTGAGGCTGGGTACGGCGGCTCATGCCTGTAGACCCAGCACTTTGGTTGGCCAACACGGGGGAATCATTCGAGGCCAGAAGTTCAAGACCAGCCTGGGCAACACAGTGAAACCCCGTCTCTACCAAAAATATAAAAAATTAGCCAGGCGCAGTGATGTGCATCTGTCGTCCCAGCTACTCGAGAGGCTGAGGTGGAAGGAAGGATAGCTTGAGCCTGGAAGACAGAGGTTGCAGTGAGCCGAGATTATGCCACTGCACTCCAGCCAGGGCAACAGAGTGAGACTCCATCTCAAAAAAAAAAAGAAAAGGTGATCTAGAAAGGCAAGACCTAGATAAAGAGAAGAGAACTAGGAATAATGTGTATGAAGAAAAAAATTTCAAGGGCCAACAGATGGCACAATGTTCAAATATTACAGAAAGACTAAGAAAAGGTTATTGGGTTGGCCAACCAAGTGGTCAATTTAGAAAGAGTAATTACTGTGGGGAGACTATGGTAAAAGAGGATAGGTAATTACCTCAATTCAAAGGTGGCTATTTTTAAAGAAAATTTTTTAAAAAGAGTGATGTCTATAAATTGAAATAGACATTGAAGGTGTCAACCAATAAACTTCTTTAAAAACTTGTGAAGTTAGAGCTAGTTCTCTAAGTTTAAAATGTACATACCCTGAAAAGTCACAGAGGTCAGTGCTCTGACTGGCACTAGAATTTGCTGGCTCATGTAACGTCATCAATAACTCCACCACAATCTCTGGTAAATTACTAATGAATAAGTGATCAATCTGCAAGGGCACAAAATTAAAATATATTTAATATTTTATATCTGTGAACGTCAAGACAGCTCAAAAGGCATATATTACCTTATTTCCAAAAGTATTCGATGACTGTAAAAGAAAATAGATGACTCAAAGTCCAAGATTTACAAGATTATAAATAACTCTACCTTTTTCTTCTATGCAGCCAACCTGTAGACTAAGAGGAAAAAGTATGAAAATCAGCCAAACAAGGCCCCCTTAATCCAATTCTTCAATTTTAGAGAATCATTTTAAATAAGACTTCAGGTCTATCATTAAGTTGTATGACCTGGTAATTTTTCTGCCAACCAAATTTCCCACTGATGTATAACTGCTCCTCTATCTGAATTTTACTCTTGACTTTATTTGGGAATTCTGTCTCAATTACAGAACTTTACTGTTAAGAATTCCCAGGGACTGCGAACAATGTCATCTTTGTTCCCTGCGTAACTTCTTCCCAGACTTCTACTTGAGTGCCATCCCAAATTCTAAGGCTAGCTGCGATCCACATCCCCTTTCATCAATAGTAGAATAAAACCCTCCCCAACAGATTTGGACTTTTCATTAATCTACTTCCCACTATAGACAGGTAGCTTCACAAAAGACACAAATTCTCTAAATATAAAGAATAAGTCTGCTATGTTGCACTTTAGTTAAATGAATGAGAATTGTGAAGTCTTAAGGGTGAATATAACAACTTTCCAAATAAGGAATTACAGTGATAAATGGCTAATTTACTTAATGCATAAGGAAGTTCAAAAACATACTTCCTAATAACAAAAAATATTTTAGAAGGTGACAAGAAAGAAACCTAACGTAAATGAGGCAGGGCAATAAGGTCTGGAGGCAGGGAACCTAAGGTCAATCCATGCTGACCTCCTAGAACGAAATCAAAAGGAAAACCCCAACTTTCCATGCTCAAGTAACAAAAGGACAAGAGGCTACTCCCTTTGCAACCCCCTCCCTTTTACTGTGGCAGATAAGAAATTGAAAGTACCTCTGATTGGTCCCCTCCTATAACCAATCAGACTGATTACAGACCACTACTTCATTTACATAGGGTGTATACCAAGTAACCAATGGAAAACCTCTGAAGGGTATTTAAACCCCAGAAAATTCTGTAACCAGGCCCTTGAGCCACTTGCTCAGGGCCCACTCCCACTCTGTGGAGTATAATTTCATTTTCAGTAAATCTCTGGCTTTGTTGCTTCATTCTTTCCTTGCTTTGTTTGTGTGTTTTATACAATTCTTTTTTTTTTTTTTTTTTTTTTTTTTGAGACGAAATCTTGCTCTGTTGCCCAGGCTGGAATGCAGTGGTACAATCTTGGCTCACTGCAACCTCCACCTCCCGGGTTCAAGTGATTCTCCTGACTCAGCTTCCCAAACAGCTGGGATTACAGGCACACACCACCACACCCAGTAGAGATGGGGTTTCACCATGTTGGCCAGGTTGGTCTTGAACTCCTGATCTCAGGTGATCCACCCGCCTTGGCCTCCCAAAGTGCTGGGATTACAGGCGTTAGCCACCGCACCCGGCCAAGAATTTAACTTACATCTTTAACCAAAAAGCTAAGAAACTGTGATTTAATTTTTGCTGTTCTTCATTCTTGAGGCAAGAGTTTCAATCGAAGTTGAACGTAATTACTTTTCCCTCCAAAACCTATTCAGGCTCTAAAAATTGCTGTCTTTTGGTTTGAATACATTAAGAAAAGAATAGTAAGATTAAGAATGCTCAGAAGACTAAGCTGGGAGATTGAATGGGAGTGGCTAGAGGCTGAGTATCTCTCTCAAATTCCATAACCTCTGGAGTGCCTATTTCTGTTCCAGCTGTCTTTGGGAAAGGAGTCCTCTGCTCACCATTTCCCTTCAGACTGCAGACTTACAACCAGTTCTGAATAGGTCCACCTAAGCAACTAAGGAACTTGCTGTTCCATTTCTTGGTTCAATATAGATAACTAGGAAACTAAAAAAAAAAAAGGTCCCTTGAAGTTTATCTAATATTGACCAAGTTTGGTTACTTATCCCTTACTTATATCCAAAATAAATAAATACATACATAAATGTGGGGTGACCACAGCTTTTTTATCTTAAAAAATTTGTATGTATGTTTTAATATAAGTTGCTTCAAAAAATTTTGGAAATGTATATAAATGATTATAAAACAAACGAAGCTTTTTAAATCCTTCCTTACTTGACTCCTTCTTTTGACAAACATTTAATGAATACTCAAAATATATTAGAGATACATCAGCCAAAAAAAAAAAAAGAGAGAAAAATGTATACTGGAGAAGACTGGTAAATAATAAACATAATTCAAAAGTAAATTATGGTCTGGCAAGGTGGCTTACATCTGTAATCCCAGCACTTTGGGAGGCTGAGGTGGGAAGATCACCTGAGGTCAAGAGTTAAAGACCAGCCTGGCCAACATGGTGAAACCCCGTCTCTACTAAAAATATGAAAATTAGCTGGGTGTGGTGGTGCGCAGCTGTAGTCCCAGCTACTTGGGTGGCTGAGGCAGGAGAATTGCTTGAACCCAGGAGACAGAGGCTTCAGTGAACTGAGATCATGCCACTGCACTCCAGTCTTGGCAAAAGAGTAAGACTCTGTCTCAAAAACAAAAGCAAAGACAGAAAAAAAAGGTAAATTGTATCATACATTAGAAGGTAATAAGTGTCACAAAAAAACAAACAGCAGGGTATGAGAACTATAGGAATGAGGGACGGTTGTTTTTCTTGAAAAGTGGAAAGCTTGGTGAGATTGAAGAGGGAGTGAAGGTTTTCTGTACACTGTTTAGTATTCCTTGACTTTAACAACCAGTTTGCATTCGTGTATTACAACAGTTAAAATAAATTTTTAAATGGCAGAAGAAAATTATTCAAATGGTTTTTTGGATTATTTCTAATTTAAAACATTTCTACTTAGTTAAAAGCCAATCAGAGGGAGACAACACGACATAACCAAAAAAATTCATGGGTTGGCTATGCTAGATAATGATTACCACAAGCTAAGTTTCAATATATAAATACGAATAAATCGAATAAATAGCCTTAAAACTTAAAGGTTATATCTCATATCATTCAGGGAATGAAAAGTACATAAAAATTGAAGCCATACCTGTTTTCCCAATAAGTTTTCACTTTTAAGCATATCATAGACCTTGGTAGCAGTCTCTCTTTGCTGTGCCATCCCACTGTCTCTGGTACCCTCATAGGCAAAATAAGGAAGAATATTTACAAGAATCTTTGGAAAGCAGTCTGTTAGAAGACTTTTCCAGTCCTCTTGAATCTGATTAGCAATGGACTTCACCTCATCAAAATGACTTCTAATCACCAGATGTGGAATCAAAACCTTATAACAAGATCTAAAAATAGAAAAATTTAAAATACAGGTTATATATAACTTTTCCAAGTAAAATTTTATAAAATAGTTCTTAAAAACTGTTTTAATACCATCAGCATTAAAGTATCATACTTTATCCAGATTATTAAACATTCTTTAATTTTATAAATGGAAAAATTAAGTAAATTCTAAATAGTCACATTAAAAAAATTAGAAAGCTTAGAACATACCACCACCATAATTATGGGATTTAAAAATGGGACCTTGTTCAGTAGCACCCTTAGCAAAAAGAAAAAACAAAACAATAAACAAATAAAAATGGAGACTTGAATTTATATTTATTTCTTCTGCATAATCAACTAACATAAATGCAGTTGACCCTTGAAAAACATGGGTTTGAACTTATACTTGCATATTTTTCAACCAAATGCAGATAGAAAAACAGTATTCACAGGATGTGAAAGTCTGTATATACAGAGGACTGACTTTTCATATACGTGGGTTCTGCAGGGCCAACTTGGTGACTTGAGTACGCGTAAATTTAGGCATACATGGGGGATCCTGGAATGAATCCCTCGCATATACAGAGATATAGCTATATTGTTCTTGCCAAAATGAATGAACTATAAGGACCACTAAATTTACTTTTGTAGGAATATCCTTCTTAAAGGAAACTACCTACATACAACTCATAATCTATTAGAAAACTCTATTAGGATAAGTCTGAAACTCAGATCTGTGATACACTACATGTAAAATGCATAGCAAAGTCCATAACACAGAGCATGTTCAACAAATATGAGATGCCTTCCCATCATCCTGATACCTAAACATTACTTTTTAGTTGTTTCAAACCTCTCCATTTTCAAATTTTTCTTCTACAGAGTTAAAGTTAGCAAAATAAAGTTTTACATTAAGTTTCTAAATCTAATAGAAGTAATAACTAAGAGGCCTATAGTCAAGCAACAGAAAAGAAAAACAAGGCAGAAATAACCAGCTACTAGTAATTTATCTTCAATTTTTTCCAAAGGAAAGATGATCAAATATTAAAGCTGAAAAGGACCTGAAAGATCTCCTTGTGTAACTTGCTTACTTTACATATTAAAAAACCAAGGCATAGAGGGTCTTTATGTGGTTTGACCAAAGTCAGATAGCTGGTTGTTGGCACAGCTAGGACCAGATCTGAAGTCCAGTGACTCCCTTCAATACATTCTTATTAAAAGAAGCTGTCCTGCTTCTCATACTATGTAGGCTCCCACACACACATGTGTATGGGTATGGTATGTGTGTTGCTGGTGAGGGGACTTGCTAAGTATTGTTAACTAATTTTAAATTAAACAAATTTCACATATGTCATGTATAAACTTACCTATAGAAATCCTCAATATTTGTGTAGTTTAATAAAATAAAAGGAAAAGAAGATAAGTTGTATTCAGTATCTTGAAGATTTAGCCATTCCAAAACCAGATAATCTAAATGAGATGCCATAAAGTCTTCTAAACGTCTATATCCAAAAGTTTCAGAAACTTTCTCTAAAACCTGCACGAACCAAAAAGTCAATGTGTTAAGAAAAATGAAAAAAATAAATCATTTAAATGCTTGTTAATATTATTTAGAGTAGGACCTAGAAACAACATTCATTCAACTTTTCTTGATTTCCTCATCTATGAGATGGGAATAATAATTAAGAAAATGTACTCAACTGGCACAGTATCTGACACATAGCAAACCCTTAATAAATGTTAAGTAAATAAAAATATAAAAATATGCTAAGAGTTTCCAACATTTGGTTATACTTAAAGGAAGATTTAATGTAAAATTACTGGCCAGTGGTGGTTCACACCTGTAATCCCAACGCTTTGGGAGTCTGAGGAGGGAGGGTTGCTTAAGCCCAAGAGTTCAAGACCAGCTTGGGCAACATAGCAAGAGCCCGTCTGTATAATAAATTAGCCAGGTGTGTGGATGTGACGACGGGCGCCTGTAGTCCCAGCTACTCGGGAGGCTGAGGCAGGAGAATGGCATGAACCCAGGAGGCGGAGCTTGCAGTGAGCCGAGATCATGCCACTGCACTCCAGTCTGGGCGACAGAGCGAGACTCCGTCTCAAAAAAAAAAAAAAAAATTAGCCAGGTGTGGTGGCACATGCCTGTAGTCCCAGCTACTCAGGAGGCTTGGGAGGATCGCTTGAGCCCAGGAGGTCAAGACTGCAGTGAGCCATGATCACATCACCGCACTCCAGCTTGGGTGACAGAGTGAGACCCTGTCTTTCAAAATAAATAAATAAATATAAAGTAAAATTATTTCTCTTAGGCTTAAATCCAAATAAGAAAAATCCAAACAATACATAACACTTATGATTATTAGGTAATGTATTTGTATACTTTTAAGAAACACCGAACAAGTCTTATACTGAGAGGTAAAAGGCTAACTGATTATAGGCTGGCTTACTCCAAAGCACCATGGAAACTATGCTGGTAGAATGTTAACTGGCATAATATCAGTCCACTGACCTACCACTGATTTATCACATAAAAATTTGCAATGGAAAGGTCTGGAACTTCCTAAACCATAAATGCTGAGGTGATGGAAAAGAGACGGGGCCAACATTCTATAATACTGTGCTGATGTAGTAATTATAAGGCTTGGACCCTAGTCCTTCTCCCCTGATAACTGAACTTAAAAGCCTGATAGCTCTAAAATTTGACTTCTGGCCCTGCTGGATCCCAATGTGCTGCCCCAGAATCTACCGGGCAAAACACCTATGCTGCTCTTGTCTCCATGTGTTTCCCTCAATAAATACTATTTCCAAAAGCCTGGTCAGTCTGGTGGACAAGTCATTCACTCTTGTTAGTACAATGAAAGCCTTGTGAAATGCTCTTAAATGGAATGTAAGAAACAGTGCATACCATAAATATACCATTTGAATAGTTTTTGTATAACTGCTTTCCAATATTCCCAACCTAAAAAATAAAATTGTTTCCTAGTCTTAAATAAGTGCCACTCAGAAAATCTAGCTTTAACTTTTTAAATTATTTCACAGTGACCTAAGGAAGCTTCTAATAAAATACTCATCCATATATACCTTTTTCACAAGGTGAGGTTCTAATCCATTCTCTTTCACAGATTTACACAGGGCAAACAAAGCCTGTTTTTCGCAGATAGGGCTACAGGATAAAACCACAGCTATCAACGTCAGTAAAACAGATTTTCTATTATAAATTTCATCCAAAGTTTCAGGGTTCTCAGCACTATGGGACTTAAAAAGAAATTAAAAAAAAAATGTAATGTAAAATGTAAATGTTTAACAATCAATTATAAAATCCCAACTGAACTCCAGATTTTTTGACAAGCTATACACATTTCAGAAACCTCCTACTCACTAATCCTAGTTCTGTCTTTTGGTACAAGAAAGAGTAAGGACCAATACCTTTGCTAAATCACAAGCACTGACATGTTTAAAAACAAATGTGAGCTTTCCACTAAGTCAATTCCTTCATCCATTTTTTATAAGACACAGATCTATAACATTCTGGCTAAAAATCTTTTACTTTACTCAGAACCAAACCAAACATTATAGTTATCCTCTAAAAAATACAGAAACATTTAATAACTAAAACAGTGTAATTGGATTGCTTGTAACACAAAGGATATTTGTTTGGGGGATGGATACCCCATTCTCCATGATGTGATTATTTCACATTGTATACCCGTATCACACACACACACACACCCCTACTATGTACCCATAAAAATTAAAAGATCTAAAAATAAAGCAAAAAGTATAAAAGATCCAAGTTCTTGTATTAACTTTGTTCATGACAATATGCTTCTATTAATGCAGTGTAAGACAGAGTTAGCCTTTTTGGTAACTGTAATACAATGTTGATTCATACTATAATCACAAGATACAAAACTTCCTAGGTCTTTTTCTAAATGAATTGCTGTCAGATCAGTATTTTCCCTTTTTGCAGATGACAGGCTGATTTAAAATGTATAATATACATTATCTCATTAGATTTTATGTTATTTACACTTATCTTTCTAATCTATTGAAATTCTTTTCTAAACTCACATTCTTTCAATTGTTCCTTTCAATTTCCTGCTATCACAGACTTGACAGTTATTTAACTACCTTAAATACTTGTAAGAAACAAACCAGGGCATAAATAAATGAAAAAATTTGAACTCTAAGATAATCATTACCATAAAAAATATATTATTCTACAGAAACGTGAAATATCACAAGTTTCACTGTAAACACCACAATGATTTGATTTTGTGTGAGATTCTTCTCCTCAATCCATTTCTTCCCATTGTCACCTGTTCCCTTAATTAGCTTTTAATCAGATCACATATAAAAGGATTTTTAAAATAAAAAAGGGAGCCATTTATACTCCCATAAAAACTCAGTTAAATTTTGGGTTTCTCCATAAAAATGCTAAACCAAAAGAAATTGCTATGATTTGACCCATTGTGACCCAGAAAGAATGCAGTTTCAATCAATTCATACAGTTGTTTTAGAGCAGCTTTATACTGTAAACTACTGGATTATAAACTC
Source organism: Homo sapiens (assembly GCF_000001405.40). NCBI lineage: Eukaryota > Metazoa > Chordata > Mammalia > Primates > Hominidae > Homo > Homo sapiens. Next base: position 108,279,692 of record NC_000011.10, on the reverse strand, counting down.
TCTTATACCAAACTTGGTGAAGTAATTTATGGGATATTCATAGCAAGCATATGATAACAGCAAATACATGTTACTTAAAATTACCATTTCTCTCATTCCTTCCTGAGCTTTCAAGTATGCATTTTCAAAAGCTGTTTGCTGAAGCTTCAAAGGAAGTGCTTTCAGTAACCTGGAAGAATCTCCCTTCGTGTCCTGGAACAATCTTAAAACAAGCAAGCAAACAAACAAACAAAAAGTGAAATAATTTTCTAATTTCAAACCCTACTTTCCAAAGCATATTCCAGAACAAAAATAAATCACTCTGTGAGACATAATAACATACTAGCTCTTTCTTAAAGACTAACAAAACCTGAGTTTATTTAAAGAGGTTCAGACCAGCAGCTTAGTATTAAGGTCTTGAATACAAAATCTATTTTCTCCTAGAACTGAAGAGGGTCTCAAAATATATTTTAACTATTGCTCAAATTTGAACAGCACTGAACTCAAACTAGCCAGAAAAGATAAACTGTTCTCTGGCCGAACACCAATTAGTTGAGTCCACAGATTCCAATGTCAACCTGCTCTAACATTTAATCACTCTGAAAGCGGGTAAGTTAATGTTTTTATGTACCATTTAAATTTTGTTTTATGTGATGGAAAAAAGTTGATCAGTACACCTTTTGCGTAACACCCACATATTTAAGGATAACTCTTTAATCAACTTTGTCTTTTATCCTTTTTTAGTAATCGAAGCTTTTATAATTGTTTATGTTCCTCTGATTCTTCTAGTTTCACTCACTGCTCTTAAAATAGCTGAACATTAGATATCTGCTATTGTCTGAATGTTTAACCCCTCCAAATGTCATGTTGAAATCTGATCCCCATTAGGTTATGCCTAATGGGAGGTGTCGGAGTCATGGGGGCAGATCCCTCACGAATAGATTAAGGCCTGAGGGTAAGGAATGAGTGAGTTCTCACTATTCAGTTCCCACAAGGGCTGGTTATTAAAAAAAAGAGCCTGGCATGGCCTTCCCCGCCTCCACCCTTGCTTCCTCTCTCACCATGTGATCTCTGCACACACTGATTCCTCTTTGCCTTCTGCCATGAGTCTGAGGCCCTTACCAGATGTAGACGCCATATGCCAAATAAACCTCTTTTCTTTGTAAATATCCAGCCTCAGGTATTCCTTTATAGCAACACAAAGGGACTAAGACAAAATCTAACAAGTGTAAAATTAAAAAAAAGAATGCTACTTGCATGTTATTCTTGAATTTATACTTTTTGAATCTTCAGTTTTTTTAATGCCACCACTACACTGCCGCCTTATTACATTCAATTCAGTCTTATATTACCTCAGTCCTTAAAGTTCAGCATACATTTGCTTTTATCTGTGAAATTTAATAAGGGCTTGAACTACTAAACATATTCATTAGAAATCCTTGCAATGCATTATGGTCTTACTAAAAACAGTTCCAAACCTGAGGAGTTAGACACAAAATCTAGTTTATGAAAACATTACTGTCGGCATATTCAAATACTGAAATATTAGTTTTAATACTTTATGTGACTGCTGAACAATATAGTAATCTTTTATTATTGATTGCTTACATTTTAAAGTTACTCAAATGATTTTCAGCTTTGATGTTTTTGAAGCATCATGTAATTTTTTTTCAAGTACATTCATTTATTTTAAAACAGTTATTGGATACCTATCACATGCCAAGTATTGTTTTAGGTGCTAAAAATACAACAATGAACAGAACAGACAAAAACCAGTGCCTTTAGGAACATATATACTAGTGGAATACGGAGAAGTAAATATATTAAAATATGTTTCACGTTATCATAAATACTAGAGAAAAATAAAACAAGGGAACAGCAAGATGGCAACATAGGAACAGTTCTGGTCTGCAGCTCCCAGTGAGATCAACGCAGAAGGTGGTGATTTCTGCATTTCCAACTGAGGTAGATGGCTCATCTCATTGGGACTGGTTAGACAGTGGGTGCAGCCCACGGAGGGAGAGTCAAAGCAGGGTGGGGTGTAGCCTCACCCGGGAAGCACAAGGGGTCGGGGAACTCCCTCCCCTAGCCAAGGGAAGCCGTGAGGGACTATGCTGTGAGGGGCTATGCTGTGAGGAATGGTGGATTCCTGCCCAGATACTACGCTTTTCCCGCAGTCTTTGCAACCCGCAGACCAAGAGATTCCCTTGGGTGCCTACACCACCAGGGCCCTGGGTTTAAAGCACAAAGCTGGGCGGCCATTTGGGCAGACACTGAGCTAGCTGCAAGAGTGTTTTTTCATACCCCAGTGGCACCTGGAACGCCAGCGAGACGGACCCATTCACTCCCCTAGAAAGGGGGCTGAAGCCAGGGAGCCAAGTGGTCTAGCTCAGCGGATCCCACCCCCATGGAGACCAGCAAGTTAAGATCCACTGGCTTGAAATTCTCGCTGCCAGCAGAACAGTCTGAAGTCGACCTGGGACACTGAAGCTTGGTGGGGGGAGGGGCGTCTGCAATTACTGAGGCTTCAGTAGGATGTTTTCCCCTCACAGTATAAACACAGCCAGTAGGAAGTTCGAACTGGGTGGAGCCCAACATAGTGCCACAAAGCCACTGTAGCCAGACTGCCTCTCTAGATTCCTCCTCTCTGGGCAGGGTATCTCTGAAAGACAGGCAGCAGCCCCAGTCAGGAGCTTATAGATAAAATTCCCATCTCCCTGACACAGAGCACCTGGGGAAAGGGGTGGTTGTGGGCACAGCTTCAGCGGACTTAAACGTTCCTGCCTGCCAGCTCTGAAGAGAATAGCGGATCTCCCAGCACAGCGCTCGAGCTCTGCTAAGGGACAGACTGCCTCCTCAAGTGGGTCCCTGACCCCCGTGCCTCCTGACTGGGAGACACCTCCCAGCAGGGGTCGACAGACACCTCATACAGAAGAGCTCCCGCTGCCATCTGGCGGGTGCCGCTCTGGGACGAACCTTCCCAGAGGAAGGAACAGGCAGCAATCTTTGCTGTTCTGCAGCCTCCATGGATGATACCCAGGCAAACAGGGTCTGGAGTGGACCTCCAGCAAACTCCAGCAGATCTGCAGCAGAGGGGCCTGACTGTAAAAAGGAAAACTAACAAACAAAAAGGAATAGCATCAACATCAACAAAAAGGATGTCCACACAGAAACCCCATACAAAAGTCACCAACATCAAAGACCAAAGGTAGATAAATCCACGAAGATGAGGAAAAACCAGCGCAAAAGGGCTGAAAATTCCAAAAACCAGAATGCCTCTTCTGCTGCAAAGGATCACAATTCTTCACCAGCAAGGGAACAAAACTGGACGGAGAATGAGTTTGACGAATTGACAGAAGTAGGCTTCGGAAGATGGGTAATAACAAACTCCTCTGAGCTAAAGGAGCATGTTCTAACCCAATGCAAGGAAGCTAAGAACCTTGAAAAAAGGTTAGAGGAACTGCTAACTAGAATAATCAGTGTAGAGAAGAACATAAATGACCTGATGGAGCTGAAAAATGCAGGATGAGAACATCGTGAAGCATACGCAAGTATCAACAGCCGAACTGATTAAGCAGAAGAAAGGATATCAGAGATTGAAGATCAACTTAATGAAATAAAGCATGAAGACAAGATTAGAGAAAAAAGAATGAAAAGGAACAAACAAAGCCTCCAAGAAATATGGGACTATATGAAAAGACTAAATCTACGTTTGTCTGGTGTACCTGAAAGTGATGGGGAGAATGGAACCAAGTTGGAAACACCCTTCAGGATATTATCAGAACTTCCCCAATCTAGCGAGACAGGCCAACATTCAAATTCAGGAAATACAGAGACCACCACAAAGATACTCCTCTAGAAGAGCAACCCCAAGACACATAATCATCAGATTCACCAAGGTTGAAATGAATGAAAAAATGTTAAGGGCAGCCAGAGAGAAAGGTCGGGTTACCCACAAAGGGAAGCCCATCAGACTTAACAGCAGATCTCTCGGCAGAAACCTTACAAGCCAGAAGAGAGTGGGGGCCAATATTCAACACTCTTAAAGAAAATAATTTTCAACCCAGAATTTCATATCCAGCCAAACTAAGCTTCATAACCAAAGGAGAAATAAAATCCTTTATAGACAAGCAAATGCTGAGAGATTTTGTCACCACCAGGCCTGCCTTACAAGAGCTCCTGAAGGTAGCACTAAATATGGAAAGGCAAAGCTGGTACCAGCCACTGCAAAAACATACCAAATTGTAAAGACCATTGACACTATGAAGAAACTGCATCAACTAATGGGCAAAATAACCAGTTAGCATCATAATGACAGGATCAAATTCACACATAACAATATTAACCTTAAATGTAAATGGGCTAAAATGTCCCAGTTAAAAGACAGAGACTGGCAAATTGGATAAAGAGTCAAGACCCATCAGTGTGCTGTATTCAGGGGACCCATCTCACATGCAAAGACACACATAGGCTCAAAATAAAGGGGTGGAGGAATATTTACCAAGCAAATAGAAAGAAAAAAAGCAAGGGTTGCAATCCTAGTCTCTGATAAAACAAACATCCAACAAAGATCAAGAAAGACAAAGAAGGACATTACATGATGGTATAAGGATCAATGCAACAAGAAGTGCTAACTATCCTAAATATATATGCACCCAATACAGGAGCACCCAGATTCATAAAGCAAGTTCTTAGACCTACGAAGAGACTTAGACTTCCACACAATAATAGCGGGAGACTTTAACACCCCACCATCAATATTAGACAGATCAATGAGACAGAAAATTAACAAGGATATTCAGGACTTGAACCGAACTCTGGACCAAGCAGACCTAACAGACATCTACAGAACTCTCCACCCCAAATCAACAGAGTAATATACATTCTTCTCAGCACCACATCACACTTATTCTAAAACTGACCACATAATTGAAAGTAAAACAAACCTCAGCAAATGCAAAAGAATGGAAATCGTAACAGTCTCTCAGATCACAGTGCAATCAAATTAGAACTGAGGATTAAGAAACTCACTCAAAACCACACAACTACATGGAAACTGAACAACCTGCTCCTGAATGACTACTAGGTAAATAATGAAATGAAGGCAGAAATAAGTAAGTTCTTTGAAACCAATAAGAACAAAGACACAATGTACCAGAATCTCTGGGACACAGCTAAAGCAGTGTTTAGAGGGAAATTTATAGCACTAAATGCCCACAGGACAAAGTGGGAAAGATCTAAAATCAACACCCTAACATCACAATTAAAAGAACTAGAGAAGCAAGAGCAAACAAATTCAAAAGCTAGCAGAAGACAAGAAATAACTAAGATCAGAGCTGAGTGAAGGAGATAGAGACACACACACACAAAAAAAACCTTTCAAAAAAATCAATTAATCCAGGAGCTGATTTTTTGAAAAGATTAACAAAACAGACCGCTAGCAAGACTAATAAAGAGAGAAGAATCAAATAGACTCAATAAAAAATGATAAAGAGGATAATACCACTGATCCCACAGAAATACAAACTACCATCAGAGAATACTATAAATACCTCTATGCAAATAAACTAGAAAATCTAGAAGAAAGTGATAAATTCCTAGACACATACAACCTCCCAACTAAAGCAGGAAGAAGTCGAATCCCTGAATAGACCAATAACAAGTTCTGAAATTGAGGCAGTAATTAATAGCCTACCAACCAAAAAAAGCCCAGGACCAGAGGGATTCACAGCCGAATTCTACCAGGGGTACAAAGAGGAGCTGGTACCATTCCTTCTGAAACTATTCCAAACAATAGAAAAAGAGGGACTCTTCCCTAACTCATTTTATGATGCCAGCATCATCCTGATTCCAAAACCTGGCAGAGACACAAGAAAAAGAAAATTTCAGGCCATTATCCGTGATGAACATCGATGTGAAAATCCTCGATAAAATACTGGCAAACTGAATCCAGCACATCAAAACGCTTATCCACCACTATCAAGTCAGCTTCATCCCTGGGACGCAAGGCTGATTCAGCATACACAAATCAATAAACATAATCCATCACATAAACAGAACGAATGACAAAAACTACATGATTAAAGGCTCACGCCTGTAATCTCAGCACTTTGGGAGGACAAGGTGGGTGGATCACCTGAGGTCAGGAGTTCAAGACCAGCCTGGCCAACATGGTGAAACTCCATCTCTACGAAAAATAAAAAAATTAGCTGGGCATGGTGGCAGGCGCCTGTAATCCCAGCTACTCAGGAGGATGAGGCAGGAGAATTGCTTGAACCGAGGAGGTAGAGGCTGAAGTGAACCGAGATCACACCATTGCACTCCAGCCTGGGAGACATGAGCGAAACTCCATCTCAAAAAAAAAAAAAAAAAAAAAAAAAAAGAATGAAATTAATATATGTTTATTCCAGTACTCAAATATAAAAGATCCTCATGATAGAATCCTTCCAGTGCTTCACTGGATGTTCACTCAAGTAAATATAATTGTAATTAGCACAATGTAAAATGTGCTAATTATCATTTCATAAACTCACATAAAATCACAGTAATTTCCAAACAGTCCGTATCTCCTGTACATGATAGTAGACACACCTCACTCGAGTCAACCACTTGTTAGCTCTGTGGCATAAGCAAGTTACTTTACCTCACTAAGTCACAGTTTTCATTTATAAATTGAAGGAAATAATAGAATCTAAGTGACAGAAGTATAAGAATTAAGAATAAACATAAATGCCAGGCACACCGTATATACTCAACAAGTGTTAGCTATTTTTAATATTGCAACTGTGAGCTGTTACTATGTAAGACATTCTACTGCCATCTGCAGCATTCCAAATACTTCATGAATATTTGACCCATTACCTATTGATTGACTCTGCAGCCAACATGCGAACTTGGTGATGATTGTCAGCAAGAAATTGTGTAAATACTTCATTTACAGGAAAGTCTTTTCCCATTACATTAAGAATGGCCCATTTTGAATAAGGATCAGCCTACGGGAAAAGAACTGTGGTTAAATATGAAATAGAGAAAAATTACTCATTAACAAACAAAGACTGCTTTAAAATTTTCAATGGAGATCTTACTAAAAAAATGCAAAAACTCACCTCAAGCAAAGTTTTAAGGCAATTTACTAGGGCCATTCTTACAGAGAATATATATTTCCTCTCCTTTGTTAGATGCCTGAAATCAAGTAAGTTTTCCAAAGTTAAATAATCATTCTGATAAAAGCACTCAGAAAACTCACTGAAAGGTTATTGTAAGTTACTTCCAATATGTCTTTCTGTGCTAAACTTATTTGTCATTATGTGGAATATGCCAACATACTCACCTTGCCAAAAATTCAAGCTAAAAGAAATTAGTGTAAAAGAATTCATTTTAGCGTATATTATTTGTTTTATACCATTATGTCCTTTTTTGGGGGCTACCATAGAATGGCTAAACTACATTACAGTAAACTTACTTTAGAAAGAAATTTCTTTGTTTGGTATATTGAAGATTTCTTTGTTTGGTATATTGAAGATTTCAAAACCACATTCAGGCTGGGTGCACTGGCTCACACCTGTAATCCCAACACTTTGGGAGGCCAAGGTGGGCAGATCACTTGAGGTCAGGAGTTTGGGACCAGCCTGGCCAACGTGTTGAAACCCCATCTCTACTAAAAATACAAAAAAATTAGCCAGGCATTGTGGTGGGAGCCTGTAATCATAGCTGCTCAGGAGGCTGAGGCAGGACAATTGCTTGAACCTACTAGGCGGAGGTTGCAGTGAGCAGATATAGCACCACTGCACTCCAGCCTGCAGCCTGGGTGATGGAGTGAGACTCCATCTCAAAAAAACACAAAAACAAAAAACAGTCTATTGATTTAGAATTACTTAGCAATCAGATAGTACAAGGGTTCTAAATTATATGTATGTGCTCCTCTGTAAGTATCAGGGTGTTATCTTGGAATGTGACAATATGCATAAAATAACCAGATAAGGACAAGGCCAATTTGTTCACTTAGGGAACATGAACAATTCAACTGATTTTGGCTTGTTATCCTTTATTCACTATACATGTCAAATTATTAAGTGATTCAAAATTTGCAGAGAAATGAGTTAAACGGTTTAGAAAGCCAAGCCTTAAACAAAAAGCAATGTAGTTCTTCAAGCGACTGAGGGAAACACAAATTACATTCTGCTATTCTTAAAAGATGTATTAGCTATGTAGGAAGATCAGAAGAAATCACTGATGTGGATACAAAACTTGCATTCGTATCCACAGATAGCAAAAGAAAAATAGGACCACAAAATAGACTGTACCTACCAAAATGCTCCAATTACTGTAAGAAACTGTCCTTGAGCATCCCTTGTGTTCTCAGAGTCCATATTGCTTTGACCTAGGTTTTTCACTACATGAAGGACATGGTTTAAAATAGTTTTACAAACATCTTGGTCACGACGATACAAAGAACACACATTGCTGTGGTAAAAAAAAAAAAAAAGTTCAACTTTATAAGCTTAACAGAACACATCAGTTATTTTATAACTTTAAAGTGAACATAACATAAGGTTTTAATTTCTTACGATAGTGGTTTCAGAAGTTCAAGAACATCTTCCATTGGCAAGGGGTACTCTTCTCCAGGAAGCTCCTTTAAAAGCATTAGATACTAAGATGGTAGGAGGGAAAAAAATCAGGTTTATCCACAAATCATTTACTTTAAAAAGTATATAAACATAGGCCGGGTGCAGTGGCTCACACCTGTAATCCCAGCACTTTGGGAGGCTGAAGCAGGCAGATCACAAGGTCAGGAGTTTGAGAACAGCCTGGCCAATATGGTGAAACTCCATCTCTACTAAAAACACAAAAATTAGCCAGGGGTGGTGGCAGGCGCCTATAATCCCAGCTACTCAGGAGGCTGAGGCAGGAGAATCGCTTGAACCTGGGAGGCGAAGGTTGCAGTGAGCCGAGATCGCGCCACTGCACTCCAGCCCGGGCAACAGAGCGAGATTCCGTCTCAAAAAAAAATTTTTTTTAAGTATATAAACATAAATTCATACATGCACACACATACACACACACACACAGCTGTAAATATTTAAGAGGTGTATAGTAAAAACAAAAGGCTTTGAAGTCAAACAGAAAATTCAAATCCCAGTACCACAGCCTTAACTTTTCTGGTAAAAAACTTGCCTTATGTCATCTAGGGCCTTCGTACCCTCATCAGTAGAGTGAAGATATATCACTTACCTGGCCAGATAACTGTGAGGATTAGAGAAAATAAACGTAAAAGTCTAGCTTCTATTGTGGAATTCAATAAATGATCATTATTACCACTGTTGCAGTTAAGAGCTTGAGCAAGATTCTGAAACTGTAAGTCTCCACTCTCCCAAAATAATGCTTGGGGATAATAGACCAGTGGTTGAAAACTATTAATGAATTTTGGAAAGCAGAGATAATCATGGGCAGGGAAGAAGTCAAAAACCTTGACCTATCTTCCCATAAGGCAATCTTGTAAGGCTCTTTATGGTACTATGCACAGAAAGGGCTGCTGCAACGACCAGTTATAATGGTAGTTATTATCTGGGCAGCCAGTTTCCGAGAACTACCAAATAATTTTCTGGCTATACTGAAATAATAAGGGATTTTTTTTCCTATTTACATATAGAATAATATATTTCTTAATCCTTTTCAGATATTAACAAAGGAAATTAAATGATCCTTTTCATTATTTGACATGAGAGTCATGTACATGAGGTTACTGAATGTTCTGAAGTGACTTGAAACATCAATACTTCAAGAAAAGCATGTAACTTCCTCTTGGTCAGGGATAGAGACTTGAGTATCTGCGAGGACCTAAACCAGGGGCCCAAACAGGGCACAACCAAACTTGTCTTCTCACTCTAAGGGATTGACGTGCATTTTCACCAAGGGTGGGAAACATGACCAGGGATTCCACCAATGACTCAGCCTACAATTTACTGTGATCAGAGGTTCTAATTAGGGACTCACCAGGCATGTGTGACAATTTGCTGGAACTGGGGACATGACCTAGGACCCAACTTGCTACTCGCTAGGCCAGAGGCTCTACCTCCACATACACTGGGGCTAGGGCTAAGAAAATGGCCCACATGGTTAGATTAGTTATATATAAGGTTGTTGAGCAAATAAGTAAATGCATTCAGGTTGAGTGGATAGTCAGGTTTTGGGGTGTTTTTTTTAACTGCTAGTAAAGCAATTTATAAATTTGGACAGAAAAAAAGATAAACTGTGTGATGTTGGCTTGGATTTGAAGATATCTATCAACAGACAGATAAATGGACAGGGTGAAGGCAGAAGAGGAATTACTTTTGCAACATTCTCGTCAAAGTATAAATTTAATCATAAGGAAACATCAGACAAACTCAGAGCAAGGGACCTGTACTATTCAAATATATGAAGGTCATGATAAATAAAAAAAAGAACTGTTCCAGATTGAAGGAGACTAAACAGACTACACACCTAAATGCAATGACAAAATGTTAACTTCCTGATTTTGATGATTATACTGTGGCTAAACAGAAGTGTATCCTTGTTTTTAGGAAATATACACTGAAGTATAAGGAGCATCACGTGTGCGATTTCATCTCAAAATGGTTCAGAGAAAATGATGTGTGTATCTGCGTATGAGTGTGTGTGTGGAGAGAGGGAATGATTAAGCAAATATGGTAAAACGTTAACTGTAGTATTCTTGTAACTTCACTATCATTTTGAAATCAAATCCAAAAAACTGAAAATATATAAACTAAGGTCAAAGGCAAGGTTCCAACTTCAAACACAATGTTATGTAATATTTTTACATTCAGGGTCTATGTTTCTTAGCCTAATTAAAATAATTTATAACAATTAAACCTAAAGAGAATAAATCTATCCAAAACCCATCTAAGTTTTAATATTTCAGCATCCACTTAAATTTGCTCACAGCACGTTAAAAGTGTTATTTTCCAACTAGTCTCAGGTTCATTTCTCAAGAAAGCAATTTCAATTCTTCAAAGACACCATGTGATTCTTACATGTCAACTCATTACATTTAGTCAGCAACATCAGATAAAATCCAAGAGCTTCTTCATTTAACGTAACTCACCATATGCAGGTGGAGGGATTTGGTAGGTTCTAGCGTGCTAGAATCAATTAACATTAACAATTTCCTCCGAATATCAGCTGCCCTAAAGGACACAGTATTGGTCTGAGCAGTAGTTACACACAAACACAAGAACTTGAGCATGTCTAAGAAAAGTAGATCTTGCTTTGACAGATATTCTTCAGCTAAAGGATTAATGGCACCTAAAAATAAAAAGCACTCATTAACACTAAGAGAAGGGCACAACAGCCATATATAGTCATATTAACTCAAATTTCCTCCTCTTCACAAAAAAAAGTATATGAAAAGCAAAATTATAGTGAAATTAATTATATACTGAAAGCTTCAAAAGTCTTTTTGAAAAATTATCCAAGATTCTGTTGTCAAGAAATAATTTAAAATATGAGAAAAAAAAACCCTTAGACAAATGATCATTGCAATAATGTTTATTGTAGGAAAATAGAAAAGAATCTAAATTTCTGACAATAAAAAATGTCAAGTAAATTATGGTATTTATGACAGAAAAATGGTGAAGCCATTAAAAAGTATGACTATCAAGAAAAGCAACTACCTGGAAAAATACTTATAATTAAACAGGCATTCATAACATGTGAATGTTGATGTTGACTACAATTTTGAATGTTTCTACAGAGAAATAATAGAAAAAGGTTAAAAGCAATGGCATTACAGGTGTGTTTTCATTTCCTGCTTTCTATTGAGGAAATAACCTATCATATGATTTTATTTCTTTTTTTGAGACGGAGTCTCGCTCTGTCGCCCAGGCTGGAATGCAGTGGCATGATCTCGGCTCACTGCAACCTCCACCTCCCCAGGTTCATGCCGTTCTCCTGCTTCAGCCTCCCGAGTAGCTGGGACTACAGGCGCCCGCCACCACGCCCATCTAATTTTTGTGTTTTTAGTAGAGATGGGGTTTCACCACGTTAGCCAGGATGGTCTTGATCTCCTGACCTCATGATCAGCCCGCCTTGGCCTCCCAAAGTGCTGAGATTACAAGCGTGAGCCACCATGCCTGGCCTGGTTTTATTTCTTTAATAGTTATCTTAAGTTCCTTCTATGAAGAATAAAATATGAAACTAATAAATTCAAGTAAAAATAAAAAAAAAATAAAGTATATAAGAAAGGAACAATCCTAAAAGGCTATACTAAGAGAAAATGAAATAAGCACAAAATTGATATCAATGAGGCCTCTTATACTGCCAAATCAATATAAAGAAGTAAAAGAAATCCCAAGTAGTAAATATGTATTTACCTATGGTACTTTGGCTCTCTCCAGGTTCGTTTGCATCACTAACACTACTATCAGGGTAATCGTTAAATAGATTCATGGATGACTGATCCTCCACCTCCATTAGATTTCCATTAGTATCATCTTCCATTGATTCTACTTCTCCACGGTCAAATGGCTTTTTGATGAAGGATGCCTTCAAGGAAGAGAAACAAAGATGTTCAAGATGGCTTCTTGCAGGAGCATGCTGTAGTCAAAATTTACCTAATCAGGCTGGGCACAGTGGCTCACATCTGTAATCTCAGCAATTTGGGAGGCAGAGCCAGGTGGATCACCTGAGGTCGGGAGTTCGAAACCAGCCTGGCCAACATGGTGAAACCTTGTCTCTATTTAAAATACAAAAATTAGCTGGGTGTGGTGGTGGGCACCTGTAATCCCAGCTACTCAGGAAGCTGAGGCAGGAGAATCACTTGAACTCAGGAGGCAGAGATTGCAGTGAGCTGAGATCATGCCACTGCACTCCAGCCTGGGTTTGACGAAGCGAGACTCTGTCTCAAAAAAAAAAAAAAAAAAAAAATTTACCTAATCAAACAATTCAAGGTTCATGTGTAAGTATGAAAACTACAGTACTTTTTCTACTAAATGTCCAACAATAGTAAAATGGATATATAACCTGTAATATGTCTACATAACAAAATAATATGCAAACTTTAAAAATTATTATTTTTTTTATTACACTTTAAGTTTTAGGGTACATGTGCACATTGTGCAGGTTAGTTACATATGTATACATGTGCCATGCTGGTGTGCTGCACCCACTAACTCGTCATCTAGCATTAGGTATATCTCCCAATGCTATCCCTCCCCCCTCCCCCCACCCCACAACAGTCCACAGAGTGTGATATTCCCCTTCCTGTGTCCATGTGATCTCATTGTTCAATTCCCACCTATGAGTGAGAACATGCGGTGTTTGGTTTTTTCTTCTTGCGACAGTTTACTGAGAATGATGATTTCCAATTTCATCCATGTCCCTAACAAAGGACATGAACTCATCATTTTTTATGGCTGCATAGTATTCCATGGTGTATATGTGCCACAGTTTCTTAATCCAGTCTATCATTGTTGGACATTTGGGTTGGTTCCAAGTCTTTGCTATTGTGAATAATGCCACAATAAACATACGTGTGCATGTGTCTTTATAGCGGCATGATTTATAGTCCTTTGGGTATATACCCAGTAATGGGATGGCTGGGTCAAATGGTATTTCCAGTTCTAGATCCCTGAGGAATCACCACACTGACTTCCACAATGGTTGAACTAGTTTACAGTCCCACCAACAGTGTAAAAGGATTCCTATTTCTCCACATCCTCTCCAGCACCTGTTGTTTCCTGACTTTTTAATGACTGCCATTCTAACTGGTGTGAGATGGTATCTCATTGTGGTTTTGATTTGCATTTCTCTGATGGCCAGTGATGATGAGCATTTTTTCATGTGTTTTTTGGCTGCATAAATGTCTTCTTTTGAGAAGTGTCTGTTCATGTCCTTCGCCCACTTTTTGATGGGGTTGTTTGTTTTTTTCTTGTAAATTTGTTTGAGTTCATTGTAGATTCTGGATATTAGCCCTTTGTCAGATGAGTAGGTTGCGAAAATTTTCTCCCATTTTGTAGGTTGCCTGTTCACTCTGATGGTAGTTTCTTTTGCTGTGCAGAAGCTCTTTAGTTTAATTAGATCCCATTTGTCAATTCTGTCTTTTGTTGCCATTGCTTTTGGTGTTTTAGACATGAAGTCCTTGCCCATGCCTATGTCCTGAATGGTAATGCCTAGGTTTTCTTCTAGGGTTTTTATGGTTTTAGGTCTAATGTTTAAGTCTTTAATCCATCTTGAATTGATTTTTCTATCAGGTGTAAGGAAGGGATCCAGTTTCAGCTTTCTACATATGGCTAGCCAGTTTTCCCAGCACCATTTATTAAATAGGGAATCCTTTCCCCATTGCTTGTTTTTCTCAGGTTTGTCAAAGAGCAGATAGTTGTAGATATGCAGCGTTATTTCTGAGGGCTCTGTTCTGTTCCATTGATCTATATCTCTGTTTTGGTACCAGTACCATGCTGTTTTGGTTACTGCAGCCTTGTAGTATAGTTTGAAGTCAGGTAGTGTGATGCCTCCAGCTTTGTTCTTTTGGCTTAGGATTGACTTGCCGATGCGGGCTCTTTTTTGGTTCCATATGAACTTTAAAGTAGTTTTTTCCAATTCTGTGAAGAAAGTCATTGGTAGCTTGATGGGGATGCCATTGAATCTGTAAATTACCTTGGGCAGTATGGCCATTTTCACAATATTGATTCTTCCTACCCATGAGCATGGAATGTTCTTCCATTTGTTTGTATCCTCTTTTATTTCCTTGAGCAGTGGTTTGTAGTTCTCCTTGAAGAGGTCCTTCACATCCCTTGTAAGTTGGATTCCTAGGTATTTTATTCTCTTTGAAGCAATTGTGAATGGGAGTTCACTCATGATTTGGCTCTCTGTTTGTCTGTTGTTGGTGTATAAGAATGCTTGTGATTTTTGTACATTGATTTTGTATCCTGAGACTTTGCTGAAGTTGCTTATCAGCTTAAGGAGATTTTGGGCTGAGACAGTGGGGTTTTCTAGATATACAATCATGTCGTCTGCAAACAGGGACAATTTGACTTCCTCTTTTCCTAATTGAATACCCTTTATTTCCTTCTCCTGCCTGATTGCCCTGGCCAGAACTTCCAACACTATGTTGAATAGGAGTGGTGAGAGAGGGCATCCCTGTCTTGTGCCAGTTTTCAAAGGGAATGCTTCCAGTTTTTGCCCATTCAGTATGATATTGGCTGTGGGACTGTCATAGATAGCTCTTATTATTTTGAGATACGTCCCATCAATACCTAATTTATTCAGAGTTTTTGGCATGAAGGGTTGTTGAATTTTGTCCAAGGCCTTTTCTGCATCTATTGAGATAATCATGTGTTTTTTGTCTTTGGTTCTGTTTACATGCTGGATTACATTTATTGATTTGTGTACATTGAACCAGCCTGGCATCCCAGGGATGAAGCCCACTTGATCATGGTGGATAGGCTTTTTGATGTGCTGCTGGATTCAGTTTGCCAGTATTTTATTGAGGATTTTTGCATCAATGTTCATCAAGGATATTGGTCTAACATTCTCTTTTTTGGTTGTGTCTCTGCCTGGCTTTGGTATCAGTATGATGCTGGCCTCATAAAATGAGTTAGGGAGGATTCCCTCTTTTTCTATTGATTGGAATAGTTTCAGAAGGAATGGTACCAGTTCCTCCTTGTACCTCTGGTAGAATTCGGCTGTGAATCCATCTGGTCCTGGACTCTTTTTTGTTGGTAAGCTATTGATTATTGCCACAATTTCTGATCCTGTTATTGGTCTATTCAGAGATTCAACTTCTTCCTGGTTTAGTCTTGGGAGAGTGTATGTGTCCAGGAATTTATCCATTTCTTCTAGATTTTCTAGTTTATTTGCGTAGAGGTGTTTGTAGTATTCTCTGATGGTAGTTTGTATTGCTGTGGGATCGGTGGTGATATCCCCTTTATCATTTTTTATTGCGTCTATTTGATTCTTCTCTCTTTTTTTCTTTATTAGTCTTGCTAGCGGTCTATCAATTTTGTTGATCCTTTCAAAAAACCAGCTCCTGGATTCATTAATTTTTTGAAGGGTTTTTTGTGTCTCTATTTCCTTCAGTTCTGCTCTTAGTTATTTCTTGCCTTCTGCTAGCTTTTGAATGTGTTTGCTCTTGCTTTTCTAGTTCTTTTAATTGTGATGTTAGGGTGTCAATTTTGGATCTTTCCTGCTTTCTCTTGTGGGCATTTAGTGCTATAAATTTCCCTCTACACACTGCTTTGAATGCGTCCCAGAGATTCTGGTATGTTGTGTCTTTGTTCTCGGTGGTTTCAAAGAACATCTTTATTTCTGCCTTCATTTCGTTATGTACCCAGTAGTCATTCAGGAGCAGGTTGTTCAGTTTCCATGTAGTTGAGTGGTTTTGAGTGAGATTCTTAATCCTGAGTTCTAGTTTGATTGCACTGTGGTCTGAGAGATAGTTTGTTATAATTTCTGTTCTTTTACATTTGCTGAGGAGAGCTTTACTTCCCAGTATGTGGTCAATTTTGGAATAGGTGTGGTGTGGTGCTGAAAAAAATGTATATTCTGTTGATTTGGGGTGGAGAGTTCTGTAGATGTCTATTAGGTCTGCTTGGTGCAGAGCTGAGTTCAATTCCTGGGTATACTTGTTGACTTTCTGTCTCGTTGATCTGTCTAATGTTGACAGTGGGGTGTTAAAAGTCTCCCATTATTAATGTGTGGGAGTCTAAGTCTGTTTGTAGGTCACTCAGGACTTGCTTTATGAATCTGGGTGCTCCTGTAGTGGGTGCATATATATTTAGGATAGTTAGCTCTTCTTGTTGAATTGATCCCTTTACCATTATGTAATGGCCTTCTTTGTCTCTTTTGATCTTTGTTGGTTTAAAGTCTGTTTTATCAGAGACTAGGATTGCAACCCCTGCCTTTTTTTGTTTTCCATTTGCTTGGTAGATCTTCCTCCATCCTTTTATTTTGAGCCTATGTGTGTCTCTGCACGTGAGATGGGTTTCCTGAATACAGCACACTGATGGGTCTTGACTCTTTATCCAATTTGCCAGTCTGTGTCTTTTAATTGGAGCATTTAGTCCATTTACATTTAAAGTTAACATTGTTATGTGTGAATTTGATCCTGTCATTATGATGTTAGCTGGTTATTTTGCTCATTAGTTGATGCAGTTTCTTCCTAGTCTCAATGGTCTTTACATTTTGGCATGATTTTGCAGCGGCTGGTACCGGTTGTTCCTTTCCATGTTTAATGCTTCCTTCAGGAGCTCTTGTAAGGCAGGCCTGGTGGTGACAAAATCTCTCAGCATTTGCTTGTCTGTAAAGTATTTTATTTCTCCTTCACTTATGAAGCTTAGTTTGGATGGACATGAAATTCTGGGTTGAAAATTCTTTTCTTTAAGAATGTTGAATATTGGCCCCCACTCTCTTCTGGCTTGTAGAGTTTCTGCGGAGAGATCCGCTGTTAGTCTGATGTGCTTCCCTCTCAGGGTAACCCGACCTTTCTCTCTGGCTGCCCTTAACATGTTTTCCTTCATTTCAACTTTGGTGAATCTGACAATTATGTGTCTTGGAGTTGCTCTTCTCGAGGAGTATCTTTGTGGCATTCTCTGTATTTCCTGAATCTGAATGTTGGCCTGCCTTGCTAGATTGCGGAAGTTCTCCTGGATAATATCCTGCAGAGTGTTTTCCAACTTGGTTCCATTCTCCCCGTTACTTTCAGGTGCACCAATCAGACGTAGATTTGGTCTTTTCCCATAGTCCCATATTTCTTGGAGGCTTTGCTCATTTCTTTTTATTCTTTTTTCTCTAAACTTCCCTTCTCGCTTCATTTCATTCATTTCATCTTCCATCGCTGATACCCTTTCTTCCAGTTGATCGCATCGGCTCCTGAGGCTTCTGCATTCTTCACGTAGTTCTCTAGCGTTGGTTTTCAGCTCCATCGGCTCCTTTAAGCACTTCTCTGTATTGGTTATTCTAGTTATACATTCTTCTAAATTTTTTTCAAAGTTTTCAACTTCTTTGCCCTTGGTTTGAATGTCCTCCCGTAGCTCAGAGTAATTTGATCGTCTGAAGCCTTCTTCTCTCAGCTCGTCAAAGTCATTCTCCATCCAGCTTTGTTCCGTTGCTGGTGAGGAACTGCGTTCCTTTGGTGGAGGAGAGGCGCTCTGCTTTTTAGAGTTTCCAGTTTTTCTGTTCTGTTTTTTCCCCATCTTTGTGGTTTTATCTACTTTTGGTCTTTGATGATGGTGATGTACAGATGGGTTTTTGGTGTGGATGTCCTTTCTGTTTGTTAGTTTTCCTTCTAACAGACAAAACCCTCAGCTGCAGGCCTGTTGGAGTACCCTGCCATGTGAGGTGTCAGTGTGCCCCTGCTGGGGGGTGCCTCCCAGTTAGGCTGTTCGGGGGTCAGGGTCAGGGACCCACTTGAGGAGGCAGTCTGCCCGTTCTCAGATCTCCAGCTGTGTGCTGGGAGAACCACTGCTCTCTTCAAAGCTGTCAGACAGGGACATCTAAGTCTGCAGAGGTTACTGCTGTCTTTTTGTTTGTGCCCTGCCCCCAGAGGTGGAGCCTACAGAGGCAGGCAGGCCTCCTTGAGCTGTGGTGGGCTCCACCTAGTTCGAGCTTCCCGGCTGCTTTGTTTACCTAATCAAGCCTGGGCAATGGCAGGCATCCCTCCCCCAGCCTCGCTGCCGCCTTGCAGTTTGATCTCAGACTGCTGTGCTAGCAATCAGCGAGACTCCGTGGGCGTAGGACCCTCCGAGCCAGGTGCGGGATATAATCTCGTGGTGCGCCGTTTTTTAAGCCCGTCGCAAAAGAGCAGTATTCGGGGAGTGACCCGATTTTCCAGGTGCCGTCCGTCCCCCCTTTCTTTGACTCAGAAAGGGAACTCCCTGACCCCTTGCACTTCCTGAGTGAGGCAATGCCTCGCCCTGCTTCGGCTCGCGCACGGTGCGCACACCCACTGACCTGCGCCCACTGTCTGGCACTCCCTAGTGAGATGAACCCGGTACCTCAGATGGAAATGCAGAAATCACCCGTCTTCTGCGTCGTTCACGCTGGGAGCTGTAGACCGGAGCTGTTCCTATTCGGCCATCTTGGCTCCTCCCTCAAAATTATTTCTTATATTAAGAAGTTTTGTAACACCTAAAGTGTTACCCAAAGAGGGTGTAGGAAAATGCCTAAATTGGTATGACTATTTTGGAGGACAATGACAATATCCATCAAAAAGTAAAATTCACATTCCTTTTGAACAAGCAAGTCTACTGCTAGAAATTATCCTACATCCATCATACACACAAATACAAATAGACAAAAGTACAATAATCTGTACCACAGAAGTCTTTGTAACCCAAAAAACTAGAAACCACTTAAAATGTTAATTAAGAGCAGATGGGCTTTTTGGCTCAGTGTGGTGGCTCACACCTGTAATCCAAGCACTTTGGGAGGCCAAGGTGGACAGATCATTTGAGGTCAGGAATTCTAGACCAGCCTGGCCAACATGGTGAAACCTGGTCTCTACTAAAAATACAAAAATTAGCCGGTTGTGGTGGCACACATCTGTAATCCCAGCTTCTTGGGAGGCTGAGGCAGGAGAATCTCTTGAACCTAGGAGGTGGGGGCTGCAGTGAGCCGAGATTGTGCCACTGAACTCCAGCCCGGGCAACAGAGCAAGACTTTGTCTCAAAAAAAAAAAAAAAAAAAAAAGAGCAGATAAGCTTTCATATACATATATACTATTCACTATCACCACACAATAGAATACCATGCACTGCTAAATAAATAAAGTATAACAGCAGATAGCTTATAAAATAAGTACAGTGACATGGAAAATGATTAAGATGTGTCATAAAATGGAAATAAGTTACAGAATATGTTTTCACTCAATAGATATTTCAATAACTACTTTGTATGCCCGGCAGTGTTCCAGAAAAAAGAATGTATGTGGCATAAGCCCATTTGTATGGAAGAAAAATAAATACTACAATAAGAATATGTTGCTTGCCTGGCAAGATTTTTGGTCACTTTTAAAGAACAAATAATTATTTTAAATTTTGGTACAATGTTGCGCAGATATAGCTGTGAGCCTGGATGATTCGTTCCCAATTTTTAAATGTATTATTTATTGAGAAACTAAAGGCAGGCACTACTATGCTAGGTATTGATATTAAGAAGCAATCAGGTATATTTCCCCACAAGACAAATTATTTAATTTCCACATTTTATTTAATTTTTTAAATTTTTTTATTTTTGAGATGGAGTCTCGCTCTGTCGCCTAGGCTGGAGTGCAGTGGCACGATCTTCGCTCACTGCAACCTCCACCTCCCAGGTTCAAGCAATTCTGCCTCAGCCTCCCGAGTAGCTGGGACTACAGGCACATGTCACCACGCCTGGCTAATTTTTAGTATTTTTAGTAGAGACGGGGTTTCACCGTGTTAGCCAGGATGGTCTCAATCTCCTGACCTTGTGATCCACCCACCTCGGCCTCCCAAAGTGCTGGGGTTACAGGCATGAGCCACCGCACCTGGCCTTAATTTCCACATTTGTAAAAATGTTAAGAGCTATATGTTGTGAGATGCATCCTTATTTACAAAGATATTTCAACAAAAAAATTATGCCTATTAGAATCAAAATATGATAGCAAAACAGGAAGCATACTTACTAAACTTTTACAAATATCTGCAATGTCATTCATTAGCTTTGATGTTAACAATCGCAGGAAAAAGCCAGATGCAATCTTATTTGGACTCTTCTGCAATTAAGACAAACAAAGAACCAAGCAACAAAGAAATAAAAACAATTATTCTTGGCAGACAGTGTTTTCTCTATCTTGAATGGAATGTAGATAAATAGTTTACTATTAGGGCCAATATATATGCTGCTTCAAAAACACATCTTTTCTTAGAGTTATAATAACTATACTGTACATCTTTCATTGTGCTTTAACAACATTAAAGTAACAGCTATTGACCCTAAAGATAAGTGAGCTATAATTATAGGTTAGAGTTTATTCTACTTTTCTCCTTCCCCACTTACACCAAAAAGGAGGAAAAACACATTACAAAACCAAGAAATATGTTGATAATATTGCTATATGGCCATGTACCTAATACTAGGTTTGAAATATATTTCCAATTATTATCAATACTCTGGGGCCTGGCTTGGCTATCCCACAGGCTGCTGCAGATAAAAACAAAGATTAAACACAGTAGCACTCTTTCTACCAAATGTTATGTAAGGTGATCTGAGCAAAAGAAAGTAAACTATGTGCTGGAGTTATTGTTGTGTTGCTCACTAGCCCCGCTACGCATACCACATAGTTTGGGTCAAAAAATTTTTATTAAATGAATGAAAGTGTCCCAGGAATAAAAGAGTCATCTATATGGTTGTATATAAAAGTCATAAGGCAATCTCAGAAAAATTCCTGAAATTATAAAATTAGTTTCATGAGAAACTCAGATTCCTATTGCTTATTTGTCTGGATATTACCTTTATGTACCATTCAACTGAATTTTAAATCAATTTGTATAACTTATGAATGTGAACAGATATGGTAGCTGACACCTGTAATCACAGCACTTTGAGATGTAAGCATCACTTGAGCCCAGGGTTTGAGACTAGCCTGGGCAATGTGTAAAACCCCATCAATACAAAAAATTACAAAAATACAAAAATCAGCCAGGCATGGTGGTGTACACTTGTAGTCCCAGCTACTAAGGAGGCTGAGGTGGGAGAATCACTTGAGCCCAGGAGGTCGAGGCTGCTGTGAGCCCAGGAGGTCGAGGCTGCTGGATCGCAGTGATGTGATCACTCACTCTGGGTGAAAGAGTGAGAGACTGTCTCAAAAAAAAGAAAAATAAAAGTAAAAAATAAACTTACGAGTGGACACCAAAACAGTAACACCAACCAGTGATCAATTCCCTGCATAGGCTACACTTTCAAGTAAAAAGAAAATTTTAGCTAGGTGGTACATGCCTGTAGTCCCAATTACTTGGGAGGCTGAGGCAGGAGAATTGCTGGAAACCAGGAGGTCAAGGCTACAATGAGTTGTGACAATCCCACTGCACTCCAGCCTGGGTGACAGAGAAAGATCCTATCTCAAAAAACAAAACAAGAAGAAGAAAATCTTACCTTGGTACAGTTGCTCAAGCAACGTGTACATAGCTGCATCATATTTCTCAAGGAACCAATTCTGAATTCCTCATTTGTCTTATTTTTAAACAGAGTGATACTTTCTCCTGCACATTGCATTAGAGACTATTGTGAATAGAAGGAAAAATGCAAATTCCAGTTAAAATTATAGTTTAGTATTGCTTTTTACAGTGTACTTTGATCTTGGACATACTATAAAATAAAAAATAAAGTGCACTTAAGAGAAAAAATGAAATGTTTTTAGAAGTTCCACGTAGTCATACAGTATAAGCAAAACTCATTAACAATTTTTTAAAATGGCAAATCTTATACTCTGTTCTTGCAAATCATACCAGTGACAGAGTACTACCAAGAGATAAGAAAGAGTTTCATGCTTACAGCCTATCATTAAAAAGTCAGGAAACAACAGATGCTGGACAGGATGTGGAGAAACAGGAATGCTTTTACACTGTTGGTGGGAGTGTAAATTAGTTCAATCATTGTGGAAGACAGTGTGGCAATTCCTCAAGGATCTAGAACTAGAAATACCATTTGACCCAGCAATCCCATTACTGGGTATATACACAAAGGATTATAAATCATTTTACTATAAAGACACATGCACACGTATGTTTATTGCAGCACTGTTCACAACAGCAAAAACTTGGAAGCAACCCAAATGCCCATCAATGATAGACCGGATAAAGATAATGTGGCACATATACACCATGATATACTATGCAGCCATAAAAAAGGATGAGTTCATGTCCTTTGCAGGGACATGGATGAAGCTGGAAACCATCATTCCCAGCAAACTAACACAAGAACAGAAAAACAAACACTGCATGTTCTCACTCATAAGTGGCAGCTGAACAATGAGAACACATGGACACAGGGAGGGGAACATTATACACCAGGGCCTGACAGGGGGTCGGGGGCTAGGGGAGGGATAACATTAGGAGAAGTACCTAATGCAGATGACGAGTTGATGGGTGCAGCAAACCACCATGGCACTGTATATCTATGTAACAAACCTGCATGCTCTACATCATGTACCCCAGAACTTAAAGTATAATAATAATTAAAAATTAAACAATTAAAACAATTTAAAAAATACATAGTATAATTTCTTCTCACATTACATAAATAAAAGAGAAAGGGTTAACCTGCATAAAATTTAATGTCTTCCAAACAAATGTAATAATTTTCACAGGAATACATTTCATTCAAATTTATCCGAAACTTTATTAGTATAAATTCTCCTACCTTGGCTTTCTGGAATAATTCTGACTTATATGCTTCCTCTTCAGCTATTACACCCATGTAACAGTAGCAGCCAAGGACACCCACCAAAAGACGTGAACACCGGACAAGAGTTTCTGAATTTGTAATCTTAAAGTAAACCACAAATAAAAATATATATATTTCATAAATAATTTAGTATACTCTATCTTTTGTAAGAACAAATTCTACATACATATTAAAAAACAAAAGTTCAGTTAACTGAGTTAAAGGTGGCATATCCTGGATAGCTCTAAAAACAACTAGGAGATCACTGTAGAATTATAACCAGGATTCTCAAGAAAAATAGCCTAAGTATCTCCTGATGGCCAAGCAGGATATATCATCTTAGGGTGGAGGGTGTACTGTACACATAGGCCCTTAAATATTTGAGGTAGGGATGAAAGAAAAGAAAAAAAGCTTCACAGGCAAATAAATGACTGTAAGTCTTAGAACACAAGTAGAAATTACAGTCATATAAAGAGACATTAAAATGACATTTTAAGCTTCTGAAGAATAGGAACCTTGACTTATTCAGCTTTTTAGACTCCACAGAATAGCATAAAACATTTTTTCTAGTAGATACAAGTTTTGACAGCTGGCCGGGCATGGTGGCTCACGCCTACAACCCCAACACTTTGGGAGGCCGAGGCGGGCAGATCACCTGAGGTCAGGAGTTCGAGACCAACCTGGCTAACGTGGTGAAACCTTGTCTCTACTAAAAATACAAATATTAGCAGGGCGTGATGGCAGGCACCTATAATCTCAGCTACTCAGGAGGCTGAGGCAGGAAAATTGCTTGAACCCAGGAGGCGAAGGTTGCAATGAGCCGAGATCAGGCCACTGCACTCCAGCCTGGGCAACAGAGCAAGACTCCATCTCAAAAAAAAAAAAAAAAAAAAAGTTTAGACAATTTTATAGAATTACTAAGAATCTGCTAAGTTACACACAAAATGTTCAGATTTTTTTTGTTCCTACAGGGTAGGAAACGGCATTTTAGGAGAAAATATACAAAACTAAATTACTTTGTAATGAAAGTGGTTACAATTGTGGTGCAGAAGAATGTCAGTAAAGATCATAAAGAGGCACACTGTCCCCTCTCATGTCCTCAAGTCATTTTCCCTGGCTACCGAATTCACTCCTTTGAATGGATTGTAGGCTTTATTTAATCATTTACCATGTAATAAGGCACTGTGGAGGATATAAAGATAAATAAAAACATGTATGCCCTTTTAAGAGTTTATGTTTAAGAGTTATAGTTCAAGAGATATTTGTATACAAACCATATGTAAATATCCATGGTATAAAGAAGATGCTAACTGCCATTAAAAATGTGAAACATTAAGTACTATGAAATTAAAAGATGAAAAATTATTAGGCCAGGCACCGTGGCTCACGCCTGTAATCCTAGCACTTCGGGATGCTGAGGCGGGTCCATCACCTGAGGTCAGGAGTTTAAGACCAGCCTGGCCAACATAGCAAAACCCCATCTCTACTAAAAATACAAAAATTACCTGGGCGTGGTAGCACTCGCCTGTCCCAGCTACTCGGAAGACTGAGGCAGGAGAATTGCTTGAACTGGAAGACGGAGGTTGCAGTGAGCCAAGATCACGTCACTGCACTCCAGCCTGGGCAACAGAGCGAGGCTCTGTCTCAAAAATAAAAATTCTTAGAATCTTACTTTCTGAGATTCTAAGAAAGGCGTTAGCAAGGATTTTCACATGTGGATGATCTGAATACACAGAAATAGGTAGAAAGACATTTCACATTTTAAAAAATGCAAGTTTTGGCAAGAGAATAGTATACATGAAGAGAACTCGTGATTTTGAGGCTAAAGGAAATTCCTAGATGACGTCTAAAATAATTGCTAGTCCATTTATTGTCTTTACTAATCACTCATCTCTCTTCAGATGCCACCAAAATCTATTAGATTTGTTTACATCGTGTTCTTTTCTATTACTGTAACATTTCCCTCCTTTGTATTTAGAGGTTTTTTTCATCATATAATCCCTATGCTCAAACTCTTACTATTCCTCACTAACCTACACAAGGAATTATTTTATGTCTACCATAATTTCCAGTACAAAGGAAGTACTCAAATTATTATTCTTGAGTTTTCCTTTAATTATGCTAAGTTGTCCAATTTAGAGCCCTTTACTGCCACTTTGCTTTTAAAATGAAGCCTCCCACCATCCTTGCTGTTTTTCCTGCCCCTATTTCTCCTTCCTAACAGTTTACCAAAGTTGAATCATATATAAGCTTAGTTCTTTTTTTAAAAAATCTCACCTCAGATGAGTAATTATTCAGAAGCTGTTCTGATAATCCCAGAAGACAGCGATCCAGTGATTCCTTGAGATTCTGGTGGACAGAGAAGCCAATACTGGACTGGTGCTTTTCTATACCACATTCTCTCACAATGGTTAAAAAGTCCATCTTGTCAAAAGTTGTCTGAAGAAATAGTTCTTCTACTTCTGAGAATGAAAGTTCTTCTTTATCTTTTTGGTGGTGTTCACTTCAAGAAAGTAAGATCTTTAATATATAAACCAAGTACCTAATGCTTTGCCTTATATGTATTAGCAATATATTACAAAGGAAAACATTAACCTAGTATCTACATCATTCAAAGACTACTTATATAATTAATAGATTATTCTTTTAAATGCTTCTCTTCTTCGGACTTTGAGACCTACTTATATCAAATGTCATTATTCAGTAGCAAATTTTACTAATAGATAGAGAAAAAATACAAGTTACAATCTCAAAGGCAAATTCAGAAAGTATTTTTAAAAACACCAGATATAAATGTTAAGCATAACATTGTCTGCAAACATATCCCTTTTTTCACCAAGCAGAGGAAGTAAAGAGCATAGGTTTAAAAACCTTTAACATCTGGTATAGGTAAGCAGTTACGCATCCTTTTGCCCTCTTGAGGGAGATAAGGAATGTTTGTGCCAGTGAGTCATTTTCAGTCACAGCAATACAATCTAAGTCTCTTGAGTCAATCAACTAAACTCAGGTTTAGATTTATTTTTGTTTTCAATTATCATTAGTTTTTAAAGCTAACAAATAGTCAAATCATAGTTGATGTACAGAAATGGGTAACATCTTTAAGAACTTATTTCATATAAATTTTATATTCTTAATTTCCCAGCATAACCATTCAGTTTTTCTCATTGGCACTTGTCACATATTATACTATACAGCATTAAAAAATAGTAAGCTTGGTCTAATGTTATATAACATAGATTACAATCACTGAATTAAAACAACCTCTTCCCTGGCTAACAGTTGCAATTTTTTTGGACCAATTTAGTTTACAATTATTAAGATGCAGCTACTACCCAGCTAAAATTATCATCTTTGTAATTAAAGCTATAGCTTAAAATGATAAAGAGCATTATTAGATAACATACCATTCTGGCACGCTTTGGAAAAAATTCATTGCAGCTTTACAGTTTTTCATAGTGAGACTCACAAGAATTTTCTCCAGTACAAGATGAGGAAAATTACTACAAAGAAAAACAAAAAGCTTCACTTAGAAGACCAAAAGCCATGTAAAGAATACTTTAAACTTTAACATCCATGTTTAGCTATAAATCTTGACTTCTAAAATTTGGATCCTAGATTAAAATTGCTTTCATCTATACTAAATTTCTTAATATCTAAAAGGACAATTTAAGGAGGACAACCATTGTTATTATCATTTCCAATACTGTTTAGAAACAGCATGTTTAACATTATTTCTGAAATAAATAAAAGGTTGTAAAATTAAAGCAAAAGTACTTTAATTGGATCCATTCGGAGGTCTGCTCTCCAATCATTTGGTTCCAATTACCAATCTGTGGAAAGGTTAAGTGGACGAGGGACTCCATTCCTTTATCCTAGTGCTTACATCCTGTTTTGTCTTCCTCGTTTCCTCACCTCATTCATAAAACATCTTTTACCCAAAAGACACTCCCATTATGAGAAAGGATCCAGGATCTACATGACTCAAATATATGGACTTACTTATTTAAAAAATCAGAAAGGAACACATAAATGCTCAAAGAATTATATGTGCATTTTTCATGCACATCCCCCATATTCTCACAGTGAGACAACCCTTTATTTCAGAAGCAATCAGGCATAAAGACACAGATAACTGTAAAAACAAACATAATATTTAATAATTAAGGTTAGATCTGGGAAATTCTGCATTATTATTATAAAATAAAGCCATCTGGCATCAAATAAGTGGAGAGAGCCTGATAAAACAAACAAAAAAAACAGCAGCATGCTAATGAACTTAAATTACCTGTGAAGAATTGGAGGCACTTCTGTGCTATTTTCTAAGTCACCCTCTAACTGATAGAATAAGAGCCATTTCATTATTGATTCCTTTAAAGAAAAGCTTCTATTTACTTCACACATATTTTGCTCTATTCCCATTTTTACCGTTCCTGGAACTATACTGGTGGTCAGTGCCAAAGTCAAACAGCATACTGCAGGACTATAACAAAACAAAGGACAATTGTGAAAAGCAAGCTATTGGAGGGGCAAAGACTTTATCTATCAGGACAGTGCCTGGCACATACATTTAGTTAAGGTGACTAAATGAACATAAAAACTGTTAAAAGTCTGATTACATTTGGGAAGATTCTTGATTAAAAAATAGCTCGTTTATTAACAGTGCATAGTACTACAATTTAAACATGGCTATTTAATAAATAATGATAAATTGCACATAAAAGAAATTTAAACTCTTCATAATTCTTTAAAGAAAGTCTTTTGGATACACGTATACAATTAGAAGGAATAAGACCTGGTGTCCGATACATCAGTAGGGTGACTACGGTTAACATTAATCTATTGTACATTTCCAAACAGCAAGAAGAGAATAATTCAAACGTTCCTAGCATGAAGAAAAGATACGTAGGGTGCTGATATCCCATCACCCTACATGAGTGTGTCATATGAGTGTGTCAAATTATCACATGTACCTTGATAATATATAACTCTATTATAGATCAATTAAAAATTTTTTAACTAAAAAAGAAATTCCTTAACATTAGTCTTTAATAATTTGTCAACATTTGAAACTAAATTCACTTATGCATTTATTAAGTCTTCTCGGCCAAACAAGAAAAGCATCTGAAATAGAATTTGACATCTTTAACTGAAGTAACAAACTATGAAAATGATCAGGGATATGTGAGTGTGTGTGTGTCTGTGTGTGTTTATCTGTAAGTCAGACATAATGCATGCTGAACTTACCATGAAGGTCTGCAGGCTGACCCAGTAAATAACTTCCAGAATTCTCTGTCAACCTCAACTAAACTACCCTGAATTATGGCTCCAAGTAAGCCAAAGTTTTCAGCTTGTATTTGCTCAGAACTTATACCACGAAAGGTAATACACCAAATTTTATTCCAGAGTTTTAATAAATCTGACTTTTGTGAGCTTTCTAGGTTTGACCTCTTGTCTTGACACAATGCAACTTCCGTAAGGCATCGTAACACATATGGTGTACGTTCCCCATGTCGCTGTTGGGGTAGAAGCTGAGATAGTATCATCAGTAATGGAGACAGCTCACAGTTAGGTAAACTTGCAGGATACTTTGATATTAATTGGGTTGCAATCTGTAGCCTAAAAAAAAAAAAAAAGGATAATTTGAAAACTATTCCATCACATTAACAAACTAAAAGGAAATATATAGACATGGTACTCTTACAATATCCTAATTAGAGAATCACCATCATTTCCATAGTACTCTAAAAATAAACTGGCTGTTAATAGTTACTATGTCCTACTTCCTAAATTGGCAGGAAAATTGTCAACGTTTGGCTAGCTGGGTAAGCTGTTAAGTTTCCCTTAAACAAATATTTTAAAGGATATTAAATTAGCAATATTTGGGCCAGGTGGTTTCCCAGCACTTTGGGAGGCCAAGGCAGGCAGA
Organism: Homo sapiens; assembly: GCF_000001405.40. Classification (NCBI taxonomy): domain Eukaryota; kingdom Metazoa; phylum Chordata; class Mammalia; order Primates; family Hominidae; genus Homo; species Homo sapiens. Next base: position 108,250,390 of record NC_000011.10, on the reverse strand, counting down.
TCACGAGGTTAGGAGTTTGAGACCAGCCTGGCCAACATGGTGAAACCCAGTCTCTACTAAAAATACAAAAATTAGCCGGGCATGGTGGCACATGCCTGGAATCCCAGCTACTCAGGACGCTGAGGCAGGATAACTGCTTGAACCTGGGAGGTGGAGGTTGTAGTGAGCCAAGATTGTGCCACTGCACTCCAGCCTGGGTGACAGAGTGAGCCTCCGTCTCAGAAAATATATATATATATATATATATATTTAGCAATATTTTATTTCTGAGTTATCTTGTACATCCTTGCTCTTTAGTCACCAAACGATTCCTCTAAAACAGGAAAACAAAGAAACCCAAAAAACTGTTTTTCCTTTACATTAATTCAGTTAATCCAATAAACATTTGCTGTGTATTCTCTAGAATGTGTGATACTTAAGAATAGGAGTCTTATGTTATTCATCTCTGTATATCTAACGCTTAGCCCATAACAGGTGTTCAATAAATTACTCTTGACTAAAAGGACAAATTAAGAATCTTAAATAGCTACTCTTAACTATATAAAAATGAGCTTAAGCAATAGGTATCTAAATCAATATGCTTTTCCCCAGAAGTCACTTACACTTAAACATTCCATCAACATGGTAATCAAAAGAGCACTGATCACGAGTTTGACTATAATCTATAAATCTCTGTCCCTACAGAAGTTGCTTAACCTCTCTGGGTTTCAGTTTCTTTTCAGTAAAGCAAACAGGCTGAACTAGATAAATTCTAAACATCCTTACCAGATCTAATATTTTGGGATTCCAAAGTATCCATAATTTATTTGATTACTTAAATATATGTGAACGTTACATGAGAATAAAGAAGATAGAAAATAAGAGAAAATAACTTTTTATCATGGCATAAGGTCAAAATTATTCTGTGATTTCTTAAGATTATCTTTAACTTCTTCCTAATTCTATTAGAAGGTGCTACGTATGCTAAAATCTATTGTTGAAGCGTACAATTCAGTGAATTCCATGAGGTGCACACTTCTAATTGCCTATCAGAGAGCCAGTCCTCCTTCTTAACTTGCTATGACAATATGATTAAAATAGGTGGCCCTGCACTTGGCCCAAGCAAATGAGCCATTAATGATTGATCTCATTTGTCATGGCAATCACATATCCCTTTGCTAGTAATAGGTTTGGGGGTAGACAAATGACTTAGTTCTGGTTGAGATGAAAGGATTCCACTGAAAGTTTTCTGAAAAATAACATACAAGAGATTAAAATGACACTGAATGAGAAAATGGTAACACTTTACCAAGGCACAAGATCAAAATCATTCTGTGACTTCTGAAGGTGATCTTTTATTACTTCCCAGCCTAGTTCTATTTTCTTCCTTTTGCAAGGGACACTGTAATCACTAGATTCTCTTTGTGTAGTAGTGTAAGATTGAGAAATCTCCAAGGATCTGGTATCTTCATTAAAAACCTGTAAAATAAAAATAAATCCACTTTTTTCTTTTTTTTTTTTTTGAGCCAGAGTTTCGCTGTTGTTGCCCAGGTTGGAGTGGAACAGCACGATCTCGTATCACCACAACCTCTACCTCCCAGGTTCAAGTGATTCTCCTGCCTCAGCCTCCCGAGTAGCTGGGATTACAGGCTTGCACCACCATGCCCAGCTAACTTTGTATTTTTAGTAGGGACAGAGTTTCTCCATGTTGGTCAGACTGGTCTTGAACTCCCAACCTCAGGTGATCTGCCCGCCTTGGCCTCCCAAAGTGCTGGGATTACAGGTGTGAGCCACCACGCCTGGCCAAATACACTTTTTTCATTGCTATTGTCTTCTAATATTTCATTAGGGGGAAAAAAAATTCTTTCTGAAATGAAGATACAGGGAACTCATAAAGCAAGAGTAATACATTACAGAAACATATAAATCTGATAACATAGTAAGAAACAAACATTTTGCATGACAGTAATGGCACTTTAGAAAGCAGGTATTACCAAGTAATGCATTAGTTTTATTTCCTGGGAACATTTACTAAAAGCACTAAGAAATCTAAAAGTAAAGCAAAAACCTTTACTTTCAAAGGGATTCAAGTTTTTAAATTTAAGAAATTTTAAGAAATATTAAGAAAATATTTGACAGAGTGAAATTACTACTCAGGATGTTAACCAAATCTCTGGGGAACAGAGTTTTATTTAAGAAACATTAGGCCATCAGGTGATGGATGGGTAAGTAAAATGGAGTATATCCATACAACTGAATATTATTCAGCAATAAAAATGAATGAAGTACTGATTCATGGTAAAACATGAACTTTGAAAACATTATGCTTAGTGAAAGAAACCAGACACAAAAGACTCACATATTGTATGATTCCATTTAAACGAACTGTCCCAAACAGGAAAATCCACAAAAACCAAGATTGATTAGTGGCTGGTTGCCAGGATCTAGGAGATGCAGGGAATTGGGACTGAATGCTAAGAAGGGATGAGGTTTCTTTTGGGATGATAAAAAAGTTCTGGGCTGGGCACGGTGGCTCACGCCTGTAATCCCAGCACTATGGGAGGCCGATGCAGGAGGATCACAAGGTCAGGAGTCTGAGACTAGGCTGGCCAATATGGTGAAACCCAGTCTCTACTAAAAAAACAAAAATTAGCTGGGCGTGGTGGCAGGCACCTGTAGTCCCAGCTACTCGGGAGGCTGATGCAGGAGAATCACTTGAACCCGGGAAAGGGAGGTTGCAGTGAGCGGAGATTGTGCCACTGCACTCCAGCCTGGGTGACAGAGCAAGACTCCATCTCAAAAAAATAAAAATAAAATAAAAAAAGTTTCCAGAATTAGTGATGATGGTTGTACAACATAGTAAAAATACTAAAAACCACTGAAATGTACAACTCAAAATCGTGAATTTTATGCTATGTGAACTCTAGCTTAATTGCAAAAAAGAAACAGACTGGGCTTGGTGGCTCATGCCTGTAATCCCAGCACTTTGTAGAATACAGTCGAGTCGAATCGAATCATTAGGGTTAGGGTCACCTTATTTCCTAGAGACAATCATTTAAGAATGAAAAAGTTCATTGTTAGTTTTCAAATATCTGCAAAAGCATTAACTTTTAAGTTAAAAGGGTAATTCCAAATATTTCTGATAGTTTGAAAGGAATAGTTGCATGTACAGAGTCATTTTATAGGCTTTTTGTGAGAACACAGGTTTTAAAAGCCCAAAATGCCCAGTTTAAAAAAAAAATTAACAGGAAATTTCTAAATGTGACATGACCTACTTACTGTACCTGGTGACAGATATCTGCCATCAATTCAATCAAATTTTCTTTGACGGCAATATTACGAAATCCTGAAGAATACTTTCCTCTACTTCCTATATGACTTATCTCATTCACTAGCAGATCATATAAGTTGTATAAAATACTTCTCCATTTTGTTGATTCATAAGCACCTGTAATCCAAAAAATTAAAATGTAATTTTTATGTATGTACTCTGTTTACACTGCTAGCTCCCACAAAATTATTCAGCTGTCAAGCTGCATCAGCGTTAGAAGACACCTGGTCCAACCTTCCATTCAGTACTAATGCCTCTTCTGACAAGATCCTTGACAAACTCTATTTCATAACTGTCCATTTTACATTTAGATAACTGTGTTTCTTATAAATTTCTTCCATATTCTGACCTAAAATCTGTCTTTCTCCAATTTATTCTCCCACCTGAGGCAAATACAATTAATATGTTCCCTCTTTCATATGAGGACCAAGTTCTCCGTATGCCTTTTTCTGGCCTAAGAGAAAAATATTACGAGTTCCTTCAACTAGTGTAAAAATGACATATTATTCAGACTTCTCACCATTTCAGTCATCTTTCCCAAGACACATTCCAGTCAACTTAAAATGCTGACTATACAAAATCTGGTGAACATGGTAATCCAACTGTGGCTTGACTAGTATGCGAAACAAAAGGTCTATTATTTCTCACAAACAAGGTACTACAAAATCTATTAAAGTAGTCTGAAACTACATTAGCTTTTCTGGCATCCTCATCATCCTGCCAATTTTAAATTCACCCTAAATATGCAGTTAACTAAATCCCTAAACATATCATATCACCTCCTAATAAGCCTGATCTTCATCCTGGAGATAAGAGGTGAGTAAAAGATGAAAAACTATTAAAAGTCACTATTCTTTCACTTATAGTAGTTTCATGGGCTACATATTATCTAGATATACTTATTAGAAGAGCCCATAAAACAAATACACAGCTACTTTTGATAAAAAGTGGCTACACGGCCGGGCACAGTGGCTCATGCCTGTAATCTCAGCACTTTGGGAGGCTGAGGCGGGTGGATGGTTTGAGGTCAGGAGCTCAAGGCCAGCTTGGCCAACATGGTGAGACCCCATCCCTATTAAAATACAAAAATTAGCTGGGCATGGTGCCAGGCATCTGTAATCCCAGCTAATCAGAACGCTGAGGCAGGAGAATTGCTTGAACCCAGGAGGCGGAGGTTGCAGTGAGCTAACATTGCGTCACTGCACTTCAGCCTGGGCGACAGAGTGAGACTCTGTCTCAAAAAAAAAAAAAAAAAAAAAGTGGCTACAAGACATTTCCTCCATTATAGCTGCTATTACTCAATGTGGTATGCTGTTTTAAGAAAGTCACTATACTAGCCATGATGAGTTGGTCCAAAGGCTAGTATAAGCCCAAAGGCAATCATAGACAGAGCAAGAGGAAACTCCAGTTCCAGCCAATAAAGTTCCTAACTACAGAAAAGCACTATACCTTCTGGGCAATACTCTCTTGGTATAGGACATATATGAAGGAATTAAGGAGAATAAGTGATTCTCCTTAACAAGTGATACTCTAGGGCAAACAGGGCCCTAGAGTAACTATGAGGCTTAAGGCAGCAATTTCCCTGTTTCTGCCTCAAATTCCTATTAAAGTAATATGTATGTATCTTCCTCAGGAGCTGAATAATCTGACTGGTTTTAGTCCAATTTACGTATTTTATCTTCTAATAAAAGTAATAGGTGGATAAACAAGATCCTGCTTTCTTTAAATTCTTTTGCCCTACAGTCTGTGTCAGACCCCTTAGTATCTAAGTATTGATGCATAAGTAGCTCCTAGAGGGAACAATGTCTCAGATTTTTTTGTATTTCCCATAATACCTAATATTGTATTGAACAAATAGAAAGGCATAACAGAATCTGCTACCACTGCTTCAAATTCTAAAAACTCTATGAAAAACATTCTCATGGCTAAGTAACATTATCAACCAGAGAAATCCAGAGGAAAGTCATATCCTCCTAAAGAACACTAATTTTATACTTAGACTTCTATGTTTGAATGAAGAAGCAAATTCAAAACAGTAAACATTTCCTTTATACCTTTTTCTTGGGTTTTGGCTCCTTTCGGATGATGGATATAAATTTGCAGTTGAAATAATTCAATAATGACTTCTTTTAAAGAATCATTAAGCCTATGTTGAGTCCAAATATAAAGCAAAGTGGGAAGAATTTCATCTCCTAATTCACACACTCGAATTCGAAAGTTGACAGCCAAAGTCTTGAGGAAGATAGTAAGAGCTGCTAAGATATGATTTAGACCTGAAGAGCTCTTTTCTTGTCTGTGAAGAAACAAACAAGCTCAACTGGGTATAACAGGGGGAACAAACTGTACAAACTGAACAGTTATGAAGTGGTATGCTGAAAGAAAAAAAAACAAAACCCTAATTTTCAAACAGTAGTCTTAATTTCAAAACTATTCATTAAAAAAAAAAATCACAGCATTACTTCACACTGACAAAAAATTAGTTCTTATTTGGTGTTAAGAGACCACTTCTGTTAGCTCTCCCTCCTGCTAAAACATTGTATAAAAATAAACAAAACTGATTTGTAACACCATTTATAAAATGTTTCACATTATACATTGAGTACTGCCATACTAATGTACAACAGTAATACTTCCAAAATATTTTCCTATTTTATTTTATTCTCGGTATATTAAAACCATCCTCAAAATGGGGGAAATGCAATGACTTAGAGGATATTTAACTTTCCTGGTCAACAGAACATCAGCAAGACACATCTCCCCCTTGAAAACTTCACGTAGTGTTCTGCATATTGGATATTCAGAAAGTGTTGGACTTGGTTGTCTCTTTAGGAATCCACTAGTTCTGTTATGATGGATCAATGTTTTATTTTAAGGTAGAATTTTTAGTTACTGAGTCTAAAACATGGTCTTGCAAGATCAAAAGTATTTCAATACAAAACAAAAGAAAAAGAGATTAGATTACCTCGCACACTGAATAGCCTTGGAAAAAAAGTCCAAAAATTTGGAATTTAATCCGTCAGTCTGAGAACAGCATCCTTTGGTAACAGCATGAATTATTCTAGCCACTAAAACTCTATGAACATCTTGTGAAGGTTTCAGATAGAGCCTGAAGTACACAGAGAACAATTCTTAAAAAAAAAAAAAAATTATTAGTCATGATTTTTTAAAAATCAAAATGTATTAAATGTTACAATTTAACTTAAATATTCCATAATCCCATACAGAAAAAGGATTTTAAAACTGCACTAATTTATTTTTAACATAGTAAAAGTACTCCATCAGTATTTAATTTTATCTTATATAAAATGCCTTTAAGACAGGAATAACTATAAACTGCTGTGAGAGCACCAGTTTAAGAGCCAGGTCGCAGAAACATTACTTAACTTCTCTAAGCCTCTGTTCCATCATCTAGGCCTAAGAAAGCACTTACAGTACATGCTCCATGGGTTTTTCTTTCTTCTGTTTTTTGAGACAGAATCTTGCTCTGTCGTCCAGGCTGGAGTGCAATGGTGCAATCTTGGCTCACTGCAACCTCTGCCTCCTGGGTTCAAGTGATTCTCATGCCTCAGTCTCCCAAGTAGCTGGGACCACAGGCGCACAAAACCATGCCTGGCTAATTTTTGTACTGTTAGTAAAGATGGGGTTTCACCGTGTTGGTCAGGCTGGTCTCAAACTCCTGGCCTCAAGTGATCTACCCACCTTGGTCTCCCAAAGTGCTGGGATTATGGGCATGAGCCACTGGGCCTGGCCTCCACAGTTTTTTAAAATAATAATACTGTTTGATTAATAATATGCAAAAAATGTGTTGAGACCTATGAAGGGTATGAAATTTTACTCTGCTTGGTTTGTTTCTTATTTATTTGAGGTAGAGTCTTACTCTGTCACCCAAACTGGTGTGTGGTGGTAAGATCACGGCTCACTGTAGCTTCAATCTCAGCAGACTCAGGTAATCCTCCCACCTTAGCCTCCCAAGTAGCTGGGTCTAGAGGCCCACACCACCACACCCAACTGATTGGTATTTTAGGTAGAGACAGGATTTCACCATGTTGCCCAGGCTGGTCTTGAACTCCTGGGCTCAAGTGATCCACCTGCTTTGGCCTCCCAAAGTGCTAGGATTACACGCATAAGCCACTGTGCCTGGCTGAGATTTTATCTACTTGTAACCTAACAAATTAGCATGACAGTTTCCTGGGTGCTAGCAGGAAACCTGAGATTCCTGATAAGAGAAAAAGGACAGTTTATTTCTCCCAGTAATGATGGTAGCCAGACTACCTTCATTTTTGCATCAGTTCCCCAGTACCAAAGGCAAGGTGAAATGGGACACTTGACACTGCGAAAACAGTGGACTGAGTTATAACAGAGAAACCTCAAGCTTTTTATAATCAATAGGCTACAAGTAAATCTGTCCTGTTTTAGAGGAAGCCATCATCTGACCTTAGATGATCCACCTGCCTCAGCCTCCGAAAGTGCTGAGATGACAGGTGTAAGCCACTGTGCCCAGTCCCCAAATAACATTATTCACAATGTTATACTTGTGTATATTGGGACTTTATATATAGACAATCATGTCATCTACAAAGGGGAGTGTTATTTCTTCCTTTCCAATCTGTATGCCTTTTATTTTTCTTGTCTAACTACCCTGGCTAGAACCTCCAACATAATGTTGAAAAGGAGTGGTGAGAGTGCACATCCTTATCTTGTTCCCAATTTGTCTTATGAAAGGCTTTAAATTATGGATTCAATTTATTCTCCTAATAGTTATGGGACTAGTCAAATTATCTATTTTATATTGGATGACTTTTGATAATGTATGGTTTTGAGGAACTGGCCCATTTAAATTAATAGATGTTCATAGTGTTTCCTTATTATCCTTTGAATATCTATAGGATCTGCAATTAGATCTCATTTCATTTCTAATATCAGTAACTTTGGTCCTCTTTTTTTTGTTTTTTGTTTTTTTAAGAGACGGAAGTCTCACTACACTGCCCAGGCTAGATTTGGACTCCTGGGCTCAAGTGATCCTCCCACTTCAGCCTATCAAGCCATAAAAAGACATCGAGGAGCTGAGAACGGTGGTTCACACCTGTAATCCCAACACTTTGGGAGGCTGAGTTCAAGCTGCTGGCATAAGCAACATAATAAGACCTTATCTCTACTAAAAATGAAAAATTAGCAGGGTGTGATGGCTTGTGTCTGTGGTCACAGCTACTTGGAAGGGGGTGGGAGGATCATTTGAGCTCAGGAGGTCGAAGCTGCAGAGCCATGATCTCACCACCACACTCCAGCCTGGGTGACAGAGTGAGGCCCTATCTCAAAAAAAAAAAAAAAAAAAAAAAAAGAAAGAAAGAAAGACAGAAAGAAAGAAAGAGAAAGACATGGAGGAACCTTAAATGCATATTACTAAATGAAAGAAGGCAATCTGAAAATGATACATACTGTTATGATTCCAACCACAGTCACATACTACATAACAACATTCTATTCAATGACAAATGGCAATATGAAAAGGTGGTACCGTAAGATTGTATCAGAACTGAAAAATTCCTATTTAAATACTTAGTGATGTCATAGCACAAGAAATTACTCACAAGCATTTGTGGTGATACTTGTGTAAAAAAAACCCACTGCACTGCCAGTCATATAAAAGTATAATACATACAATCATGTATAGTACATAAACCTTGATAATGATAATAAATGACTAAGTTACTGGTAAAATGTTAGGTTTATGTACTTACTCTACTATGCTTTTTATCACCATTTTATACTATATTCCTCCTTCTTCTTCTTAAAAAACAAAACAAAACAAAACAGTAAAACAGTCTCAGGTAGGTCCTTTAGGAGGTATTTCAGAATAAAGCACCATTATCATAGGAGATGAAAGCTCTGTGCATGTCCCTGAAGATCTCCCAGGGGGACAAGATGCAGGGACAGAAGACAGTGATACTGATGATCCTGACCTTATGTAGGCCTAAGCTCATGTGTGTGTTTGTGTCTTTGTTTTCAACAAAAAAGTTTAAAGGAAAAAATAGAGTAATAATAATTTCATTTAAAAAGCTTATAGAACAAAAGAAAAAACATCTATAAGTATATAAGGAAAAAATATTTTTGTACAGCTGTACAATGCATTTGTATTTTAAGCTAAGTGTTATTACAAAAGAGTCAAAAAGTTTAAACATTTTTAAAGTTTATAAAGTAAAAAAGTTATAGTAGCTAATGTTACTTTAGTATTGAAGAAAGAAAAACATAAATTTTTAAATTTGGTACAGAATAAGAGTTTACAAATTCTACAGTAGTATATAGTATCCCAGGCCTTTACATTACCACACATTTACATACCCAGAGCAACTTCCAGTCCTGCAAGCTCCATTCATGGTTAAGTGCCCTAGACAGGTGTACCATGTTTTATCCTTTATACTATACTTTTACTGTACCTCCTCTATGTTTATATATGTTTAGAGACACAAATACTTGCCATTGTGTTACAGCTGCCTACAGTATTCAGTATAGTAACATGCTGCACAGGTTTGTAGTGCAGGAGCAGTAATACCATATAGCTTAGGTGCGTAGTGTTATACCATCTAAGTTTGTATAAATACACCCTATGACGTTCACGCAACAAAGAAATTGCCTAATGATGTATTTCTCAGAACATATCCACATTGTTAAGAGACGCACAACTGTATATGACATGCTGGAAAAGGCTAAACCATGGAGATAGCAAAAAGATCCATGGTTCCCACAGTTTACAAGAAGGAAGAGATGAAAAGGTGAAGCACAGAGGATTTTTCTGACAGTGAAAGTATTCTGTATGATTCTGTAATAGTGAAAAATTGTTACCATTCTCTCCCAGAGGAAAAAAAAATATGACCATCTCATTAGATACAGAAAAAGATCTTTAAAAATGTCAAAACACTTGTCAAAATCCATAGCATATGTACCACCAAAAGTGAACCTTGGACTCTGGATAATAATGATGTGTCCCAGCATAGGTTTACTGATGGTAACAAATGTACCACTGGTGCAAGATGTTGACAGTAGGGCATGCTGTGTGTGTCCAGTGGACTTTCCACTCCGTTTTGCTGTAAATTTAAAATTCCTCTAAAAGATAAAAGTCAATTTAAAAAAATGGAAACCACTAGGTTTGAGAAACTGAATAATTGACAGTGTAGCTTGAGCACAGAAATTAGAAGCGCTTTAGTTAAGTTAGACAGGTAGGAAGAAGCAAAATTATGCAGCACTTTCAAGGCCTAGAAGAGGAATCCTCATTTTCTATTAGTTGTGCTAGTGAGAATGTAGAGAAACTGGAACCCTTGTGGGCTGCTGGTGAGAATGTAAAATGGCGTAGCTCCTGTGTAAAACAGGATGTTGGTTCCTTAAAAAATTAAATATAGAATTACCACATGATCTAGCAATTCTACTTCTGGGTATATAATCAAAAGACTGAAAGCAGGAAACTCAGGAGATGTATACTCATGTTCACGGCAGCATTATTCACAATAATCAGAAGGTAGAAACAACCCATGTCCACCAATGGACGAATGAATTAACAAAATGTGGCATATACACAGAACAGAATAGTGTTCAGTTTTTAATAAGGGTGAAATTCTGACAAAAGCTGTAACACTGATGAGCCTCAAAGACATTTTGGTAAGTGTAATAAGCAGGTTGCAAAAGGACAAATACTTATAGGAGTCCTCTACTTCAGGCTGCTATAACAAAGTATTATAGGTTAGGTGGCTTAGAAACCACAGAAATTTATTTCTCTCAATTTTGGAGGCTGAAAGCAGCTCAGGTGCCAGCATTGTGGGTTTCTGGTGAGGGCCCTCTTTGGGGCTGCAGACTACTGACTTTGAACTGTATCTTCACATGGCAGAAAGACAGCAAGTTAGCTCTCTGGCCTCTTTTCATAAGGGCATTAATCCCATCCATGAAGGCTGGACCCACAGGACCTAATTACCTCCTAAATCCCACACCTCCAAATACCATCCCTTTGGGAGTTAGATTTCAACATAATTGGTGGGACACAACATTCAATCCATAAAAATGAAGTACCCCAAATAGCCAAATTCATAGAGAGAGAAAGTAGAATGGTAGCTGCCAGGGGATAGGGGAGGGGAAAATGGTAAATCATTGTTTACTGAGTATAGAAAAAAAAGTTCTGGAGATGGATGGTGGAGATGATTACACAACAATATGAATGCACTTAATACTACACAACTGTACACTTAAAAAAGTTAAAATTATAAATGTTATATATATTTTACCACAATAAATCACACTGGAGGTCCTAGCCAATGTAATAAAGCACAAAAATAAAATAAAAGCCACATGGCTCAGAAAGAAAGAAAAAAAAATTACTGCTTACAGAAGACATGTTTGTCTACAAAGAAAATCCAAAAGAACATTCAAAGAAAGCTACTAGATTTAGTAAGTGATTTTAGCAAGGTCCCAAAATACAAGGTCACTATACAAAAATTAACTGGACTTCTGTATAATTTTTGTGCATTGAACAATTTGAAAATCAAAATGTTAAAAACAATGCAATTACAAACTACTGCAGTATAAATCTAACAAAACATATACAAAATCTTTATGTTTATACAATTATAAATAAATGTCAATTTGCAGCTGGGCATGTTGGCTCATGCCTATAATCCCAACACTTTGGGAGGTCAAGGGAAGGGTATCACTTGAGCCCAGGAGTTTGAGACCAGCCTAGGCAACACAGTGAGATCCTGTCTCTATTTTTTTTAATATATAAAATTAAAGAAAAAAAATTGTCAATTTACAACAAAAAATCTATATGCTGACAATTATAAAACACTAATGAAAGAAATCAAAAAAGACAAGTGGCCAGACGCGGTGGCTCAAGTCTATAAACCCAGCACTTTGGGAGGCTGAGGCAGGTGGATCACCTGAGGTCAGGAATTCGAGACCAGCCTGGCCAACATGAGGAAACCCTGTCTCTACTAAAAATACAAAAATTAGCTGGGTGTGGTGGCACATGCCTGTAATCCCAGCTACTCAGGAGGCTGAGGCAGGAGAATCGCTTGAACCTAGGAGGTGGAGGTTGCAGTGAGGTGAGATCGTGCCACTGCACTCCAGCCTGGGCAACAGAGGGAGACTCTGTCTCAAAAAAACAAACAAAGAAGCAAAAAAAAAAAAAAAAAAAAAAAAACCTAAGTAAATGGAGAGATATACAGTGTTCATGGATTGGAAAACTCCACATTGTTAAGATTTCTATTCTTCTCAAATTGTGCAACAGATTCAATGCAATTAGTATCAAAATCCCAGCAAGATCTTTTGTAGAAATCAGTAAGCTGATTCCAAAATTTATATGCAAATGCTGACTCAATCTTAGGCCATTCTTCTCATCTCACACTAAACTCTATATACAAATCTCATCCATAGTCATGGCTTCAGTCACCACCTGTACCAAATATATATTTTGAGCACAGACTTCGCTTCTTCCACAGAGTCCTCATCTAAGCAAGTTTTAAAAGGAAGCTAAGTAAAAAAATACTTTGACAAAAAAGCTAATTATAAGAAGTAACATCCGGGAAGAAGTGGCAAAGGTTAGCTTAAATAAAAAGAAAAAAGAAAAAAAAAGAAGTAAGAGTAGTTAGTTTAAAAATAAAAAGGGGGTTTCAGAGAACAAACTAGATGACAGAATATAGTAAGCAGACTAGGGGAAAGACTGCCTTTGTTTCAGTGACAGCCATGGTTGTAAGTGATAATGTAAAATGACCTAAATATGACCAGCCATACTGGGGAAAGATCTGGTTAGGTAACCTAGATATCACCAGCCTATTCCCAAAGGCTGTCTCTAGGCTTGTTGAGGGCCCTGTTACAGACACAGCCTATCTTGTGTTCAGAGTAACGTAAAGGCTACAAATGACTCCTAAGAAATTAGCTGAGAAGGCATTTATTCTCAGGGGAACAGTAGAGTGTAATGCAGGAGTGAGGGTACTGATTAGGTAGTAGTTTTGTGGTTCACATGTATCTCATTTTGAAATAATAAAATGGCAATAAAGAATATGGACAAATGTCTTTTAATTTAGCTAGCAAAATTTAGCTTAAATACTTTCCATGAAAAAAAAAAGCTTCTAAACTTTTAGAGTTCGTGTATTAGAAGACTTTGACACCTGACTTAAAATCATCTTGTTAATGTCAAATCCTACTTTCACTTATTCTCAAACCCAGAAATGCTCCATCTTTGAAACCAACAAACTGAAGTATTTCAATCTCTGACCATAACTTCCTTCCTTTGTGGTCTCTCAGTACCTCCCAGCTATAAACAGGAAACAACACCAGATTCCTCCCTAGCACACACTCTACACATCTAATGAATCACTGGGTTCTGTACATTGTCTTCTAATGCATTCTATTCTAATATATTTGATTTCCATTACCTTAGAAGTAGCGTGCTAACTGCCTCATCCAATGGATACTTTTGTGTCTTATCCTTTCTACAACACTTAAAATGTTGGCCACGCCCCTTTGAACTTTCAACTCTCTTGCTTTCACTTTTTTTTTTTTTTTTAAATGGAAACAGGGTCTCACTCTGTCATGGAGGCCGGAGTGCAGTGTGATCACAGCTCACTGCAGCCTTAACCTCCAGGGCTCAGGTGATCCTCCTGCCTCAGCCTCCCAAGTAACTGGGACTACAAGCAAGAGCCATTACCTCCGCTATTTTTTTAAAGACAGAGTTTCACCATGTTGCCCAGGCTGGTCTTGAACTCCTGAGCTCAAGCAATCCACCGGCCTTGGCCTCCCAAAGTGCTAGGATTACAGGCGTGAGCCACTGCACCCTGCCTGCTTTCACTTTTATGGTACTTCCCTCTCTTGGTTTTCTCCCTTTCTACTTAAATCATGGTTGAGTTTAGGTGTCATTGTTTTGTATACCTACTGAACCCAAATATGTCTGTATCACAGCACATTATGAACTCTGGTTTACTTGGGTTTTCTTCTGCCACTGTCAACTCCTTGACGATGGAGATGGTATTTTTCAACTGTAATTCCGGCTCTGATATCAGGCACCTGATATATTATTCATGACTTTATTCAAAAGCTACATAATAAATAAAAATTAAGGGTCAGTTCGATAACCATATAATTTTACTAAAGTACTGTTAAACTGTCAGGTCACTTGGGGGATATAGACAGATACAGACAGAGTGCTTTCTTTGGTGAAGTTTCATTTCATGAGGAAAAATTCACAAACAACAACCTTCAAAACATACCTAACCACTGTTGCTGAGATATTTCACACCAGTATTTTCTCACAGAAAGAATGTCTTTGAGTAGTATGTTGCTACAATCAGCTCCGTAAATAGCACCATTAGATGAATCTTTCACTGTATCCATGATATAATTTAAGAGTTCTTGACATTTTAGCCTAGGTGCTCCTATTTCAAAATAAACAAATAAAGAAAAACATAAATTTGAACAAAAATAAGACACTTGGAATGGCAACTATTTAAATAATTCCATTTGGGAAATTACTATTAACTAAACTTCTTTTGTAGAGAAGAAATTGGCAAATTATGGCCCCAAGCAAAATTCATTTTTTTTTTCTTTGCAAATAACATTTTATTGGAACATAGTCACAACCATTCATTTACTTATTGTTTATGGCTGCTTTTGTAATTAAGACAGAGGTGACCACATGGCCTATAAAGTCAAGAACATTTACTATCTGGCCTCTTTACACAGTAAGTTTGCCAACGCCTCTTTTATAGGAATATATAGCAAAAACAATCATTCTTTTTTTTTTTTTTTTGAGATGGAATCTTGGTCTGTCACCCAGGCTGGAGTGCAGTGGCACAAACTCAGCACACTGCAGCCTCCACCTCCTGGGTTCAAGTAATTCTCCCACCTCAGCCTCCAAGTAGCTGAGACTAGAGGCGTGCACCACCACACCCTGCTAATTTTTCTACTTTTAGTAGAGACAGGGTTTCACCATGTTGACCAGGCTGGTCTTGAACTCCTGACCTCAAGTGATCTGCTCATCTCGAAAAGCAATCATTCTTAAACAATTATAACCTTAATAATTCACAATTTCTGGTGTTAGACCAAAAATGATCCCAAGTTTTTTGGCACTCTTTATGAAGAATGAATTTATTAGAATAACATAAGATTACAAGGAGAATATTTACCTTGGAAAGCAAAATTAGTTCTAAGTCCTATAATAGCATTTATGGCATACAAACACCTCAGGTTGTAATTTTTTTTTTTAAGACAGGGTCTCGCTCTATCACCCAGGCTGGTGTGCAGTGGCATGATCACACCCAACAGCAGCCTCAACCTCTCAGGCTCAAGGGATCCTCCCACCTTAGCCTCCTGAGCAACTGGGACTATAGATGTTGTGCCACCATGCCCAGCTAATTTTTTAAATTTTTCATAGAGACAGAATCTCTCACAATGTTCCCCAGGCTGGTCTTGAACTCCTGAGCTCAAGGGATTCTCCTGTCTTGGCCTCCCAAAGTGCTGAGACTATAGGTATGAGCCACTGTGCTTGACCCCTGTACCTGTGTCATTTTTAACAGCATGTTATTTACTTACTAGAGATTCTGAAAACTTGGCATGACTACACACATATTCTTGAAGGTAACAAAATTACATTTAAAAATAATTTAATTATCATTTTCAGTAAATTATATTTACGTCACAGCAGAAATGCCATTTTTCCATACTGACAATCTTAAAATTGAATATATTTATTGCCATAACTATGAGCAGAACACAACTCATGTAAATATGAATATATTCTGGATTAGGGTTTTCCTATGATGAAACTAGTTATATTCACAGGCTATGGTAAACAAATATACACTGATATAACTGCAAAATCATCTTCACTTATGGCTCACTTCATAATTTTAGGCATTGTCCAGTTATGAAATGCACAACCATGTGATCCTTTTTTCTAGTACCCTGTGCATTTCTCTTATAGTCCTTGTAACATTTTTCTAATCTAAAACATCCATTGTATGATTAGATCCTTAAGGAAAGGAATTAATCTCTATATTCTGACGTAAAAGCCCAGTGACTGCCCTAATAGCAAATGCTCAATAAAAATTAATTTGTGTTGAATAACTACAGAAATTAATATTATAATAAAATCCTATCTTCCTATGTCCTTTATCCCAATATATCTCCCTCCTCTACCAAATATGAGAAGTATTTCAAGAAATGTTGACTTTTTTTTCATAGTTTTGCTTGTTTTTGAGACAGAATATCTCGCTCTGTCACCCAAGCTGGAGTGCAGTGGCCCCATTATGACTCACTGCAGCCTTGACCTCCTGGACTTAAGGGATCTACCCATGTCAGCCTCCCAGGTAGCTAGGACTACAGGCAAGCACCACTACACTCAGCTAATTTTTTTAGTTTTTTTAAAGATGGGGTCTCCCTATGTTGCCCAGGTTGGTCTCAAACTTCTGGGATCAAATCTTTCTTAAAAGTACAACTAAGTTGCCTGCAGAGACTTTTTTTTTTTTTTTTTTTTTGGACACAGGATCTCACTCTGTCACCCAGACTGGAGTGCAATAGCATGATCGTGGCTCACTGCAACCACTGCCCCCTGGGCTCAAGCAATCTTCCTCCCTAAGCCTCCTAAGTAGCTGGGACTACAGGTGGTCACCACCACACCTGGCTAATTTTTGTGTTTTTGTAGAGATGAGGTCTCACCATGTTACCCAGGCTGGTCTCAAAATCCTGTGCTCAAGCAATCTGCCTGCCTTGGCCTCACAAAGTACTAGGATTAGAGAGGCATGAGCCACTGTGCCCAGCCTACTTACAGAGACTTTCAGGAATCTTATGGAACTTAACATTTTTCGCAGCTGAGTTTTGCACTATCTAGACTCTATTTAAGCTTTGTACAAAAGCAGACAAATGCTAACATAAAGAAATGAACAGGGTGGGCACAGTGGCTCACGCCTATAAACCCAGCAGTTTGGGATGACAAGGCAGGTGGATCACTTGAGGTCAGGAGTTCGAGACAAGCCTGACCAATGTGGTGAAACCCCGTCTCTACTAAAAATACAAAATTAGCTGGGCATGGTGGGGCATGCCTGTAATCCCAGTTACTTGGGAAGCTGAGGCGGGAGAATCGCTTGAGCCCGGGAGGCGGAGGTTGCAGTGAGCCAAGATGGCGCCATTGCACTCTAGCCTGAGCAACAAGAGCAAAACTCTGTCTCAAAAAAAAAAAAAGAAAAGAAATGAACAGTAGGCTGGGTGTGTGAGTGTGGTGGCTCACACCTATAATCCCAGCATATTGGAAGGCAGAGGCAGGCAGATCACTTGAGGCCAGGAGTTTGAGACCAGCCTGGCCAACATGGCAAAACCCTCGTCTCTACTAAAAATACAAAAATTAACCGGGCCTGGCGGCGTGTGCCTATAGTCCCAGCTACTCTAGAGGCTGACACGTGAGAATCGCTTGCGCCCAGGAAGAAGAGGCTGCAGTGAGCCAAGACTGCACCACTGCACTCCAGCTTAGGCAACAAAGCAAGACTCTGTCTCAAAAAAAAAAAAAAAAAAAAAAAAAAAAAAGGAGAGAAATCAACAATATTTGCTTACTTGTTTCTTCTCAGCTGCCTTTTACTTCTTTTTTACTAATCTCTATTTCTTTCATCATACCTTGGATACCAATGCTAAGCAAGAATGGCAAAGTTTAGACATATGTTAAATTTCCATCAACCCTCCAATCTTTTCGTAAAAAACAAACAAACAAACAAACAAAAACAACTGAAGTGGGGTGAGGGAATAGTAACTCCCTGGTTTTGCCCCAATATTAAAAAGGTTTAAGTAACAAAGTCAAATTTGAAAGAAAAGGAAGCCGTAAATAAAAAAACAAATTTTCAACTACTTACATGACCAGCATTGATAATTTCACCAACTATTTCTTATAAACCAACAGGCTGATGCATTTTCAAACGTAATCTCCATTGTTAATGTTGCAATTAAAAGGTTTGTTCACTGCAAGGCAAAACTACTGTACACATTGCAAACTTTTCTGGTGGGCTACAAAATTGACATGTTATCTTTCTCTCATTCACTCTTTCAGTAAGTACCTACTATATCCCAGCATTATTAGCAAATAAAATATTTTACTGGATACAAAGCTACTACACAGAGCAAAAGTGAGTGCAGAATATTTTGGTGTAGTTTTCCTTTGTCTCTGCTGGAGTCTCTGACAAGGGGTTGAAGCTATCCACACGAACTCGCATCTCAGAGGAGGTAGAAAATTGACTAAACCATTATTCTTTGGACTCAAGTCTCATACCACCAATCTGAAATATTCACTAATAATCTGCATACTTCTACTAAATATTTACCAATTTGGGGGCTTTCCTGATTCTTTTTTTTTTTTTTTTTTTTTTTGAGACAGAGTTTCACTCTTGTTGCCCAGGCTGGAGTGCAATGGCACAATCTCAGCTCACTGCAACCTCCACCTTCCAGGTTCAAGCAATTCTCCTGCCTCAGCTTCTCGAGAAGCTGGGATTACAGGCACCCGCCACCACACCCAGCTATTTTTTGTACTTTTAGTAGAGATGGGGTTTCGCTATATTGGCCAGGCTGGTCTCGAACTCCTGACCTCAGGTGATCTGCCCGCCTCAGCTTCCCAAAGTGCTGGGATTACAGGTGTGAGCAACCGCGCCTCACACTCCTGATTCTTAAATTAAGAGTTGGTATCACAAAGCAACATCCTTATCTGTGAAGAGCCCAGGAGTCCCTGAACACACACTTCTGCCTCTAGCTTTTCAGTATGTGTAAAGCCCATTTCCTTACAAAAGCTTGCCAGGATCCTGCATTTTGGTTCCGAAAAATCAACTCTTCACAATATTAATTGTACAAGTTAAAGATGGGAACTATTTGGCTCATCAGGAGAAAAAAATATTTTTGGGGGTTGTTTTTTTCCTCAAATCATAGCAAGTAAAATGTCAGTTAAGTGTTGGTTCTGACAGCCAAGGAAGCTCACATGATCTTAGAATTAATCAGTAAGAGTACAGAATGAAAGATAAGCAAGAATTGCTTCACTCTGTACTAATCAGAATATACCTAAAAGATTGAGTCCTGGCCAGGTGCAGTGGCTCACGCTTGTAATCCCAGCATTTCAGGAGGCCAAGGCGGGAAAATCACTTGAGGTCAGGAGTTTGAGACTAGCCTGGCCAACACAGTGAAACCCTGTCTCTATTAAAAATACAAAAATTAGCCAGACATGGTGGCCCATGCCTATAGTCCCAGCTACTTGGGAGGCTGAGGCAGGAGGATCACCTGAGCCTGGGAGGCGGAGGCTGCAGTGAGCCAAGATTGCACCACTGCATGCACTCCAGCCTGGGCTACAGAGCAAGAGCCTGTATTAAAAAAAATGAGTCCCACACTTTTTTGTTTGTTTTTCTGGCCTCTTCCCTGTAAGTAGAGGCCCACACTTTAAGACAGACAATTAAAGTGAAGAATATTCAGAGGAGAGTAGCATAAAACCTAGGTCACGTGAGCTGAAGAAAGTGAGATTATGAACTTTAGAGATGAGGACTTAGGAAATATTGTGGCTACTTTCAAACATCTCTAAGGATGTCACACTAAAAACATAAATAGGAGTTTTTGATATACTCTCAGAAGGGAGAAGCAGTAACAAAAGACAGGTTTTTAATACTTTTCTTTTTTTGACAGTCTCGCTCTGTCGCCCAGGATGGAGTGTAGTGGCGTAATCTCAGCTCACCACAACCTCTGCCTCCTGGGTTCAAGCAATTCTAGTGCCTCAGCCTCCCAAGTAGCTGGAATTACAAGCGTGCGCCACAATGCCCAATTAATTTTTGTATTTTTAGTAGAGACGGGGTTTTGCCATGTTGGTCAGGCTGGTCTCGATCTCCTGACCTCAGGTGATCTGCCTGCCTTGGCCTCCCAAAGTGCTGGGATTACAGGAATGAGCCACTGCGCCTGGCCAGTTTTTAATACTGTTAATGCTATTCAAAGATGGAAAAGAAAGCCTTGAAAGTATATTCAATCATGAAGACTGCACTTCTACCTAAAGGCTAGGGACGTAGAGAGGGCATCCAAGACTGGGTAGTTTAAACAGTAATTTTTAATTCCTTCACTGGGCATGGTGGCTCACATCTGTAATACCAATAACTAGGGAGGCTGAGCAGGGGGAGGACTGCTTGAGGCCAGGAGTTCAAGATCAGCCTGGGCAGAACAGTGAAATAACACCTCTTAAAAAAAAAAAAAAAAATCAGCCTGGCATGGTGATGCACTTCTGTAGTCCTAGCTACTAGGAAGCCAAGACAGGAGGATCACTTAGGAACAGAGAAGCTTCAGCCTGCAGTGAGCTATCATCACACCATTGCACTCCAGCCTGGGTGACAGAGTGACACCCTATCTCTTAAATAAATAAATCCCTTCAATCCTCAGATTTCTGTCATTCTATGCTTGCATAAATTTCCCCAAATATTTGAACTTGTAATATTAAAAATCAGGCTGGCCTGAGTGCAGTGGTGTTTACAACGAATTGATCACAACCAGTTACAGATTTCTTTGTTCCTTCTAAACTCCCACTGCTTCACTTGACTAGCCCTAAAAAAAAACCTTTTAATAAAAATAAAAATCATTATATGTACTTACACTCAACTTTTATCTTATTCTATTTAGAACAAACTTATGCAACAGTTAAGTCCTTAAAATGATCTGAAAAAAAAAAAAAACTCACGCGACAGTAATCTGTTAAGCCATTTATTTATAATTTATAACATCACTTACTTCTGTTTGCACATTTGATGAAGTATTTGACCAAACTACTGATTTCCTGCATCTTTTTCTGCCTGGAGGCTTGTGTTGAGGCTGATACATTTGGTTTTGCTATTCTCAGACATTCTGTTTCTTTCTGAATATATTTCTGTAAAAATCTTCAAGAAAACAAAATGCAATTTCAGAAACTCGTTGAATACTTAAATTATAATAATTTCAAAAGCTGTTCATGCCATCACAAAGAGCAACTTTTAAACCACCTTGCTTAGATTACTACATCAGCTGAAAAAAACAAATAAAACAATTAAATCTCTCTTTCAAGGCCTAACTCCTACAAGACCAATTTAATATCTGGTCTGCAAAGCTCTTAATCTTCTATGACTTTCTATTGCTTTACTGCCTGTTTTCTAAATTTGTCATTAAAAGCTTACAATGCTAGTAAGGACCCTCTCAATCCTCTCTCAACTCCTTCTGTTATTCTGTACAGGATCTACCTGTTTCTTAGGCAGTTGGTAATGTTGCCAGCCAATAAATTAAGCCTGCCTAGAAGATATTCATAACTAGCCAGGAATGCTGGGTGCATATTTGACCTACCAGATCAGCTTATACAAAATAGTATTCATCTTCAGGTTGTAATTATATTTGTGGTATTTAAAATAAACTAGAAAATCAGAGGAAAAACAGCATGCATGTTTCATTTTATATGCTTTCAAATCTGTAACAGTCAATCTAATACCAAACAGGAGCTAAAAATAAAACAGAATCTGTCATAAACACTGAAGGACAACTAAATACACACTTCCTCTTGACTACAAATGTTATTTCTAGTTTATTTAATACTCTCAGTATTTAAAATACTTTATTCATCTTTCCTAATCCTTACAATCTGTTTCTAGTTATAAATGGATTTCACGGTTGAAAATGATGTCTCAATGTAAAAATGCATCAACCCTGTTTGCCACTCCTGTCCAGCAATCAGTTGTGTTTTTTCATTGTTCGAGGTATTTTTTGTTTTTAACCAAATTCATACACAAGTATTCCAATCTTCCTTTTACTTGTTTTATTACAATTTAACACACAGCATTTACTTATAATCAGAGTAATATTTAAAGGTGTGAAAATAATATCCTAACATTTATTATAATTTTTTCCTCTAATCTGAAGTCTTGTGAACTAACTAAAATGAAAGAAATTCTCTCTCAATTTTGAGTGAGATATGTCTAAAACATTTTATTGAAGAAATAATTTATAATTTTTAAGTTTCTATATGAACAACCTTTAAAAATTATGTTTTGGATAAATATTAAATGCCAAATTCATATGCAAGGCATAATGATATATAGGAAGCAAAGATAAATGTTAAGACTTACACACAAAAGTAATATCACAACAGAAATAAATATGAAAGAGAAAAATAAAGACAGTAAAATAAATTTGAATAGAATACCTAAAAACAGCATCCCAATTCAAATATTTTCCTTGTTTGGAATCTGAATGCCGATCTAGATGTTTAATTGTTTCAGGATCTCGAATCAGGCGCTTAAATTTCTCAACTTCTTTCTGAAAATAAAAAGGAAATAATAATGGGTTACTAATCACACTTATTTCAAGGAAAAATTGAATTTAAGTAATTTACTACCTTTCGTTCTGTAGCTCTATCATGTTCTAGTTGACGGCAGCAGATAAGCAGATCATTAAGTACTAGACTCATGGTTCACAATTTCAGAACACACATCACTGTCTGTAAAAAAAATACATATAGGTATATATATGTATATGTATATATGCATATATAGAGAGAAAGAGGTGTGAAAAAATGTGTATATAATTATTTTATACTGCAGTATTTATAGTTAGATTTAACTGTACAATTAGAGGCACATTCTGGTCAAAGGCACAATAATTTTTCTTAACATTTCCGTATTTAAAATGAGATTTTCTTAAAATCTATACAAGTAATGCTGTAACACAAAAATGTTTGCCTTGCTTGCAGTAGTAGCAGGATTAAAATAAAAGTATAATTTACACTGGACGCAGTGGCTCACGCCTGTAATCCCAGCACTTTGGGAGGCCAAGGTGGGAGGATCACAAGGTCAGGAGTTCGACCAGCCTGACCAACATGGTGAAACCCTGTCTCTACTAAAAATACAAAAATTAGCCGGGCTTGGTGGCGCGCGCCTGTAATCCCAGCTACTCAGGAGGCTGAGGCAGGAGAATCGCTTGAATCTGGGAGGCAGAGCTTTCAGTGAGCCAAGATCGAGCCACTGTACTCCAGCCTGGGCAACAGAGGAAGGCTCTGCGGGGCGGGAGATGGGGGAAGTATATTTACTTTTTATTACTCTGAGACCAAAGAAACATGACATTTAAATTGAGACATGAAAGATGAATAGAAAACAGCCAGGTAAATAAGGAAATGAGCACTCAAGGATTTAACATTGACAATGAACTATTTAAAAGCACTCTTGGCCAGGCGTGGTAGTGTGCTCTTGTAGTCCCAGCTACTCAGGAGGCTGAGGTAGGAGAATCGCTTGAACCCAGGAGGCAGAGGTTGCAGTGAGCGGAGATCGCGCCACTGCACTCCAGCCTGGTGACAGAGCAAGACTCCGTCTCAAAGAAAAAAAAAAAAGCACTCTTGCTTATATGGAGAGACATGTCATTTTGCTGAGCCAAAGGCTTAAAACATGCTTTGGAGCTGATAAGTAGGAGGTTATCAGAGCTAGTAAGCTTTGTCTACCACTTCCATCTCAACTGGTATTAAGGTTCTTATTTAACACATAACAATAGGAGTAAAATGACATTTCTGTTTTAAAAGGAAATGAAGCAAATTCTATGCTATGGTGGTATCCTTTGCAAATATCAAGGATCAACTATATTTTACTATGCCTTGATTCCACTGAGTAGCTCTCTTCTTTTGGGGGCTTCTGATATAATCAAACTCTCTTTTGATGTCCTTCAAAAAAATGTAGTAAGAACAGCATTTCAACATGGACACAAAGATGGGAAGAACAGAGACTGGGGACTGTTTGAGGGTTGGAAAGAAAGGGAGGTATGGCTTGAAGGGCTACCTATCAGGTACTATGCTCACTACCTGAGTGACAGGATCATTCGTACACCAAGCCTCAGCAACATGCAATTTACCCATGTAACAAACCCGCACATCTACCCACAGAACCTAAAGTAAAATAGAAAAGAAAAAAAAAGAAACAGCATTCTGTTTTACTAGTTCTGATCTAAACCTTTATATAATACAAAGAAGTTTTTTATTAAACTATGAATGTCTGTAAACAGAGAAAAAATACATATATTTATGTATATTATACCTACAAATAACTATATCTCAAGAAGTAAAAAGGTAGGGAAAGTCCTTCTCCTATCCATCCATCTAAATTCTACTTAATCTTTCAAGATTAAGTATGTTTCTCTGCCCCGATTCAATCTCACAGAATCTCAAAATTGGGAGGAACTAAAAGACCAGGTCCAATCTTCCTATGAAGGAAGGAATGTCTCTTACAAAATGAATGCCCTGTCTTTGAATATTCTCAGTAAGAGCTGACTACCGGGGCTAGGCGTGGTGGCTCATGCCTGTAATCCCAGCACTCTGGGAGGCCGAGGTGGGCGTTCCACGAGGTCAGGAGTTCGAGACCAGCCAGCCTGGCCAACATCGTGAAACCCCGTCTCTACTAAAAATACAAAAATTAACCAGGTGTGGTAGCATGTGCCTGCAATCCTAGCTACTGGGGAGACTGAGGTAGGAGACTCACTTGAACCCAGGAGGCGGAAAGTGCAGTTAGCTGAGATCACGCAATTGCACTCCAGCATGGGCGACAGAGCGAGACTGTCTCAAAACAAAACAAGACAAAAAAAACAAAAAGAGCTGACTACCCATTTTATTAGCAGATGGCTCTGATTCTCTTCTCCTTTTATATTCACTGGTGGTTCTTCTGACTTCCCCCATCCCCCAACACTATTACAACTTCCGCTTTACTCTGCTATAGATTACAGATTGTTATTTGAGTTCTTTTCATTTGATTATATACTTCCTGTGGACAAGTATTATCATTTTTGTTTTTCCATTCCTTATGGTTTTATCTAGGAATCTTCTTACTTCTTCAATCTCAGTTTAAAGCCCTCTTGAGTCAATAAGGAAAATGAAACTGGTAATCTAACCAATGAAAATACCTTAGCAATATCCAAAGAACCATAAGGTTTGGCACCTTTATTCCTAAATATACTAAAGATTTGACACTTCCCGGAAGAGGCAGCCCTAAACTTGACTTTTTTTTCCCCATGGTGTGACTTCCTTGAACTTGTTTTTCTTACCTTCAGCTTAATGATTACTTTGAAGAAAACAAAACAGTTCAGTATTATCTACATAAACAGAAGATGCTCATTCACTGATAGATGCAAACAATATTTACTACTTATAGCTAGACAAATAATGAACTAAACAGATACAAATCCTACCCTCATGAAGTCATATCTGGGCAGCAGGGTGACAATAAACAAGTAAATTGATAAACCAATGCATAATTCCAAATTGTGATGTATGCCTCTGAGGAAACAAAAACACAGTAATAGAAAATAACTGTAGAGAGAATCATTTTAGATAAACTGTCAGGGAACATATATCTCAGAGGAGTTTATAATAAAGCCAAGATCTGAACTAACTGGTGCCAATCAAAAAAAGGGCTAGAGGACCAACACTTCAGGGAAGGAGACTAGCATAGCCAAAGGGTTCTACAATGTTAAAGAACACAGTATGTTGGCGGAACTGAAAGAAGGCAGAGGAACTATTAGGTAGTCAACTAGAGTATGAGTGTCACCATATAAAGATGAACTTCATTTATACATTAATCCAGAATATCTAGGTTCCACTCAAGGTTCAAACGAAAAGATAAGGATTTCCTACTTCCTACGAGCCTCTGAATTGACGAATTCAGTGTTCCTTTTTAGATCTCAACCAAGTTGACCCCTTTGCACAACTTGACAATGACGCTTATATCCCATCTTCCTAGAAATAACTCTGCCCTTGGCATGCCATTCTTTTCTAGTGCTAAGGAGTGTGGCCTCTGTAGTCAGATTGTATTAGTTCAAATCCTGGTTCAGCCACTTACAAACTGTATAATCTAGAGCAAGTTCACTAATCTCTTCAAACCTCAGTTTCTCAATGATAAAAGGAAAAACAATACTAGTACCTACCTCTATGAGTCCCTTTAAGGACCCATATACATGCTTACAGTGCCTGAAACACAGCAAATGTTAGCAATGATCATATTAACTTCCGTTATGACTGTTTCGAAAGTCTCCTGATATCTCTTCTTCCGCTCATACCTCAAAAACAGCTTTGTTTTCTTGGTCTCATCCATTCCTATGACTTCAGCAGCTGAAAACCCACAAAATATATTTCATTCAATGCCAGGCCTCACGCTGGAGCTTCAGGGTCCTTCTACACTTTGTGCCTTTACACGCATTTTTCCTTCCATCTGGAAGGCTTCTACCATCTGCCAAGGTAACACTGCGAGGTCTCACCACAAACTGAATTGATAGTCTCAGGCTGAGTTTGCAGAGAACCAAAGTCACTCCTCTACCATCAGAGTACTCCCCTATCACCACATACATTATCATCCACTGTAGTTGTCTTATCTGTACCTGGTAAATACAGCAGCTAACGCTCACGAGTGCTCACCACAGGTCAAGATTATCTCACTTATCTTCACAAGACAGTAGAGAGCGGCCACACGACTGACAGAATTCCAATTCCAGCCGTATGATTCCAGAGCCCAAGCTCTTAACCGCGAGGCTGAAGTTGAAATATCAATAAATGCTCGCTGACTAAAAGTACTAAATACGAGAGAGAGATCAAAAGATGACTAGTCAAGTCGCGTAGTTAAATCTGAACCCTAAGGTGACACAAAAAGAGGATGCGCAGGAGGCAGGGTTCAATTCAGGGCGTTTAAAAGGAGGAGGTTATTGGCCAAGTCCGCTAAGCACCCGGAGAGAGGCCAGGAAAGATGGAGTGAGGAGAGGGAGGAGTCAAGGGCCACTCTGGAGGGGTGCATGAGATTGGCGGTCTGGGGAGAGGACAGACTGGGTCGCACACGACTGAATTTCCCAGCGCAGAAGCCGCTGCGTTGCCTCCGCGCCCCTACCACTGCACTCGGAAGGTCAAAGTAGTATCAACCGCGGCGGTGGCTGCAGCGCAGATCCCGACTCCTCTCGCCTCCTCCCGCGGCCACGGCTTCTTTTCTCCGTTAGCCACGCAGCTACCTACTCCCGCTTCCGGTTCAAACCCTGCGTGACTGCCCAGCGCCCACTTCTGGAGGAAGAAGCAACGCCAAGCAGCCGCAGAGCACGGTATGCCCATGCGCATCCAGTATCACGCGGTCTCCGCGCTCAAAACACTGCCCCAAAACATTCGGCCCGTCGGAGCAAACGCGCCTGCGCCATGTCCACCAATGGCCAGCGACTTAGCGTTTGCGGCTCGCCCTTCGGCTCGGGCTCCGGGGCTCTCACCCACCCTCTTCGCCCTCGTCGTCCTCCCCGCCCTCCTCATCCCCGCCCCTCCAAGTCTGAGGACGGAAGTGACGACAGTTCCGAAGGCGAACGGAGGCGGGTTTCATTTCGGCGCCTTTCTTTCTCTGGCGGAAGCGATTGGCTGCCGTGAAGCGAAAGAGGCGGGACAAATTGCCGCGAGTTCAGTGCCGCCACTGGAACCAGGAGATGCGGCGCAGGAGCTGTCGCTGTGTTTGCTTTAACCTGAGTCTTGTTCCTTATTGTGGTTCCTGCTGTGGTTTTGATCATGTTGTTACCCTCGGACGTAGCCCGGCTTGTATTGGGTAAGCGCGGACGCGGGATGGAGGGTTATTGGACCCGGCTATGCTGGACAGAAGGACCTTTGAGGCCAAAGGTTTTCCCTTGGTAGGGAAGCTTTGGGGTTTTGCCTCCCAGCTTACGAGTTGAGACTGGCGGTGATTCTTCGTCATTCGGAGGTTCTGGGCAGTTTAAGCCTCTTTGTATGTAGATGCTCCTCTCTTCAGAGGCTGCGTGGCGAGGGGAAGCCCGAGGGGAAGCTCGGGGTGGAACACCTGGGGCGGATTCGGAAGGAAAGTCAGGCCTCCACACTTAATTAGGACCCCTGAAAGAGCATTTGTCTGCATGACGGACGGATTGCGTGTGCTTCAACCTTGGGCGCAATTTCCTTGGTTCAGTGTTGGGACCAAAATAGGGCAAATAGGGAGTTCCCCGGCCCCCCATCTTTGTAGAGAGACCTTCCTGGCGCCCTTCTAATAACCCGCCCTTATAACTACGAATTTGGGAGTAGGGGTGATCTTCCTTCTCCATCCTCCACGCAATACGTCGTCCAGTGTAGAGGTGTGAAATGCCAGTTGCATATTTTAAAACAGCAATTCCTGTTCCTTTGATCAGCGAAAAATTTCAGAGGGTTAATTGCCTTAAATTAGTTGAACGTTTTCTAGCCCTAGTTTTACCTTCATTTGAGGAGGGATTGTTTGTGGGTCACTTGTCTGTCAGGGTGTATTGTCTGTGTGAGAGACGGGTTTTGTTGTTGTTTGTCCCCTGAAAGAATAAAGAGGATTGTACTACAGGGGACGAGAGCCAGGTAAAGCTCAAAACCCGAGCCAGTAATTTACGGACGTCGTATGCGACGTCCCTAAAAGTAAATGGCAAGCATCTGTGATGAAACCTCCCATAGTATTCACAGCCATTACTACTATTATTTTATTGTTCGGAAAACCCATTTGTCTTGTGCCTCTTTTAAATGCCCAGCGCTGTCCACAAAAATGTTATTTGCGCAGGGCTCTTGATAAGCACATTTTGCAGGAAACGTTAAACGGAAATGGTTCCACCATCCATTTTTGAAGAAACTTAATGACAAGTTTAATGTTTTGTTAATGTCTGATTAATCTTTTGCTTAAGAATTCTGAGTTTTGGCAGTTTGGTAATCTAGTTGAGTTTCGGTAACTATAGTCTTAAACATGGTTTCTCAGCCTCAGTACTGTTAACATTTTGGGCCTCATAATTCTTTATTGTGGGGAGCTATCCTGTGCTCAAACATTGTAGGATGTTTAGCAGCATTCCTGGCTTCTATTCACTAGATTACAGTAGGACACCCGTTCCCCACCCTACCCTTACCCAGTTGTGATCAGTGAAAATGTCTCTAGATATTGCTAGTATGTCCCCTGGAGGGCAGAATCACCCCTAGTTAAGAAAGCCCTAAGAAAGCAGTATCATTTTCTAATTGAAATAATTCACATCGATGTGTGAGTATTCTTTCTCCACAAACCAGCTACTCTGCTGACTTCCTGCTTTTCATTTAATGGACAAAAAACGCCAGCCATGGTTTTCTTATCTTAAAAATCTTTGTCATTCACATTCCATTTTCACTGCCACCAATCCCGCAATGTGCCTGCCATTACTTCTCTTTTGGACTTCTGTCATGGCTTCCCAGACAGTTGTCCTCGCAATTCATTTTATTTACTGTTGTTACAAATCTCCCTGAAGCTTTCACACTATACCTTTTAGTCTGAAAGTTGAGATAATTCTATTCTTACTAAAAATTTCAGATGGGCAGGAGTATACAATACAAAAAAGCCTCCCCATGCCTAATGCTCTTACTTTTGTCGTTTATCATTTTACATCTTAAATAGATACATATCGTGTATATCTTTCTCATATGAGGTTTATTATTTACTCATGATTCTTTTCCTATCAGTACCCCCTCGCCATCTTCAGCTCCTCTTGTTATTGGTCCCTTCATAATGTTTTTTTTCTAGCAAATCTTTGGGTGCCTAGTATGTTCCAAACACTGTGCCAATTGCTGAACATAGAGAAGTTAAGTTTTCTCCCCTTAGTGTTCAGATAATTAGGTTTTTTTTAAATTCTTAAACATACACACAAAAAAACACTTTTCTGGACCCCACTAGACATTAGACACCCATTAAACAGAACATTCTGTCTTATGTTCTGTGTCACCCTTTCACAAGTCAAATTTATTCAAAGAACAATGAATTCCACTTAGTTGCTGTTCTTCACCTACCTTTTATCCTTCAGGATACTGCACTCTGACTTTTGCATCTCACTACTCCACTTAAGTAGCCCTTATTGCCTTGCTGGGATTTTACAAAATGTTGTGTGGGCCAGAATACATCAAAGTGTTTGTTGCCTCTGGGCCATCAGTTCAGTTTTTATCTATTTATTCAAGGTGCTCTGTGGAACTGATCCTACCTACCTCTCCAACTTGATCTCAACTTCCTAACATCTGTTTTATGCTGCAGACATGCCAAACGAATTGAAGTTTCTTTGAAAATTCTTGTATGTATTCTACTTCTCTTTGTCTTCCTAGTACACTTCTATTCAAGGTTCAGGTCATGCCTGATCTCTGAAACTTCATTCAGCAAGTACAGTCAGTACTTCTTAAATGTTGCCATAGCATTGTACTTCTGTTACAACCTTATCATGTCTCATTGTAGATGTGTGTTTACTTTTTTTTGATAAAATATACTAACAAAATTCAACACTTAAAAATGTATAGTTCTTAAAGCCCAAAACAATGAGTTTGTTGTTGTTGTTGTTGTTGTTGTTGTTTGTTTTTAATGTACAGATCAGTAGTGTTAACTATATTGACATTTTTCTGCAACCATCACTACCATCAGTTTCTGGAACTTTTTCATCTTCCCAATTTGAAACTTACTTGGTTTTTTGTTTTATTAGTAGTCTTAGTCATGGATGAATGGACAAGCTTCAAGAGTTCTGGGAGTCCCCAAAACTATCATCTGTGAAGGTTTTCTTGAATAGATTTGTTACCTTCTGTATGAGACAGCATGCAGTAAAAAAAGTAGAAACCATTCTGAGTATTTAACATGGAAAGATTTAATGAGAGAATTCGTTTACACTGGTGAGAGAAAAGCTAAGACGCCCAGCAGCTTACAACTAAGGCATCTCAGTGGTTAGCAACAGTAGGAAGCCACTATGCTAATGAGAAGGATAAGGAGAGAGGAAGCAATCAAGAGGCTGGTTTGACTGCGGAACGTGGAAGACTTGTCTGATGAGGGAGTGGTAGTCTTAGAGGAGACTCTACTGAGGCAGAAAGGGAATGGGGGAAAAATATGGCTGCTTCCTCCTGCCCTCCAGCCTCCCACCAGTGCTTCCTATTTACTGAGCCCAGCCAGTAGCAGGCCGACAGAAGAGCTTGGGGAACATTGCCTATATAGAGTCAAGCTTTATGTCATACAGTAGAGAGCGACAGAAGGGTCAAGAACGTGTTTGAGGTCAAACAGGACCAAAACTGACACACCCCTAACAGGTCAAGAGCTGCTGGTTCTATTCACCTTTATATCACCAAAACATAGATATTTAATAAAACATTTGCAAAAGTATGGCTCTGATTATGACACTCCTTTGTTTATTTAATAATATATGTACTCATTGCTGTCTAAAACTTTTCATGATCCTTACCCATTTTGTCTTTTCTGTTGTATCTCCAACTGTTACCCTTCATAAACCTTGTGCTGCATCCAAACTGGACATGTTCCCCAAATATGATTGCATATATACTTTCTGTCAGCTTCTTTGGGATTCCCAACCATCCTTCAGTACTCATCTGCACCTTCAAACATCACATAATTTCCAAGCTTAGTAGTGGTTTCTCCAGCCCCTCCCTTCCCATGAAGTGAGTCAGCTCTATTTTCTTACCATTTTTGCTTTGCATTACAGTTATTTGTGTATATATCTTCTATCTCCAAGTAAATTGTAACTTTATAGACAGAAACCTTGTCCCTGTTATTTGTGGATCTAGTAATATAAGACAACATAAGGTACGGCTTCCTAAGAATTATTTGCATGCTTAACGAACATTAAATTACTAATCTTTCTAGGAAATAATAAAATATGTGAAGGAGATGTTTTCACATAGCGTGCTTTACTATCTCTTGCTTGCTTTAAACCTCTCTTTTTATCTTTCCCTCTCTACAAGTAGGAAGAAAAAATACCCTTCATATAGTTAGGATCTTATCCTTTCTTCTCTTTTTCGGTTGTTTCCCCTTCAATTCATTTAGTTACTCATTACCACCTCCACTTATAATAAAAGTAGGCTGAAGATAATATTATGTTAAGAAGGAAACTCAGGCATACTTTCTTACCTATTCGGGGACCTTTGTCAGTAAGTTTACACAAAAAAATACACTTCTTTTATTCTTAAGTTGTTTTTAGGAATAAAAGGAAAAAACAGTAATAACTAATATTAGTTGTAGAATAACGATTTGTATTATACTGATAAGAGATGATTAGTGCCTAGTTTGTATTTTCTATTTTATTTATTTATTTCTTGAGACAGAATTGCACTCTTGTCATCCAGGCTGGGTGCAGCAGTGAGATCTTGGCTTACTGCAACCTCTGCCTCCCAGGTTCAAGTGATTCTCCTGCCTCAGCCTCTGAAGTAGCTGGGATTACAGGCGCTCACCACCACGCCCGGCTAATTTTTGTATTTTTAGTAGAGACTGGGTTTCACCATATTGGCCAGGCTGTTCTGGAACTCCTGACCTCAAGTGATCCATGCGCCTCGGCCTCCCAAAGTGCTGGGATTATAGCCATGAGCCACTGTGCCCAGCCAGTATTTTCATCATATTTGGATTTTCATTCATCTAACACCAGAGATTTAGAATTAATTTGTGCCTAAAATTTCCTGTTACCTGACTGAGAATTGGTTATAGTCAGATACTTAATGATGATAAATAAACATTTTGTAGGCAGATACTAATCATATATATATAGTAAGGCCTAATTTAATAGGTTCAATAGGTTCTTGAAAACTGCAACTTTAAGCAAAATGATATATAATCAAACTAATTTTACCATAGGCTAACTGATATATACAAGAATTTCTTCAGCATATTTTTGGTCACAAAAATATCACCACACTTGTAAATAAAGTCCAAAACACTTCTAATATTAAACATTGAAATACATGTAAGCTATATATACATTTAAGATGGATTAATAAAAACAAGATAATTACTTACCCAGTTAGTCCAGTTCAAGGTTGCAGGTAGCTAGAGCCTATCCCAGCAGCTTAGGGTGCAAGGCAGGAACTAACCCTGGGCAGGATGTCATTCTGTTGAAGGGAGCACTCACACGCCCACGTACACTCACTCATGCTCACACTGTAATAATTTAGACACACCAGTTAACAACGTGCACATCTTTGGAGTTTGGGAAGAAACGTGTACCTGGAGAAAACCCATGCAGGCATGGGGAAAATGTGTAAACTCCACACATACAGTGTCCTCAGCCAGAAATTGATTTTTTTCTCTCATCAGCAGTATAACAAAAACATTGAACAAAATGATGGTATTCGAGGACTTGCTATATAATGATCAGTGAACATGAGAGTAGTCAACTATTTACTACATTATTTTGGAACTTTTGGGACAAAAGTAAACCAGAATACATCAAATCTAATCTAAAATGAGAACTCAAGATTGCCAAAGTTGGGGCATGTTGTTAAGAGCAGAAGATAATGTATCCTAGATATTACTATTTTGAGATACATTATAACTTAAACACTTATTATAGAGGTAATCTAGCTTTTAACAGCCCCATCTCATGTGTGTGCTATACAGAGGTATAATGTTTTATGAAATGCCATGAATTATCTGTAATGATTCCAGGTTATGCTAGCACAAATGACAATATTTTTCTGAAAAAGGTTTACTGTGTATCACTGTATTCTGTCTGGGGCATTGTTTCTCAACCTTTATTTCATTACACAACTTTAAGGAATCTTCTTAGGCTTTTTTTTTTTCCCTGACCCTCCTCTCCTCCCCACACGAAAGTTTAATGTTTTAGTGTCATGAATATATTGTATATGTTTATATATCATGTGTATCTGTGATTTATGCATAAAAAGAGGGAGATTTTCTTCATTCCTCCCTGCCCCAGAACCAATTTTCAGCCTCTTAGGGCAGTATGACTCCTTTTGAGAATGCATGGTCTAGGGGAAAGCAAATCTACTTTAAGATAGATAAAAATCTACTGCAAATCTATAGTAGATTTTAATACCACCGTCTATCAGAAGTCCCCAAGTGACTGAAGGCATCTAGGGTGATAAGTACTTGAAACTCCACCATGAAAAGGAAGTATATTTGAGGTGTTCAATCTAAATCTTGAAGCATATGAGGAAAAAGCTCCAACTGTCCTAATTTTAAGGTGATTCTAATAGTCTGTAGAAGTTTTAAATTTTTGTGTTTACAAAAAGCTAGTAACAGCTAACTCACCTATTCCAAATATTATAACGGTCGGAAAGCCAGCCATCATAAAAATTACTTTTCAGCCAGCTAGTTTTCACAAAAAGAGAAGAAAACATTGCAGTGTATCTTTGATCTAATTAATTTCACATCTGTGGTTTGATGTTCAATGATAGGAAGATTGAAGTCATGTTATCTGAGATAAAGCTTTCTTCAGATATCCAAATGCTTTCTCCAAAACACAATGCCTTTGGTTTTTGATTTGTATATTTGTTTGTTTCTTCTTATTAGTTAGCAAGAGGTTGGAAAACAGATTCATCAACAAGTAGAGAGTGGTGAGTTGATTCCCAAATCACAGCTAGGGCATTGCCTGTAACGAGATGACCATATCCTTGCCCTTTCCTTTTTAAAACCTTAGTGTATAATGACTTTGTAGGCAACCTTATTAGGTTTTTCACCTGTTGGACCTGGTTAACGATACAGTTCCAGGTGAAGAGAGTAGAACGTTATAAAGTTGGAAGAGACGTTAGACATAATTTCTTTTTTTTATCTTTTAAATTCAGGGGTACATGTGCAGGTTTGTTATATAGGTAAACTTGTGTCATAGGGGTTTGTTGTACGTATTATTTCATCACCCAGGTGTTAAGCCTAGAACCCATTAGTTATTTTTCCTGATCCTCTACCTCCTCCCACCCTTCACCTCCAATAGGCCCCAGTGTGTGTTGTTCCCTTTATGTGCCCGTGTGTTCTCATCCTTTAGCTCCCACTTATAATTTCAGTAGCTAACAAATACTTACTGACTATTATGCCAGCACTGAGATAAGTGTACTTCAAAGGAAAATATAAGGGAATACTTATAAGTATTAAGTAATACCTATAAGGGAATATTTAATAGTAGGGAATAGGGAGTAATTATACTAAACTGTGAAGAATGAGTTGAAGATAGCTAGGTTAAGAAAAGATTAGCTGCCCAAGCAAAGGAAATAGAATAAACAATGGCCTTGAAATATAATCAATGTGTATCTGTGGGACTGAAAGACCAGTTTGGCTGGAAGCGATGGAATGGTAAAACATAGGCTGAAGAGGAAATTAGGGTACAAAGCAAGTAGAACCTCATACGACACATTAAAAATTTGAAATCATAGGCCGGGTGCAGTGGCTCACGCGTGTAATCCCAGCACTTTGGGAGGCCGAGGCGGGCAAATCACCTGAGGTCAGGAGTTCCAGACCAGCCTGGCCAACATGGCAAAACCCCATCTCTACTAAAAATATAAAAATTAGCCAGGCATGGTGGCAGGCGTCTGTAATCCCAGCTACTTGGGAGGCTGAGGCAGGAGAATCGCTTGAACCTGGGAGGCAGAGGTTGCAGTGAGCCGAGATTGCATCATTGCACTCCAGCACAGGTGACAAGAGCGGGACTCCATCTCAAAAAAAAAAAAAAAAAATTGGAATCATATTTTTTTATTGAGATATGATGCACATACTACAAAATGTAAACTTCGTTGTTTTTCAGGGTATGAAAATCCAGGATATTTATGGATTCATAATGTGCAGATATCACCAGTAATTTCAATATTTCCATCACTCCAAAGAGAATCCTTATACTATTAAGTCACTTCCAATTCCCCCTTGCCCCGTCCTCTGCCAACCACAAATCTACTTTCTGTATCTATACATGTGCCTTGCCTGGACATTGCACATAAATGAAATAGAATATTTCGCTTTTTGTGTCTGACTTTCACATAGCATAATGTTTTCAGCCTTATTCCATGTTGTAGCAGGTATTAGTACTTCATTCCTTTTTATAGCTGAATATTTCATTATATGAATATGCCATATTTTGTTTGTCCATTCATTAATGGACACTGTTATGAAAAATGCAGGCCAGCTGTAATGGCTCACCCTGTAATCCCAACACTTTGGGAGGCCAAGGCAGGAGGATTGCTTGAAGCCAGGGGAGCGAGACCAGCCTGGGCAGCATACTGAGACACCCCATCTGTACCAATAAGTAAGTAATTAGCTGGGCATTTATTTGGTGGTACATGCCTCTAGTCCTAGCTACTGGGTTGGCTGAAGTGGGAGGATCACTTCAGCCCAGGAGTTCAAGGTTATAGTGAGCTATGATTGAGCCACTCTACTTCAGCCTGGGTGACAGAGCAAGACTCTGTCTCTGAAAAAAAATAAACTGACCATAAATGTCTGGATTCCATGCTTCAGAGTTGACTAGATAAATAAGAAAGGTCTGGATTTTTTATTTTGTTCCACTAATTTCTGTGTCTAACCTCATGCCCGTACATCGTCTGGATTACTGTAGCTTTACAGTAAGTTTTGAAATTGGTAAGTGTAAGTGCTTCAACTTTTTCTTCATTTTCAAGATTATTTTGGCTATTCCAGCCCCCTTGTATTACCTTAGGAGTTTTAGGATGTTTGTCAATTTCTGCACAAAAGGCAGTTGAGATTATGATAGGAATTGTGTTGAATGTATCGGTGAATTTTGGGAGTATTGAGTTTTTAACAATATTGAACCTTTCAGTCCATGAACACAGTATGTCTTTGCGTGGATTTAGGTCTTTAATTTCCTCCAGTGACGTTTTCCAGTTTTTAGTATGCAAGTCCTTTACTTTTGTTAAACTTATTCCTAAGTATTTTATTTCTTTTGATGCTATTGTAACTAGCATTGCATTCTTAATTTTTGGTAGTTCATTGAGATTTATTGACTTTTATATATTCACTGTGTATCCTGCAACCTTGTCGAAGTCATTTATTAGCTCTAATAGTTTTTGTTTTGTTTCGTTTTGTTTTTGGGACAGAGTTTCGCTCTTGTTGCCCAGGCTGGAGTGCAATGGCGCAATCTTGGCTCACCACAACCTCTGCCTCCCGGGTTCAAGCGATTCTCCTGCCTCAGCCTCTGGAATAGCTGGGATTACAGGCATGCATCACCTTGCCCAGCTAACTTTGTATTTTTAGTAGCACCAGGGTTTCTCCATGTTGGTCAGGCTGGTCTCGAACTCCCGACCTCAGGTGATTTGCTGGCCTTGGCCTCCCAAAGTGCTGGATTATAGGCATGAGCCACCATGCCCCGCCCAGGGAGGTTTCTTAACTCCTTTTTTTTTTTTTTTTTTTTTTTTTTTGAGACAGAGTCTTGCTCTGTTGCCCAGGCTGGAGTGCAATGGCACCATCTCGGCTCATTGCAACCTCCACCTCCCTGGTTCAAGTGATTCCCCTGCCTCAGCCTCCCTAGCAGCTGGGATTAAGGTGGACACCACCATGCCTGGCTCATTTTTTTGTATTTTTAGTAGAGACGGGGTTTCACCATGTTGGCCAGACTGGTCTCGAACTCCTGACCTCAGGCAATCTGCCTGCCTTGGCCTCCCAGAGTGCTGGGATTATAGGTATGAGCCGTGGTGCCTGGCCTCTAATAGTTTTTTTGTTGTTGTTGTTGTTGTTTTTTATGGCTTCCTTAGGATTTTCTATATAAGACATGTCATCTGCAAATAGGGGTAATCTTGATTTTTTCCTTTCCAATCTGGATGCTTTTTTTTTTTTTCTTTTGAGACGGAGTCTCTCTCTGTTGCCCAGGCTAGAGTGCAGTGGCCCTATCTCAGCTCACTGCAACCTCCACCTCCCGGATTCAAGCAATTCTCCTGCCTCTGCCTCCTGAGTAGTTGGCATTACAGGCATGCACCACCACACCTGGCTAATTTTTGTATTTTTAGTAGAGACGGGGTTTCACCATGTTGAGCAGGCTGGTCTGGAACTCCTGACCTCAAATGATCCGCCCAGCTCGGCCTCCCAAAGTGCTGGGATTACAGGTGTGAGCCACTGCACCCGGCCTGGATGCTTTTTATTTCAAGTTTTTTCCTAATTGCCCTGGCTAGAGGATACATGCAATGTTGAATAGAAATGACAAGAACAGACCTTCTTACCTTTTCCCTGATCTTATGGGGAAAGGTTTGAATTTTAAACCATTGAAGATGATGTTACTTGGCTTTTTTTTTTTTTAATAGATAACTCTATGAGGTTGAGGAAATTTCTTTTTATTTCTAGTGTTTTTATCATGAAAGGGTGTTGGATTTTGTTTTTTTTGGTTTCTTTGGTAGAGTTTTGTTTTGTTTTGTTTTGCTTTTGAAACAGGTTCTTACTCTGTCATCCAGGCTGGACTGCAGTGGCATGATTATGGCCCACTGCAGCCTCAGCCTCCCAGACTAAAACTATCCTTCTACCTCACCCTCCCAAGTAACTGGAACTATAGGCACATGCCACCATACCCAGCTAAATTTTTAATTTTTTGCAGAGATGGGGGTCTCACTATATTGCCCAGATTGGTTGGATTTTGTTCAGTTCTTTTTCCATGATAATGTGACTTTCGTCTTTTACGTTAGGGATATAGTATATTACACTGATTTATTTTTATTCAACCAACCTTGCATTACTGCATTAAATCCCACTTGGTCATGGTGCATCACTGTTTTTATATGTTGCTGGACTTGATTTGCTAGTATTTTGTTAAGGATTTTTTTTTTTTTTTTTCCTGAAGACAGGGTCTCACTCTGTCACCTATTCTGGAGTGCAGTGGCCCAATCATGGCTCACTGCAGCCTTGACTTCCCAGGCTCAAGTGATCCTCTCATTTCAGCCTCCCAAGTAGCTGGGACCACAGGTGCACACCACCATGTCCAGCTAACTTTTGTATTTTTTGTAGAGATGGCATTTTTGCCATTATGCCCAGGCTGGTCTGGAACTCCTGAGCTCAAGCAATCCTCCTGCCTCGGCCTCCCACAGTGCTGGGATTACAGGCGTGAGCCACTGTGCCCACCCTGTTGAGGACTTTTATGTTCACTTTGTTTCTTTTCTTTTTTTTTTTAGACGGTGTCTCACTCTGTTGCCAAGCTGGAATGCAGTGGCGCGATCTCGGCTCACTGCAACCTCTGACTCCCTGGTTCAAGCGATTCTGTCCCAGCCTCCCGAGTAGCTGGGATTACAGGCACACACCACCAGGCGCAGCTAATTTTTGTATTTGTAGTAGAGATGGGTTTTCACCATGTTGGCCAGGATGGTCTCAATCTCCTGACCTCATGATCCACCCACCTCGGCCTCCCAAAATGCTGGGATTATAGGCATGAGCCATTGACCCTGGCTCCCATGTCCAGTTTCATAAGGATTATTGGCGTGTAGTTTTGTGATGTCTTTCTCTTGTTTTGGTATCAGGGCAATATTGGTCTAAAAGAATGGGTTGAGAAGTCCTCTCCTACTATTTCAAAAAGAGTTTGTAAAGGATTGGTGTTTCATTCAATGTTTTGTAGAATTCACCAGTGAGGGCATTTGATCCCAGTTGGGCTTTTCCTCGTGAGAGGTTTCTTTATTACAAATTCCATTTCTTGTTATAGGTCTGTTCAGATTTTCTGTTTCTTCTTGAGTCAGTTCTCATAGTTTGGGTCTATTAGTCTGTTCTTGTGTTTCTATGAAGAAACACCTGAGAGTGGGTAACTTATAAAGAAAAGAGGTTTTAATTGGCTCACAGTTCTTTAGGTTTTGCAGGAAGCATGGTGCTGGCATCTGCTTGCCTTCTGGAGGCCTTGGGAAGCTTAACAATCATGGCAGAAGGTGAAGGGGGAAGCTGGCCTCTCACATGGCAGGAGTGAGAGCAAGAGAGAAAGAGGTGTCACACACTTTTAAATGACCAGGTCTTGTGAGAACTGACTATCTCAAGGATAGCACCAGGGCATGAGGAATCTGCCCCTGTGGCCAAAACACCTCCCACCAGGCCCCACCTCCAACATTGGGGATTACAATTCAAGGTGAGATTTAGCAGGAGCAACATCTAAACTACATGAGGGTCTTTCTAAGAATTACTCATTTCATCTAGATTCTCTAAATTGTTGAGATAACAACTGTTCATACTGTTCCTTTACATTCCCATTTATTTCTATAATATTGATAGTAATATCCCCTCTTACTTTTCTGATCTAGTATAATTTGAGTATTCTCTTTTTTTTTTCGGTTGGTCTAGCTACAGAATTGTCAACATTGTTGACGTTTTCAGAGAACTAGCTTTTGTTTTTATTCATTTTTCTCTATTTTTGTTTCATTTATGTATACTCTGCTTATTTCCTTCTGCTTTGCTCTTTTTCTAGTTTCTTAAGGTAGATGATGTGGTTATTGAATTTTTTTT
Organism: Homo sapiens; assembly: GCF_000001405.40. NCBI lineage: Eukaryota > Metazoa > Chordata > Mammalia > Primates > Hominidae > Homo > Homo sapiens. The sequence goes on along the minus strand of NC_000011.10, from coordinate 108,209,905 downwards.
TTTTTTTTTTTTTTTTTGAGATGAAGTCTCACTCTGTTCCCCAGGCTGGAGTGCAGCGGCATGATCTCCGCTCACTGCAAGCTCTGCCTCCCAGGTTCATGCCATTCTCCTGCCTCAGCCTCCCGAGGAGCTGGGACTACAGGCGACTGCCACCACACCCAGCTAATTTTTTGTATTTTTAGTAGAAAGGAGGTTTCACCATGTTAGCCAGGATGGTCTCGATCTCCTGACCTCGTGATCTGCCTGCCTTGGCCTCCCAAAGTGCTGGGATTACAGGCGTGAGCCACCGTGCCTGGCCCAATGTGGTAATTGATTTTAAATTTTAAGGTTTTTGTTTACTTGTTTGTTTGTTTTGAGACAAGATCTCAGTCTGTTGCCCATGCTAGAGTGCAGTGGCGCGATCATAGTTCACTACAGCCTTGAACTCCTGAACTACTGGGACTACAGGCACGTGCCAGCACACCTACCTAATTTAAAGAGATGTTTTTAGACACAGGCTCTTGAATTCCTCACCTCATGGTACTCTCCTGCCTCAGCCTGCCAAATAGGTGGGATTATAGGCATATGCCACCATGCTTGGCTTATCTTTTTATTTATTTATTTATTTTATTTAGTTATTTATTTTTGACATGGAGTCTTGCCCTGTCACCCAGGCTGGAGTGCAGTGGCATGGTCTTGGCTCACTGCAGCCTCCGCCTCTCAGGATCACGCAGTTCTCCTGCCTCAGCCTCCTGAGTATCTGGGATTACAGGCGCCTGCCACCATACCCAGTTAATTTTTTATATTGTTAGTAGAGACGGAGTTTACCATGTTGGCCAGGCTGGCCTCAAACTCTTGACCTCAGGTGATCTGCCTGCCTCAGCCTCCCAACGTGCTGGGATTACAGGCGTGAGCCACCATGCCTGGCATCTCTTTTTTAAATACAGGTGTTTATAGCTGTAAATTTTCCACTGTGCACTGCTTTAGTTGCATCTCATAAATTTATTGACACTTATTTCATGTCCTAATATATGGTCGGCCCTGGAAAATGTTCCATGTACACTTGAGAAAAATGTGTATTATGCTGTTTTTGACTGGAATGTTCTATAGCTATCTGGTAGGTCTAGTTGCTTTACAGTTTAAATTTTCTGTTTGTTTATTGATCTTCTGCCTAGTTGTTCTATGTATTACTGAAAGTGTGGTATAGAAGCCTTCAACTTTTATTGTTGAATTATCTGTTTCTCCTTTCCCTTCTGTGAGTTTGCTTTATACTTTGGGCTCAGTTAGGTGTATTTATGTTTATAAGTGTTATTTCTCTCTCTCTCTTTTTTTTTTTTTAAAGACAGGGTCTCACCCTGTTGCCCAGGCTCGAGTGCAGTGGTGCAGTCATGGTTCGCTGCAGCCTCGACCTCCTGGGCTCAAGCTATCCTCCCACCTCCACCTCCAGAGCAGCTGGAACTACAGGTGCACACCACCAAGCCCAGCTAATTTCTAAAAACCATAGAGGTGGGTTCTCACTAGGTTTCCCGGGATGGTCTTGAACCCTAGGCTCAAGCGATTCTACCACCTCAGCCTCCCCAAAGTGAGCTACTTCACCCAGCCATGTTATCTTTTTGTGGATTGACCTTTTTTGTCATTATCTTTGTCTCTAGTAACAATATTTGTCTTAATACCTACTTTGAGACAGGTTGAGTATCCCTAATGCAAAAATTCAGAATGCTCCAAAACCAAAACTGTTTGTATACCAACATGACCCTCAAAGGAAATGTTCATTGGAGCATTTCAGATTTTCAGATTAGCGATGCTCAACCAGTAAGTATAATGCAAATGTTCCAAAATCTGAAAGGGAGAACAATCTGAAACACTTCTGGTCCCAAGCATTTCAGATAAGGGATATACTCAACCTGTATTAACATAACAACTTTAAGTCTTACTTGATTACTGGATGGTGTAATCCAGTCATCTTTCCTATCCTTTTACTTTCACCCTGTTTGTGTCTTTGAATCAGTCCAGCACCTGGTGCCAAGACGCCGGCTGCAGCACGGGAGGTGTGGCCAGGGCTGTGTGCTCCACAGGGCAGCAGGAGCTGGGAACAGATGGGTGCCCTGTCCCCTTCCAAGTTGGATGGGCAGGAGCCCTGCCCTCCCAGGTGCAGCTGCAGCTGTGGAGCAGGCATCCCTGCACTCTCGGGGGCCAGGGAAGCCCCCCTTTCCCTGCAGGCTTGGAAGCGCCTACTCCCGCTGCCTGGCCTCTCCCTGCTCCCGGTGCCCACTCCGATTTCAAAGTAAAGTTGAGGCTGAGCCTGCTGCTGTCGGGACCTGGCTGGGTGTGTGCACACTAGGGGCAGCACCAACACACCAGCCTCATGCTGCCTCGGTCCCCCTCTGGACTTTGAGCTCTGATGAGCACATGAGGGAGGCCAAGGGTGAGGCTGAGGGCAACTCGGCATGGGCCTGCCCCTTGGCATGAACAGCCTAAGCACCGTGGGCACCTTGGATGTCAGGTTGATGGTGGCAGGAGGCAGATGGTCTCCTAGGTGGAAAGGGGCAGGCCCCTGGTGAAGCCACACCTTCAAGCCAGAGACAGCTAAAGCCTGGGGGCCAGACTGCAGATCCATGGCCCAGAGTGAGAATTTATGGTGCTTTTTCTGCACCCACCCATGGCTGTCCATGGACCCATCAGCACATACTTACTCCCATTTGAGGTCCATAAAAACCCCAGACTCAGCCAGACTCACAGAGATGTTGGGACTACCAGCTGTGAGAAGGAGCTACTCACTGTGGGTCTCATCTCCACCGAGAACTGGTCACTTGTTGGGACAACCTGCCTGCAGAAAGGAGCTACCCACTGCAGCTCTATTCACTGAGAGTTGGACACTCGTCAGGATGACTTGCCTGCAGAAAGGAGCTACCCACTGTGGGTCTCCTCTCTGTTGAGAGCTGGACACTCATCAGGATGACCTGCCTGCACAGAAAGGCACTGCAGAAAGGAGCTTCCCACTGTGGGTATCCTCTCCACTGAGAGCTGGATACTCGTGGGGACGACCTGCCTACGGAAAGGAGCTACCCACTGCAGGTCTCCTGAGGGCTGTTCTGTCACTCAGTGAAGCTCCTCTCCGCCTTGAGCACCTTCCAGTTGACCGTGAACCTCATTCTTCCTGGACGCAGGATAATAACATGGGACCCACTGAAAGGCGGGACTGAAAGATCTGTAAAACAGGGCTGAAACATGCCCCCTTGCTCACCACGTTGCAGACAATGAGAAGGAAAGAAGAGCTGAGGCCCTTTGGGGAGCCCAGACCTAAGAGCTCCCCAAACCAGGGTTGTGACACCCTCTTTGGGGCTCTGGGATTCTTGATGTCTCCAAGCTTCAGGGTGCCACTACGTTCCCCAGTACCCACAGTGGAAGCCACTGTGGTATGTCTGATCCAGATGCAACCTCACAGGGAGCCAGTGCCTGGATATGCCCGCCCTACTGCATCCAACATGCCTGACTATGCTCGGTGGCTGAGCTCACTCATACACCCCTCACTGCTTCATGCCTGGCTCACCACCAGCAGGCATGGGATTAGGCCCAGTAGCATGAGCCAAACACAGCCTGCTTGGCCAAGTGGGCGGAACAAACCCAGCAGGCCCTAGCAAAACTCAGGCAAAGGCACCACCAGCCACAGAGGTTTCGAACTGGAAAAGCGACACCCTAAGGATCCTGTGACAACAGCATATAGTTGGATCATGTTTTTAAGGTCATATAAATTACACCTTCATACATTATATGCCCATATTGTTGTGTACAGTTATCTTTTTAAGCAGAGTTGGGGAAGAAAGTTTACGTACAACAAACACTTATACTATTTTATTTTTATTTATTTATTTATGTATTTTTGAGACAGGGTCTCGCTCTGTCACCCAGGCTGGAATGCCTTGGCATGATCTCGCCTCACTGCAGCCTCTGCCTCCCCAGTTCAAGAGATTCTCATGTCTCAGCTTCCCAAGTAGCTGAGATTACAGGCGAGTCCCACCACACCTAGCTAATTTTTTTGTATTTTTAGTAGAGATGGGGTTTTGCTGTGTTGGCCAGGTTGGTCTCAAACTCCTGGCCTCAAGTGATCCACCCGTCTAAACCTCTCAAAGTGCTGGGATTACAGGCATGAGCCACTGCACCTAACCTATACTGCTTTATATTATGTTGTTATCAAGTTACTCTCCAGTATCATCTCATTTTAGCCTGAAGGAGTCCCCCTTTAGTATTTCTTACAGGGAAAATCTGCTAGCAACTAATTCTTTTAGTTGTTTATTTGATAACATACAATTTTTAAAGTTTTAGTTTGGAGTCTTGTTAGATATAGAATTCTTCCTTGAGGCTGGCTGTGGTGGCTTACTCCTGTAATCCCAGCACTTTGTGGGGGCCAAGGTGGGAGGATCGCTTGAGGCTAGGAGTTCAAGACCTATCTAGGCAACATATAGTGAGACACCATCTCTATTAAAAATTTTTTCATTTAATTAGCCAGGCATAGTTGTGAGTTCCTGTCATCCCAGCTACCTGGGAGACTGAGGTGGGAGGATCGATTGAGCCCCAGCATTCAAAGCTACAGTGAGCTATAATGGTTCCTCTGCTCTTCAGCCTGGGCAACAGAGTGAAACGCTGTCTCAAAAAGAAAAGAAAATTCTTGGTTGACCTTTTTTTGCTATCAGTTTTTTATCTTTTTTCTTCAACAATCAAAGTAAATATCAAGTCTTTGAATATCATCTCACTACTTCTGGTTTCTGGTGAGAAATCAGCTGTCAGTCTTACTGAGAAACCCTTGTATGTGATGAGTTGTTTCTCACTGCTTTCACGATTTTGTTTGTCTTTGTATTTTCAGTTTGATTATGGTCTGTCTAGGTATGGATCTCTTTTAGTTTATCCTACTTAGAGACTGTTGAGCTACCTTCATGTGTAGATTAAGTTTTTTCTCAAATTTGCACGTTTCTAGACATTATTTCTTCAAATATTCTTTCTGGCATTTCTGTCGTTCTAGGATTTCCATTATGCTTTTGTTGGTAAAATTGATGGCATCCCTTAGGTCTCTGAGACTCTGTTCACTTTTCATCATTCTGGATTTGTTTCCATTCCTCAGATCAAAGGACTGTTACAACTCTGTCTCCTTCGTGCCATCCACAAGGCAGCGAATGATAGGGGGATGTGTTTCAGCTCATTTGTGTTAACAGCTCATTCAGGCCCACTGCCCCACTCTGGCTTGCGGCTCCTGGGCCTGCTTGGCCCTGCCACTGCTTCCTGTCATGTGGGGCGGCTGTCCGCTCCTGGCAGAAGGCAGGAGGGCTACAATGTTATAGCCCCTTTCCCACCGGCAGGTTCTGCAGGTTCGGCAGGTTCGGCAGGTTCCAGGGTTTTGTCCCGCATCTGAGAAGAATGAGATTACATGGACATGAGAGACTGAGCAAGGTGGAAAAGGATTTTTATTGAGCAACAGAACAGCTCTCAACATGAGAGGGTACCCAAAGTGGATAACCCTCTGTGTGATAGGGGTCCCAAAGGTAGGTAACCCCACGTGTTGCTGAGTCCAGGGTTTTTATGGGCTCAGAATGTGGGAGTGCATGTTGAGTGGTCTGTGGGCGGGCATTGGATTGGCCTTAGGCATCGAGGAAGTTTTCATTCTAGTTGTGGACTCTGTCCGGAACTGGCATGCAGTTTTCAGGCTTCAGGCCACCTTTGACTTGAATGTTGGGTTTCACCATGGACCCACCCCTGTCTGCCTGGGAATTTGTCTCTTGCTGCTATCAATCCTCCCTCTGAAGAAGTACATCTAACTGCCATTAGGATAAGGACAATGACCACAATTGCTGCTTTCTGCTGACGGGGTGCTGTTTTGCAAAAACAGCAGTCTGATCTCTCTCAGAGGCCTAAGAGTTCCCAGTAAAAGGGAGCCATCGTCTGAGGCTCCATTTGCATGACCATATGGAGTTTAATGATCTCTAATTGAGAAGAAACAAATTTTACAAGGAGGTTAAATATACATGGACCAAATATGTGTATTATACAAAGAGGAGCTAGAAGGGAAAAATGTAGTCCCAAAGATAACAGAAATAAGGAGCAAAATAGACTAAACATGCTGAAACAATGTTATGGCTAGAGCTGTTTCACCCTAGTGAAAGAAATTAAATCTTGTATGGGGACAGTTAAACTTTAGAAGAAAAATAACTGTTTAGGGGAGTATATAATCCCTTGGGGGTTCAGGATTAAGGGGTCCTTGGCAAAGATGCCTTGTGAGGAACAGAACAAGGGTGAGAAGAGCAAGCCTAGGAGAGACTATAAAGAGGATGTTCATGGTAGGTTAATGACACTTAACCTTTTGTCATTTAGCTTGAGGTCTCTGATTTTTTCACACTGGTACTTCGGGTACTGTTACAGGTCAACAGAGATAATTCCGTCAGTTTTCCCAGGCCTTTACTCGAGTATGATGAATCTAAGAATATTTTCCAGTGACATTTACTGCCATAGGAGTAGAAAGAAGTATGGTATAAGGTCACTCCCAGTGCCGACCTAGAGAGGGAGAGAGGGTAGGAAGTGCCTTTACCCAGTACTATGTCCCCTGGGTTGAATAGAGATGGCCCTAGTTCACAGAATTGGGCCTCTGACAGTTGTTTCAGTTCCTATTGGAAATGGGCCAAAGATGTTATACATGTAATCTAATCAGAGGTTTCTTGGTCTAGCAAGAAATCATTGGTGAGAAAAGGTCGTCTGTACATCATTTCAAAGGGAATTAAACCCAGCTTTGAAGGGGTGTTTCTGACATGTAGTAGGGCTATGGGAAGAAAAGTAATACAGGGCAGATGAGTCTCTCAAGACAGTTTTCTGCGGTACCTTTTGATAATATCATCTGTCTTTTCTCCCTTTCCTGAAGATTGTGGTCTCCTAGCACAATGAAGATAGTATTGTATGCCTACTGCCTTTGAGACCCCCGGGTGACAGCCTCCTTGAAGTAAGGCCCATTATCACTCTGGAGGTGTTTAGGAAGTGCAAAACGAATAATTACATCATTAATTAGTACTTTTATCACCTCAGAGGCTTTCTGTGTCCAACATGGAAATGCTTCTACCCAGTTAGTGAAGATATCTACCCACACTAGGAGGTAGTGGATGCCTCTCGTCTTCTGCATAGGGGTGAAATCTATCTGCCAGTCTTCCCCTGGGTAACCTCCCATTATTTGGGTTCCAGAAGGGAGAAGATGTTGCTTGAGGGGATTATTTCTAAGGCAAGTCTCACAAGCATTAGTGACCTTTTTGACCATTTTTAGCAGATTTTTACCTGAAAACCACATTTGGGCCAATTGATAGGTTTTATGCTTACCTAGGTGGAGGGCTTGCTGAAGGATTTTAAGAACTTTTAAGAACTACCTGGCTGGTAGCTGGTAGATGAAGTTTGCTGTCCTCTGATTGCAGCCATCCCGAGGGCTGAAAGGTGTGTCCCTGAGAGGTGGCCCATTCTATTTCCACAGGAGAATATTGAGGTTTTATTTCTCTTGGAGCCCTCCCAGATCAGAGGGGCCTCAAGTGGATCAGAAATCTGGGGCCCTCTTGCTGCCGACTTAGCTGCTTGGTCTGCCACCTTAGTTCCCTCAGCTATTTCATCTGTTCACTTTTGGTGGCCTTTACAATGTAATATTGCCACTTCCCATGGAAGGAAAACTGAGGATAATGATATCTTAATTTCCTGGTGGTATGAGAGACCTATTAGCTGTGAGGAAGTCCCTTTCTTTCCAGATAGTGGCATGGGCAGGGAGGACTAGGAAAGTATACTTAGAATCAGTATAAATGTTAACTGCTTTCCCTTTGCTTTATTCAAGCACCTTTGTGAGGGCAGTTACCTCAGCTAGTTGATCACTTGTGCCTGAGGAGAGAGGCATGCTATCAATAATATCATTTAGGGTGACTATTGCATACCCTGCTTTATGGATCCCTTATTCCACAAAAGAACTTCCATCTGTAAAGAGAGTCCAGTCTGGGTTCTCTAAGGAGGTTTCTTCAAGGTCCTCTCTGACCGCATAGGTTTGCACTACTATCTGTTCATAGTCATGTTCAAGCTCCCCAGCTTTCTCTGGGAGGAAAGTTGCTGGGTTTAGGGAAGGACAGATTCTTAACTGCAGATCTCTCTAATAGCACAGCTTAATATTTGAGGAGATGGTCATCCACTACCCAGAGCCTCCCCTTAGAGAACAGCAGTCCTGCCACATTATGTGGAGTATAAATGGTTACGTTATACCCCATGGTCACCTTAGTGGCCTCTGGTACTGACAAGGTTACTGCTGTGACTGCCCGGAGGCAGGCTGGCCATCCTTTAGCTACCAAATTCAGCTCCTTGCTTAGGTAACCTACAGGTTTCTGGGCTGGACCTTGGGCCTGAGTTGGAACTCCCTGGGCCATTCCTTTCCTTTCTGATACATAAAGATTGAATGTCTTCCCTATGGGAAGACTAAGGGCTGGTGCCTCAAGCAAGGCTTGTTTCAGTTGGTCAAAGGTCCTTTTAGCCTCTGGTTCCCAAATTAGGGAGTGAGTCTTAGTTGCCTGAGTCTCCTTTATTATGTGATATAAGGGACAAACTATTTCACCATACCCAGGTATCCATAGTCCTGTAATCCCCAAGAATCCTCTCAGTTGCTTGAGGGTTTTGGGGAGAGGAAAAGAGGAGATGGACTTAATTCTTTCTTCACCTAGTTCCCTGGTCCCCTCTGACAAGACTAGACCTAGGTACTTCACTGAAGTCTGACAGAGCTGAGCCTTAGATTTTGAGACCTTATATCCTCTGTTAGCCAGAAAATTAAGACAAGCCTTACTGTCCTCCTGAGACTTCCTCAATTGGAACGCAAAGGAGAATGTCATCTACATATTGTAAAACTTTCACCTGAGGATAAAGGAACTGCCCAAACAGCTGGGGGCTGTCTTAGAATCCCTGCGGTAACACCATCCAGGTTAGCTTTGTGGTCTGGTTGGATGGATCTTTGAATGCAAATAAATACTGGCAGTTGGGGTGTAATGGTATGCAGAAAAAGATGTCTTTTAGGTTCAGGACTGTGAACCATTTAGTTCCCTCAAGTATTTGAGTTAGTAGGGTATAGGGATTGGGAACCACCATATGGATTGGAACCACAGCCTCATTAATGAGGCAGAGGTCTTGGACCAGTCTCCTTCCTTTGTTGGGTTTTTGTACATCCAATATCAGAGTATTACAAGGGCTGTTGCAGGGTTTAAGGAAGCCCTGCATCCTTGAGTTATCAGTGATGGCTTCTAGCCCTTTCCTAACTTCTGGTTTTAGGGGATATTGTCTCTGGTTAGAGAAGGAGGTGGGATCCTTAAGGTGGACCTAGACCAGTATGGCAGTTGTGGCTGCACCAATTTTCCTTTCAGTTGCCCAGACTTCTGGGTTAATTAATATTGGTCTGCACTAGGGTGAGACAAAGAGTCTGTCCTGGAGCCATAAGGATGATGGGTCCCGTACCAGCTAAAATAGCCCTGCCTAGCAGAGGAGTTGGGCTTTCAGGCATGATTTAAAAGGCATGGGTAAACAAAAGGTCCCCTCAACTATAACTAAGGGGTTGGGAAAAATATCAGATTAAAGGCTTTCCTGAGACATCCCTCACAGTCACACTAAGAAAGGAAGGGGAGGCCTGGCCTAATAAGTTGCCTCCCAAGAGGGAAAAAAATCAGTCTCTTACATAGCAAAGCTCCCTGTAGTCATAGGACTGTGCTGACTCCTGACATGATTGCGGGGGCGGAAACAACTTAAACGCAGGTAGGGGAAGTTGCCTGAGGGAAATAACCTCTTGCCCAATGCAAATGGATTCCTTCAACAGGGGAAAGAAAACTCTCAGTCATTGCATCCTTCTTGCTTCTAAGAACAGACAAAAACCAAGTTGTTCTGAATTACACTGCTGATGACTAAGCAAAATGCTCATTCCACTCAATAATATTATCACTGTGGTTTGCAGCAACACCCTTAACGTTGTGTATGAAGAAGAGATAGGAGCCAGGAAGAGAGAAAGAAAATGCTATAGGAAAGACTGGAGGTCTTGACTGACACCCGAACGGGCTGTTGGGGATTGGGGCCAGTCCAGGAGCCTTCAGGTAACACTGAGGTGTAGCCTCAGCCAGATGCCTTCAGTTGCCCGAGGACCTTATTCCGATCCTATGCATTGGCTAGACCTCTGTGAAGGGAGACTGGATTGAAACAAAGCCAACATTCCCAGTACCCGAGGGTGATGGCAGAGGCTTGACAAAATCTTCCCCAGCAAGCCTGTCCTTTGCAGCTGTGCCATTCGCTCTTAACTGGCTGACAGAGGCCCAGTGCTTCATCCGTTTTTGGAAAAAAAATGTGAAGGCAAGAAGCCTCAGAAATGAAAGTGTAAGAGGTCCACTCTTACCCTTGCACAGATCCCAGACAAGCCTCCAGAAATGACACAGGATCCATTCAGTGCCGCTATGCTGTCCAGCATCTCTGTGGCCTGTGGCGCGCCTGCCTGGGCCTCGCTCGCCTCTAGGCTCATTGCTGGGCCCTCTCTGCCCACTTGACCCAGCAGACTGCTTCTGGCCCGGATTCCATGCCCACTGCAGCTCTGCATTAAGCCCCGCAGCTGGTCCAGTTGTGCCATGATTGTCTTCCACCTTGGGAGCCGGCGTCTGGGTGAGGGTGACACAGCAGCGCCCAAAAACTTGGAGATACCAGCAACCACAGAGCCCCAGCTGTTGCCCAGGGAGTTCTGAGGTCTGAGCCCCCAAGGACCGTTACAACTCTGTCTCCTTCCCACCGCCCACAGCATGGCAAACGGAGGTGGCAGGGGAGCGCATGTTTCAGCTCGTTTGTGTTACAGCTCATTCCGTCCCTCTACCCTGCTTCAGTCTGCTTCAGTCCTGGGCTGGCCCAGCCCCACTCCTGCTTCCTGTTGGGTAGCTGCCCAGTGCCAGCGGAGGGCTGAAGGGCTACAATGTTAAGAGTTCCTTTCACACCCACCATTCAGCAGGTTCTGAGATCTTGTCCTGCGTTTAAGAAGAATGAGGTTATGTGGACACTGGGGAGTGAGCAAGGTGGAAGAGGGTTTTCTTGAGCAACAAAACAGCTCTCGACACGAGAGGGGACCCAACGTGAGTAGAGCTCCATGTGAGAGGGGATTCCAAAGGCAGGTAGTCCCCATGTGTGGTTGAGTCTGAGGTTTTCATGGGCTCAGAATGGAGGTTTTTATGGGCTCAGAGTGCAGGCTGATTGGTCCATGGGTGAACCTGGAAAAAGCACCATTTGATTGGCTAAAAGACATCTAGGAAGTTCTCACTCTGGTCATGGGCTCTACACAGAACTGGCAGTCCAGTTTTCAGGCTTCAGACTGTCTTTGGCTTGAAAGTTGTCGGGTTTCACCGGGTACCCTACCCGTCTGCTTGGGAGTTTGTCTCCTGCTCTTATCAACTGTATTTCTTTATTCATATTTTCTATGTTGTGAGAGATTATTCTCATAATTTTCTAGACGTGGATTCCTTTAGTTTTTCCAACTTATTTAAAATTGCTTATTTAAAGTCTCAAGTCTAATGTCTGGATTTCCCTAGGCAGATTTTTGGTTTTTTGACTCTGTATGATCCATACTTCCTTATTTCTCTGCATATCTCATAATATTTTGTGGAAAATAGGATGTTTTAAATAATATAATGTGACAACTCTTGAGATTAGATTTTTCTTCTTCCATGTTTGTTGTTGTCTTAGCTGTTGCTGTTTGTCTAGTGAGTTTGCTGAACTAATTTTATGCAGTCTATATTCTGTGAAGAGTTGATACTCTGATTGGATGATGATTTCCTTAACTACTGGGAGCAAATTAATATCCCATTGTTTGCCAAGGGGGTCTGTGTGTGCTTTGGGGCATGCTTTAGTTCAGCCAAGCAGTTGACCCACTCTGCCTTAGCCTTCCTTCACTAGTTAAGGTTGATGTTCTTGTTGGAATTGATAATGCTTTGATTCCCAAAGGGCATAAATTAAGAATTAAGGGAGTTCCTGTCTCAACTTTCATGCAGAGTAGGTCTTCTGTTCATTCTTTTTATAAATCATTTGGCAAATAAATGAAGTATACAAATACATAGCAGTGTTGTGAGAACATAGTTTTCTGATAACGCAGTAAGTGAATTTATACCATCAACTGACTTGGTCTTTATGGAAGTTATGCAGTAGAGGGACATAGTTATTTATCATTAATTTATTGGTTCTCCTGTAAGTACTGTGAAGTAATTATACTTTGTTAAACACTTTATTTTACTAGTTTAGCTAGAATTGTTTCTTGTGAAAGGGCCACCTGTTCTATGAACTGTACTTTGTATTGCAGCACAACCTGGTGTTTCTGTTCAAGGCTGCCAAACACTAGAGCATTCCACCTAAGGTTTCAATTGTGACATCAGTACATGCTACAGCATTTTCAATAGCAGTTTTAACCAAAAGTACAGAATTTAGTATAAGTACCTAAACTTTTATTTTTTATTTAGGTTACTTACAGCAAGAAAACCTCATTTCTACCTGCCAGACTTTTATTTTGGAAAGTTCAGATTTAAAAGAATATGCAGAACATTGTACAGATGAAGGGTTTATTCCAGCCTGCTTACTGGTGAGTTATTTGTTCCTTAAGGGAAATATTTCATCAACACAAGAGACTAAAAACATAGTCATAAAATCAGCTTATCAGAAAAAAAAAATTGAAATTGGCAGAAATTTGGTGGTTTATATTCATGCATGACTGGTAAGACCCAAAGAAGACCAGCTTTTCTTTTTACAAATTTATGCCAAAACTATTAAATGAATTACAACTTTGACTCCGAGAGTTAGTTTCAAAATGACACCCTCGTTTCTGATTAGTTTCGCTGCTGCTGTCTCCAAGCCTTTTTTTTTCTTCCTGACCTGTATCTGGCTGCTCCTTTTAGACAAATATAAAACAGATATTTTGATATATTATTGTCATCTCTTTTGTTAAATATCACTAGACCAACAAACCATCATTTGGTACATAGTGGATACCTTCCAGAACTACATCATTTCACATGGTGTTTGCCATTTTATTTTAATCATGGCTCCTTAAAGGCTATCACAGATAACATGAATGTCTGCTTAGGAAACTGAAAATGATGCAAAACTAAAGTTAAGCAGGGTCATAGAATACAGAATATACACAAATCCATTATATTCCGTATGCCTGCAATGAACAATTGGATTTTGAAAATACCCGTTTATAATAGCAACAAACAAACAAACAAAATGCTTAGAGATAATCTAACAAAATATGTGTGAAATCCAAATGCTCAAAATTGCCTGAGATCTAAGGCCTGAATAAAAGGAGAATTGTATTGTGTGTACAAATTGAGAGACTCAATATTGTTAAGGTGTTAGTTCCTCCCAATTTAATTATAGATTTTTCACAGTCAAAATGCCTGCAAGCATTTTTATAGATAACACAAAGCTGAATTCTAAGTTTTAAATGGAAAAGAAACTAGAATAGCCTAAACAGTTTCTGAAAAAGAACAACTTGGAGGACTCACATTACCAGACTTCAAGACTTACTAAAAAACTATGATAATCGAGATGAAGGGGCATTTTTGATAGTTTAGGCATGTGGAACCACATACAAGTCCATGTAGAGACCCACACATCTGATTTTGACAAAGGATTAAAGACAATTCATTGCAGAAAGGATGGTCTTATCAACAAATGTTGCTGGAACACTCAGACATCCATATGTAGAAAAAGAACCTCTACAAATACCTCATACCTTATGCAAAAATTAACCAAAATGGATCAGAATGTAAAACACAGGACCGTAAGACTTCTAAATGAAAACATAAGAAAAAAATTGTGCAAAGTTGGATTTGACAGTGAGTTTTATATATGACACCAAAAGCATGGGCTATAAAGGCAAAAATTAGGCAAATTCAACTTTATAAAAAATTAAAAACTTGCTCTACAAGAGGCACGTTAGAAGAAATAGGCTGGGCCAGACCCAATGGCTCATGCCTATAATCCCAGCACTTTGGGAGGCCCAGGCAAGAGGATTGCTTGAACTCAGGAGTTCTGTACCAGCCTGGGCAACATAGTGAGACCTCATCTCTAGAAAACAATTTTTAAAAATTAGCCAGGTATAGTGGTGCACTTAGTCCCAGCTGCTTGGGAGGATGAGGCTGGAGGATTGCATGAGCCCAGGAGGTCAGGGCTGTTGTGAGCCACAACTGCACGGCTGCACTTCAGCCTGGGTGACAGAGTAAAACCCTGTCCCAAAAAAAAAAGGCTGGGTGAAAATATTTATATCTTACATGTCTGATAAAGGGTTTGTACCCAGAACATATGTATAGAATTCTTAAAACTTAACAACAAAAACCAAACAATTTTTTAAGTGGATAAGAGATCTGAAGATACTTTACCAAAGAAAATATACAGATGGCAATAAGCATATGAAAAGATCTTCCATATCATTAGTCATTAAGAAAATGCAAATTAATACCCCAGTGAGATACTAATTCCTGTTAGAATGGCTAAAATAAGAAAACAGGTTTAAAAACTGGCAAGTCCTTCACCACAAATATGCAGAGCAGCAGGAACTCTTGTTTCTTACTGGTAAGAATTAAAAGTCATACAGTGGCTTTTGAAAACAGTTTGACATGATTATGACATGATTATATGATTATGCATGTACTCCTCATGTGAACCAACACTCACATTACCCAAATCAATTGGAAAACTTGTTCTCACAGAAAAACCTAGACACTGGTGTTTGCTTATAGTGGCTAAAAACTGAAAACAGGCTAAGTGTGGTGGCTCACACCTGTAATCCCAGCACTTTGGGAGGCCAAGGCGAGTGGATAGCGAGGTCAAGAGTTCAAGACCATCCTGGCCAAGATAGTGAAACCCCATCTCTACTAAAAATACAAAAATTAGCTGGGCATGATGGCGTGCGCCTGTAGTCCCAGCTACTCGGGAGGCTGAGACAGGAGAATCGCTTGAACCCAGGAGACAGAGGTTTTGGTGAGCCGAGATTGTGCCACTGCACTCCAGCCTGGGCAACAGAGCAAGACTCCATCTCAAAAAAAAAAAAAAAATACTGAAAACAGGCCAGGCGTGATGGCTCACACCTTTAATCCCAGCACTGTGGGAGGCTGAGGTAGGAACATGGCTTGAAGCCAGGAGTTCGAGGCTATAGTAAGCTGTGAGCAGCCACTGTACTCCAGCCTGTGTGACAGAGCAAGACCCTGTCTCTAAAAAATAAAAATAAATTTTAAAAACTGGTGACAACGAAGATGTCTTTCAAAAATTGACAAACTCTGATGTGTTCATAACAGCAATACTCCACTACTCAGCAATAGAAAGCAACATGCTATTGATTCACACAATAACGTGGATGAATATTAAATAAATCCTTCTGATTTCTTCTAAATTAACAATTCTGAACAAATAACAAATTGTAGATAGTGGGAGCCAGATTTCTCACTGTGTGAGGAAGAAGATACAAATAAACATAATAATGAAACCAGTGGTGTTGGGTTATAGTCTGAGATATTGGTATGACACTGTAGTTATTTTAATATATATATATACAGCTAGATGATACAAATGCTTGTGTATATGCATTTGTACATGTATGTATAGCTGTCTGCTGAGAGGGTCTGGAAGCAGTGATACCCAAGTAGCTATAATGTCCTAGTCAAACAGGCAAGATTCTTTAGAAGCTTGGATGCAAACCCTAATTTCAGTGGCTATTTTCATTTTCGATTACCTGCTTCTTTACCCTTTCCTCATCGCTACTCTGCAGTCAGATCTTTTATTAAGTTGAATGGTAGAATCTTTTCTTGTGAGAAATTATTGGTAGTATTATACAATTTTGGTAATATTTGATCTTTTTCTTTTCAGTCCTTATTTGGAAAAAACTTGACAACAATTTTAAATGAGTATGTAGCTATGAAAACAAAAGGTAAGAGTTCTGATTTGGAGTTTTTTTGCTGATGTATACAATATTTATCTACTTGATTTAGTTAAAAATGATTTCTAAAGGTTATTAATGTCTCATAAAAGCCTTGAAAAAACTTGTCCCTGTTGTAATGAGATAAATTTTTCTGGGACACATCTAATTTGTTTGTGGGTTTTGGTTTTTTGTTTTGTTTTGTTTTTTTGGTTGTTGTTTTTTGTTTTTTTGGTTTTTTTTGAGACGGAGTTTCAATCTTGTTGCCCAGGCTGGAGTGCAGTGGCGTAATCTCAGCTCACTGCAACCTCCAGCTCCTGGATTCAAGCGATTCTCCTCAGTCAGCCTCCCAAGTAGCTGAGAATACAGGCATGCGCCACCATGCCCGGCTAATTTTGTATTTTTAGTAGAGCCAGGGTTTCTCCATGTTGGTCAGGCTGGTCTCGAACTCCCGACCTCAGGTGATCCACCCACCTCGGCCTCCCAAAGTGCTGGGATTACAGGTGTGAGCCACTGCCCCCAGCCATTTGTTTGTGTTTACATTGAGTGGTACATAAATTGCAACAATCTTTATGTTAGCAAAAATAACCCAAAAACTACCTTTAAAAAATATGTAAAATAAAACTCTTACCTCTGTGTTATCTACACTGATAAACAGACATCACTATGTGTTAAAAAGTTTTAAACTGACATTTTAATTTTAATTCTATGTAGTCTAAGTCTGAACACAGAAGCCAGTCATACACTGGCTTATAGTTACTAGAATATAAAATTCTACTTGCCTAAATTAAGGATGTTTTAGAGGGAAAGTTTTGACTGCTTATTCTCTAATATTGATTATTTTCAATAGCTTACAACATTAACAAAACAATTAGCACTAAAGAATTCGCATAAGATGATAACAAAGGAAAAGAAGCTTGACATTTTTTGACATTGTCTGTGTATAAGCATTGTGCTACGTGCTTTCATATGTTTTTTTTCTCATTTAGTCTTTTCTTTGTTTGTTTTTTTTTTGAGACGGGAGTCTCGCTCTGTTGCCCAGGCTGGAGTGCAATGGCGCGATCTCGGCTCACCGCAACCTCCGTCTCCCGGGTTCAAGCAGTTCTCCTGTCTCAGTCTCCCGAGTAGCTGGGACTATAGGCGCACGCCACCATGCCCAGCTAATATTTGTGTTTTTAGTAGAGACAGGGTTTCACTATGTTGGCCAGGTTGGTCTCAAACTCCTGACCTCATGATCTGCCCACCTCAGCCTCCCAAAGTGCTGGGATTACAGGCGTGAGCCACCATGCCCGGCCTCTCATTTAGTCTTTAGAATAACCCAGTGAGAGAGATTGTTTAAAGCCATTTTTAAATATGAGAAAATTGAGGATTAAATTTCCACACTTATAAGGAATTTGCATAACCTTTATGATAATTATTATAAGACAGATTACTTTAATTCACTTTCATATGTCACATGATATCAGATAGAACAAAGATCAAAAAATTGTTTCTCCTTTTTTTAATAAAATGAAGGTGTAAAATTATTGGCCAAAAAATGCTTCAGAGATTTTACAGATGTCCATTTCTACTCATATTGTATCTGATACTCAGTGGCTTTAGAAGAGAAAGCAACCGCATTATAGCTTTGCAAGCTATTTTACAACATAGATTTATTTCTCATTTTCCAACATACTGTCAATAATTGAGAGACAAGGTTTTTTGTGTGTCTTTGTTCAGAATGAATGATGAAATTTCTTCAGCTGGGTTTATTAAGAACCTTTTCTCCTATGATTTAGAAACATCAAATAATGTCCCAGCAATAATGTCATCTCTATGGAAGAAATTGGACCATACACTTTCTCAGATCAGGTAATAAGCTATTAGAATGTGCCTAATGATTTTGGAATGCAAATACACTTTGGGTTTAAATCTTCTTAAGACCTACACAGTGTACTTATATAACACTCATCCAGTTTTGAAATTACTCTAGAGGTTGCTGGTACTGTGGAGGTTACTGACTGACATAATTTGAAATAAATAGCATACTTTTAATAAAATATTTAGAAAACTAAGATATGTAGTAGTTTAATGACATTTCCAAGTTTCCATAGCAATTTAAAGGCAGATATATTGTTAGAATACAAATCACCTAATCCCAGGCCACTGTGAATTCCCTTAGGCAACTGTCTCTTTATTACATATTCACAGAATTGATGCGTTGAACCCATGCCCACTTGGTTTCTTAACTTGTAAAGAAAAAAGCTTGAAGAATAATGCTAATTCTGAAATCTTCTGTTATCAATTTTATGAAAATCTCATATTTGACTATAGAATTTGTTATGAAAACCATAGTCTCTTAACCTTTCTTTCAGAGCTATAAGTGACTACCCCACCTAACTTCAGCATGGGTTTCATTTTCTTCCTCTGCTTAACCTGCTAAAATGGCTCCAAATGCTTTCTTCTTAACTCTGGACCACATCTTACTTGGTAGTCTTATCTTTATATTTCTCTTTCCTGACTCGAGTTTTGTGGATCTTGTTGGAGACTTACTTGACATATTTTTTATGATAATGGCACCGTGTCTGTGACTTTATCGAATAAAGGGGTGGGCCACTCTAATTCATACTAAAAGAATTAACTTGTACTGTGAATTTTTCCATGTTTGTTGGCATCTTCTTTAGAGGTACAATAAAATAATTTCATAGTCATAAATTTTATAAAAGCTGGATGTCCTCTGACATCAACTTGGGGATTCTGAAGTATTTATATATGGAGTCATGTGAAATCAGAATTTCTCTGTGGGAAGGCATCTCTATAATTGTGAAAGATAATAAAAAATGTATACTTTGTATATTCTTACTCAAAAATGTTAATATGTAGAGTTTCTAAAGTTAAATTATCTTCTGTTCATTTTTTTAAGAGGTAGGGTCTCACTCTGTTACCCAAGCTGGAATGCGGTGGTGTGATCATAGCTCTTGTAGCCTTGAACGCCTGAGCTCAAAAGTTTCTCCCACCTCAGCCTCCCAAGTACCTAGGACTACTGGCACATGCCACCTGGCTAATTTTTATTTCATTTTATAGAGACAGAGTCTTGCTATGTTGCTCAGGCTGTTCATGAACTCTCGGCCTCAAGTGATCCTCTCACCTCAGCCCCCCAGGGTGCTGGGATTGCAGGCATGAACCACCATACCCAGCCCAGATTGCATTCTTAACGTAATGTCAAGGCACTCTAATGCATTATTACATTGGATAGAAACTTCTTAATGAAAATTATGTGTGTTGTGAGTGTGTCTACATGCCACTATTTTTCTCCTAAAGCAAATCACAGTTGCTTGCCCAAAAAATGTGTGTGTTTGTCTTTTTTGTCTGAGAGAGATTTTTTGCCTTTTACCTCATAACTAACTTGAGGTCTGACTGTAACTAAATCATAGTGGATGTCAGCAACAAACATTTTTTGATGGATAACTACTTTGTTTTCTTTGTTAGGAGCATGCAAAGTTCCCCAAGGTTTGCTGGCAGTCAGAGAGGTTGGTATCCAACTTTAAACAATGTTCACAATTACTTCAAACTTAAACTATCAGATGAACATTTTAATTCATTGTACACATGTGCTAAGTATATATTTTCCTTAAACTACTGTTTTTCTTTCTTTTTTTTTTTTTTTTTTTTTTTTTGAGACAGTGTCTCGCTCTGTCGCCCAGGCTGAAGTGCAGTGGCACGATCTCAGCTCACTGCAACCTCCACCTCCCGGGTTCAAGCGATTCTCCTGCCTCAGACTCCCAAGTAGCTGGGACTACAGGCGTGTGCCACCACACCCAGCTAATTTTTTTTGTATTTTTAGTAGAGATGGGGTTTTGCCATGTTAGCCAGAATGGTCTCAATCTCCTGACCCCATGGTCCGCCTGCCTCAGCCTCCCAAAGTGCTGGGATTACAGGCGTGAGCCACCGCACCTGGCCAAACTACCGTTTTTCTAAGTACAGTTATGTTAATTAATATTTTCATTTATCATTAAAATATTTTGTAAATACTCCCTACATTTCACATTGACTCATGTAGAATGTTTTAATTCTCATTTCATAAGTTCAGGTTTCTTGTTTTTTGTTTTTTTTTTTTTTTGAGACGGAGTCTCGCTCTGTCGCCCAGGCTGGAGTGCAGTGGCGCGATCTCGGCTCACTGCAAGCTCCGCCTCCCGGGTTCACGCCATTCTCCTGCCTCAGCCTCCCGAGTAGCTGGGACTACAGGCGCCCGCTACCACGCCCGGCTAATTTTTTGTATTTTTAGTAGAGACGGGGTTTCACCGTGTTAGCCAGGATGGTCTCGATCTCCTGACCTCGTGATCCGCCCGCCTCGGCCTCCCAAAGTGCTGGGATTACAGGCGTGAGCCACCGCGCCCGGCCAAGTTCAGGTTTCTTAATTCATGGTGTTATCAATATTAATTACTGCAGAACAAATATAATCTTGGATTTATAAAGCTTGATTGTATTCATTTTAGTTTCTTCTGAAAGTCGCATAAATTTAGTTGATATATTTAGGAATCATTCTTCAATCTGTGGATGTAACACGTTGTTATATAATAGGTTGCATCATATTGACTTCTTACAATTCCCAAACTACCCTGACGTTGAATTTGTTTTTTAAATGCTTATATGTTTCAGCCCGAACGAGAACTGGAATTGCAGAAATCAAACGGCAGAGAAAGCTTGCATCTCAAACAGCTCCAGCCAGTGCAGAGTTGCTCACTTTACCTTACCTTTCAGGACAGTTTACCACTCCTCCTTCCACAGGTACACAGGTTACTCGACCAAGTGGCCAAATTTCAGATCCATCGAGGTCATATTTTGTAGTGGTCAACCACTCACAGTCACAAGATACTGTAACCAGTAAGTTTACATTTTGTTCTCTTAAATTTTGTTGTTAATCAAATTGTATGAATGAGATAATATACTAATGTCTTTATACTCATAGTGTAAAATTATGGCCCCCCCCATAAAAGATGAGAGAGACTAAAAGTGGAACAGACTTCTAGATTTGCTATAAGCATATAAAATCTTTAAGGCATTTTAATCTAGGGTTCTTCCTATTTCTACGCTAATTGAAGTCTTCAACTCTCTAATTCTCAATTTTTGGCATTAAGAGAAAAAGAAGCTGTTGTATTTGATTTTAAATGGAATGTACATTATATTTTCTACTTCCTTGCCTTTGTTGATGTCAGTCTGTCCTCCTGGAATGAGGAATGCCTTTCTACTTCTCTATCTTTACATGTTAGAAATCCTACATATGCCTGGCTGAACCTTAGAGTTAGGAATATCCTTAGAGAGTGTGTGGTATATCTTATTTGTTGCATACTTGAAACTTCTGAAAACACATGGTAGTTAAGGGATAAGAAGCTAGTTAATAACAGAGTTGGGATTAGAATTCAGGAGTTAGCACTCTCAGTTCACAAACCAATTATCTTTCTGTGCAGCTAAAATTTGTTGCCATCAAGATCTCCCTCATTTTCACCTTTTCCAAATCCTTTTCTACACCCAGAATGCTTAGTTTATACTTCTTAGACTTTTTCCATTCTACTGTATTATTTTTTGTTGAGACTATATTGTACTTTGGATTTTATTGTAAAACCTTAAGGCATAAAGACTGTATTTTATTAATCTTAGTGTCTTTTACCATGCTTTACACATGGTAGGCACTCAGTACATGTTAATTGAATTTAATATAAAATAATAATCACTAATGCTTTTTATCCCATTACAAGTTTAGAAAACTATTCAGTTTCTTTGGCTTACTGTTATGTTTTCTTGAAATACAGCTGGAGAAGCTTTAAATGTCATTCCTGGTGCTCAGGAAAAGAAAGCACATGCCAGTTTAATGTCTCCCGGTAGACGCAAAAGGTAAATGCTTTTTAAAAGAGACAAGTTACCCGTATCCATTAAAAAAAAAAAAAAAGAATTACATCAGGATACTTACATTGTGAATAAACTAATAGGACCAGATTATGTTCTGATCTATATTAGAACTATTCCAAAATACATTGTCTTTCTTCACATTTTAACCTGCCTGAAATTGGGTTGCATCTCTCAATTAATGGCATATCACTGTTTCATGGGAAATATGTTTATTCTGTAATGGTATATAAAATAATGGTATATCTTACAAATGATGTTATCTGAGATTTTTTGCAATCCATGTTTTTTAACTGAATGTAAATAATACAGTTATGTTCTATGCTCCACACACATTTAAAGTCCTAAGATCAATTGATGGAATTTTTCCAGGCACAATCTTTGAGAAAAGTGTTTTTCCCAAAACACTTTTGAGAAAAGTGTGTCTTTGTTTGAAGGATATTTTTTGAAAGAGATAATAGTTTTAAAATGTTTATTCTAGTTTCTTAGCTCCCAAGCCCTGGGTATTTTTGTTAGAGTTTTTACTTTTGGTTGTCTTTCATTCAAGACTGACCTTAGTTAGCCTCCTTTATTGGAGCCTTTCTCACTTCACCATATAAAATAACAAACAGCAATATCCATTTTTTTATTTTTAGAGATAGGGCCTTGCTGTCTTGACCAGGTTAGAGTATAGTGGTACAATCATAACTCACTGCAGCCTCGAACTTGTGGGCTCAGAAGATCCTCCCACCTTAGCCTCCCCAGTAGCCAGCAGCACAGGCACATGCCGCCACACCCAGCTAATTTTTTTATTTTTTGTAGAGATGGGGGTCTCACTTTGTTGCCCAGGCTGGTCTGAAACTCCTGGCTTCAAGTGATCTTCCCACCTTGGCCTCCAAAATTGCTGGGATTACAGATGTGAGCCACCATGCCCAGCCATAAAAGAGCAACATTAATATTTAACATTTATAGGAACCCTGACTTTTTAAATAAAGTCTTTATATATACTTTATTTCATTCCATTCTTTAGTAAACCCAATAATGCAGTTGGTCATTATAAAGTAGGTTAGAGAGTCAGAGCTTGCTGTGCTTCAGACCATAGGTAGTAAGTGGTAAAGCTAGACTTCAAACTCATTTTTTTGAATTCAAGACTACTAATACTTTTTGTACTTCCCTTTGTTCCTAACACAAATAGAGAAAATATAGTTGACCTTGAATAACATGGGTTTCAACTGCATGGGTTCATTTATACTCAAGTTTTTTTCAACCGAACACAGATTAAAAATTTAGTAGTAAAACCTGCCTATATGCAGTGTGCTGACTTTTTGAATACATGGGCTTCCTAGTGCAGACTGTAGGACTTGAGTACATGTGGATTTTGATATCCTTGGGGGTCCTGAAACCAGCCCCCTGCAGATACAGGGACAACTGTATCTGTTCTGTTATGGTGATCTTAAAATTTATGTCTGTATATGTATTTATCTTTAAATCTGTTAAATATAGTGGTTAAAAGAAAAGCTTTTAAAATGTGTTTCAGTGAATCTCAGAGAAAAAGTACCACTTTGTCTGGCCCTCATTCAACAATACGGAATTTCCAAGATCCAAACGCTTTTGCAGTAGAAAAAGTAAGTGACTCTGCCAAACTTTGCAACTTAAAATATTCCTGAGTTTAAAAATACAGATATATACACAAATGTATGTATGTGTGTATGTATCAAATAAAGAAACAGGAGTAAGTTTATAGATATCTGTAAATACATTGTTGTTGTTGGATCATTTAATAAAATACTGGCCAGGTGCTATGGCAAACACCTGTAATCCCAGCACTTTGGGAAGCTGAGGTGGGCAGATTGCTTGAGCTCAGGAATTCAAGACCAACCTGGGCAACATGGTAAAACCCCCTCTCTACAAAAAATACAAATATTAGCTAGGTGTGGTAGCACGTGCCTGTAGTCCTAGCTGCTTGGGAGGCTGAGATGGGAGGACTGCTTGAGCCTGGGAGGTCAAGGCTGCAGTGAGCCATGATCATACCACTACACTCAAGCCTGGGTGACAGAGTCAGACCCTGTCTCAAAAAAAAAAACTGGCCGGCGAGTAGTGGCTTGTACCTGTAATCCCAGCACTTTGAGAGGCCAAAGCCAGCGGATCTCTTGAGGCCAGGAATTCAAGACCAGCCTGGACAACTGTCTCTACTAAAAATACAAAAATTAGCTGGGTGTGATGGCACACGCCCGTAATCCCAGCTACTATTCAGGAGGCTAAGGCACAAGAATTGCTTGAACTGCGAGGTGGAGGTTGCAGTGAACTGAGATTGTGCCACTGTACTCCAGGCTGGGCTATAGAGCGACACTGTAAAAATAGGGCATTTACTGGGGTTTGATGATGAGTGTGGAACTGTATAAGAAAGAGTTGGTGAAAGATCTGTGAAAACATTTGCAAATTATGAAGTGTTGTATTCAGGTATTAATATGGAGGGAGCCATCACAACTTCTGAGTTTCCATTTAGGTTTATTAAAACTATCCAGCTCTTATCGGTTTGTTCTTTTCTTATAAATATTAAATAGCAGAATACTCTTTATTGTCCTTTTGCTAACAGTGGCTTTCTTTTCCAGCAAATGGTTATTGAAAATGCACGAGAAAAAATACTAAGCAACAAATCTCTTCAAGAAAAGCTAGCAGAAAACATAAATAAATTTTTAACTAGGTAAGCTATATATGTTTAAAATGCCTAATTGTTTTTGCCTAATTGCATAACTATAATAAAGATTTTTCTTTCTTTATTAACAGTGATAACAATATTGCCCAAGTACCTAAGCAAACAGATAACAACCCTACGGAGCCAGAGACTTCAATTGATGAATTCCTAGGACTTCCGGTATGGGTGGTTGGGGTGTGCATGGGTGCGTGTGTGTTACTTATACTTAAGATTGATGGTAATTTTGGTTTCATTTCAAAACCATTGCCAACATAAGATGTTATGATTTGCCATCTAATTAGATAAAATGATTTACAATAGTAAGATAAAACTTTTCTTCATTCATTGAATGCAGTCTGTTCCTGAAAAACACATTGGATGATGACTTAAAATAGAATCTATATTGCATCCACAGTCATGGATTCCTAAGTATTCAATACTTAAACATTTATTAGTGGGTATATTTGTGTGTAATAAACAGTAATACAGTGTTTATATAAATTACATTTCTTCTACACTGCTACAAATTGTATAATAATTTAGAGAAACAATGAAATGATACAATAAAGATATGTAATGGGGCCAGGCATGGTGGCTCAATGCCTGTAATCCCAGCACTTTGGCAGGCCAAGGAGGGCAGATCACTTAAGGCCAGGAATTCGAGACCAGCTTGGCCAACATGGTGAAATCCCATCTCTACCAAAAATACAAAAATTATATGGGCATCATGACACATGCTTGTTATCCCAGCAGCTCGGGTGGCTGAAGCAGGAGAATCCTTGAATCTGGGAGGGCGGAGGTTGCAGTAAGCGGGGATCGCACCACTGCTCTCCAGCCTGGGTGACAGAGCAAGACCCTGTCTCAAAAAAATAAGAAAAAATATGTAATGAATCCAAGTAATAGTTAACAAAATAAAATGAACAAGACTTTTTTTTTTTTTGAGATGGAGTCTCACTTTGTCGCCCAGGCTGGAGTGCAGTGGCACAATGTCAGGTCACTGCAAGCTCTGCCTCCCAGGTTCATGCCATTCTTCTGCCTCAGCCTCCTGAGTAGCTGGGACTACAGGCGCCCACCACCATGCCCGGCTAATTTTTTTGTATTTTTAGTAGAGACGGGGTTTCACCATGTTAGCCAGGATGGTCTCCCTCTCCTGACCTCGTTATCTGCCCGCCTCGGCTTCCCAAAGTGCTCGATTACAGGTGTGAGCCACCGTGCCCGGCCAATAAAATGAGCAAGACCTTTTTAAAAAGAAAGATTGCTAACCAAATGACAACTTGCCTGTGAGGCTTAATACTAAGAGAAGAAAGATGGGGACAATGGTCACTGTTGCTATTGGTAGTAAATACAAAAGAGAGTGAGCTAGTAAGGGAGGAATATAACAGTCTATGTTTTAAGATTTGTTCATGTGCAACTATCCTTTAATTTACTTTTTTTTTTTGAGACAGGGTCTCACTTTGTTGCCCGGGCTTGAGTGCAGTGGCTCAATCACGGCTCACAGCAGCCTTGATCTCCCCCAGCTCAAGTGATACTCCCATCTCAGCCTTCTGAGTAGCTGGGACTACAGGCACATGCCACCATGCTCAGCTAATTTTTGGTTTTTGTTTGGTTTTGTTTTTTGAGGTGGTGTCTCGCTGTGTCACCCAGGCTGGAGTGCAGTGGCACGATCTTGGCTCACTGCAACTCCTGAGTTCAAACGATTCTCCTGCCTCAGCTTCCCAAGTAGCTGGGATTATAGGCATGCACCTCCACGCCTGGCTAATTTTTGTATTTTTAGTAGAGACTAGGTTTCACCATGTTGGCCAGGATGGTCTTGAACTCCTGGCCTCAAGTGATCTGCCTAACTCGGCCTCCCAAAGTGCTGGGATTACAGGCATGAGCTATCTCACCTGACCCAAGTACCCTTTTTGAAGAGCAGCTGCAATTGTGATTTTAGGACATCTTTTTACTTGGACCATTGGACAATAGAAATATTTTTATTGGCATGCCCATGTGAGTGTATTAGAGCAGGTTTTCTTTCAATTGAATTCTGAGTAAAGCCATTGAGCCCTTGAATTGTTTTTCTCTATGTCAGTTCTACCAGTACTTCTTTCAAAAACCTCTCTTATCTTACCACTTAATAAATATGGGCCAGGCACAGTGGCTCATACCTTTAATCCCAGCACTTTGAGAGGCCAAGGCAGGAGGACTGCTTGAGCCCAGAGGTTCAAGACCAGCCTGGACAACATAATGAGACCTCATCTATACAAAAAAAATTTTTTTTTTAATTAGCCAGGTGTTATTGCATGTACCTGTTGTCCCAACTACTCGGGAGGCTGAAATGGGAGGATCACTTGAGCCTGGGTGCTCAAGGCTGCTGTGAGCTCTGATTTCACCACTATACTCCAGCCTGGACAACAGAGCAAGACACTGTTTCAAAACCAAAAAACAAATATGTATGCTCTGTTCTAAGTTTTTGTGTTCTCCAACTTTTTGCTTATTGTTTCTTTATAAATACATCAGGTGCTTACCATAATCAGGGTACTCTGTTAAACACTGTGAAGGATTGTAAGAAAGTAAAGACACAACCTACTGTTCTTGGTTGTTCATAATACTGTATTCGTAGAAAGTTAAGAATTAAGATTTAGCTGGGTGTGGTGGCTCACGCCTGTAATCCCAGCAGTTTGGGAGGCTGAGGCAGGTGGATCACCTGAGTTCAGGGGTTGGAGACCAGCCTTGCCCACATGGCGAAACCCCATCTCTACCAAAAATTAGGTAGGTGTGGTGGCATGCACCTATAATCCCAGCTACACAGAAGGCTGAGGCAAGAGAATCGCTTGAACCCGGGAGGCGGAGTTTGCAGTGAGGCGAGATCGCGCCACTGCACTCCAGCGTAGGCGACAGAGTGAGACTCCGTTTCAGAACTAAAAAGAAAAGATTTAAATAACAGTTTTTAAGACAGTATAGGGAATTTTGTAACACAGAAATCCCAAAAGGCTCGAGAAGTAGCACCAGGACGTCTGAAAGTCCCTCTGAAAGCTGAGGCTACAAACAGGATAATAAGGTGTAAAATTCCAGGGGTCATGATGCTTCAGCCTACCCAGGGTGTGCAGGGAGAGAGCTCTCACTCTTCTTTGACACTTAGAAGTCCTGTGTCAATAGTACCAATTCTATGAGTGGGGCTGTCACATATGCAGACTCCTTTCTGACCCCCATACCAAGGAAGATGCCAAGGTGACAAGGGGAAAAAGCACACTGGCCTGGTAGTGCTGCCCTTTAAGAATCTGGCTCAGCCTCAGCCTGGTGACCCTAAACAGCAATGGCAGGGTCTGGGTCAGCAAGACACAGCTCTCTCTATGCAATGCTGGAATGAGTGTCTCCAGTCTCTTATTGCTGATGGGAACCTTGTAAAAGGACCTGCATATCCTGGACAAACTGAGACACAGGTGGCAGCACAGGCCCCACCCCTTGAAAAGCCATCACACTACTTGACTGACCATGACAGCACTATGGATAAACTTCAAGCTTTTTAGGTTAACTTCTGTCTGCCACAGATTCTCAGGAAAAGATACCGTCTTTCTAAGCAGATGACAGTCCATGACCTGAATAACCTCTTAGTGAAGATTTTCAGATTTTGCTTCACATGCTGGGAAGCTCACCAAGGCTTTAGATTTAGGAGGAGGATTTTTTTTTTTTTTATTATGACCTCGATGCAGGCCTCCTTTCCTTGGATGCAAAATTAGTGTGATATAAAGGAAAATGAACAACAAGCACATTGTGGTACTGGTGAAAGAAGTGCCTACCATTTTGAAGCCCAAAGGGGAGTGTTTATTTTTTAATTTTTAATTGTAAAAATAAAATATATAATTTACGATCTTGACAATTACTAAGTGTACAGTTTGGTAATGTTAATTATATTCACATTGTTGTGCAATAGATAGCTGTAAGTTTTTTTTGTTTTTGTTTTTTTTGAGACAGAGTCTCGCTCTGTCACCCTGGCTGGAATGCAGTGGTGTGATCTCAGCTTGCTGCAATCTCTGCCTCCCAGGTTCAAGCGATTCTCCTGCTTCAGCCTCCCAAGTGGCTGGGACAACAGGCATGTGCCACCACGCCTCACTGATTTTTTGTGTTTTCAGTAGAGACAGGGTTTTGCCATGTCGGCCAGGCTGGTCTCGAACTCCTGACCTCGGGTGATCTGCCCGCCTCGGCCTCCCAAAGTGCTGGGATTACAGGTGTGAGCCACCACACCCAGCCAGTTATAGGCTCATTTAATCATAGTTACTTCTTTAAAGGTCTTATCTGCAAATACAGTCCTGTTGAGGTTGGGACTTCAACACGTGAATTTGGGAGGGACACAATTTGATCTGTAAAGCTCTTATTTACAACTCCTGATTTCCCCTTTTCCTATCCCCTGCCAACCACCATTCTACTTTCTGTTTTGATGAGTTTGATTGCTTTACATACCTCACATAAGTAGAATCATACAGCATTTACTTTATGTAACTGGCTTATTTCACTTGGTATAATATCCTCAAGGTTCTACATGGCCTGTGATGGGATTTCCTTTGTTAAAGGCTGAATAATATTCCATTTAATGTATATGCCACATTTTGTTTATCCATTCATGTATCAATGGACATTTAGGTTGCTTCTCTTGGCTATCATGAATAATGCTGCAATGAACATGGGTGTACAAATACGTCTTTGAGATCCTACTTTTAATTCTATTGGCATATACCCAGAAGTGGGATTGCTGGACCTGGTAATTCTATTTTTCATTGTTTGAGGAAGCTTTCTAATGTTTCTCATAGCAGCTGTACCATTTTACATTCCCACCAACAGTGTACAAGAATTCTCACTTATCTACATCCTCATCAACACGTGTCATTTTTTGTTGCTTTGATAGTGGCCATCCTCATGGGTGTCAGGTGATATCTCACTGTGCTTTTGATTTGCAATTCTCTAATGATTAGTGATGTTAAGCATCGTTTCACATGTATGCCTTTTTTGGATAAATGTCTGTTTAAGTTATTTGTTCATTGTTCAATCAGGTTTTTTGTTGTTGAGTTATAGGAATTCTTATATATTATGTGACTTACATTATTTTTTGAGACAGGGTCTCGCTGCATGCCCAGGCTGGAGTGATGTGGTGCAATCTTGGCTCACTGCAGCCTGAACCTCTTTGAGCTCAGGTGACCCTCCCACCTCAGCTTCCCAAGTAGCAGGGACTACAGGTGTGTGTCACCATGCCTGGCTAATTTTTGTATTTTTCACAGAGACAGGGTTTTGTCATGTTGGCCAGGCTGATCTAGAACTCCTGGGCTCAAGTGATCTCCCCACTTCAGCCTCTCAAAGTGCTAGGACTATAGGTGTGAGCCTCGGTGCCCAGTTGGAATTCTTTATATATTCTTGATATTAACCCCTTATCAGATAGAATTTGCAAACATTTTCTCCCATCCCATAGCTTGCCTTTCACTTTGTGTTCTTTGATCCGCATAGGTTTTAACATTGGATGTAGTCCTATTTGTCTATTTTTGCTTTTGTTGCTTGAGCTTTTAGTGTCAATCCAAGAAATCATGGGCTGTTTAACCTCATGAAGCTTTTCCCTTATGATTTCTTTTTATTTTATTTTATTTATTTATTTCTATTTATAGAGGTGAGGTCTCCCTATGTTGCCCAGGCTGGTCTTGAACTCCTGGACTCAAGCCATCCTCCTGCCTTGGCCTCCCAAAATGTTGGGATTATTGGTGTGAACCACCATGCCTGGCCTCCCTTATGATTTCTTTTTTCCCCTTTTCAAACGAGGATAAGCCACCCTTCCTTATGATTTTATACTTTTAGGTCTAACTCATAATAAATGGAAGATTTAAATGTAAGGCTTCAAAGTATAATATGAGTCCGGGCGTGGTGGCTCACGCCTGTAATCCCAGCACTTTGGGAGGCTGAAGCGGGAGGGTCACTTGAGGTCAGGGGTTCGAGACTAGCCAGTTTGAGACCAAAATTAGCTGGGTGTGGTGTCACATGTCTTTAATCCCAGCTACTTGGGAGGCTGAGGCAGGAGATTCACATGAACCTGGGAAGTGGAGGTTGTGGTGAGATGAGATTGCGCCATTGCACTCTAGCCTGGGCAACGAGAACACTCCATCAAAAAAAAAGTATAATATGAAATTTATAAGATGAAAATTAGCTCAAAATGAATGGAATATTTAAATGTAAATTTTCATATATGGTGTAAGGTAAGGATCCAACTTCATTATTTCGCATGTAAGTATTCAATTTTCCCAACTCTATATCTTGAAGACACTGTCCTTTCTGCATTGTATGATCTTGGTCCTCTTGTTGAAGACCATTCGACTACATTTTCCTGAGTTTATTTCTGATCTCTGTATTCTGTTTTATTGGTCTACATGTTTGCCTTTATGCCAGTACCATACCGTGTTGGTTACTATCAATTTATAATTAGTTTTGAAATCAGAAACTGTGAGATCTCCAAATTTGTTCTTCTGTTTCAAGATTGTTTTGGCTATTTTGCTTTTCTCTGAGATTCCATAGGAATTTTGTTTTTGTTTTTTTGAGATAGTCTCACTCAACTCACAGTTGCCCAGGCTGGAGTGCACTGGCACCATCTTGGTTCATTGCAACCTTAGCCTCCCAGGTTTAAGTGATTCCCCTGCCTTAGCCTCCCAAGTAGCTGGGATTACAGGCATGCGCCACCACACCCAGCTAATTTTTGTATTTTTAGTAGAGGTGGGGTTTCACCATGTTGGCCAGGCGGGTCTCGAACTCCTGACCTCAAGTGATCCACCTGCCTTGGCCTCCCAAAGTGCTGGGATTACAGATGTGAGCCACTGCACTGGGCCCAGATTCCATAGGAATTTTAAGGTAGTTTTTCCTGTTTCTATAAAATGCTATTGAAATTTTGATAGGGATTGCATTTAATCTATAGGTTTTAAATAGTATGGGAATCTTAGCAATATTAAATCTTGAAATTCATGAACACACACACACACACAAAAATAATAATAAGGTGCAAAATTAAGGAAGGAGTTAAACTGTATCTACTCCCTATTTCTCATACTCCCCCAGAAACACTGTTGTCAGTCATGAGCCCTCCCAGCAAGAAATCTAACTCAAAAGAACTAAAAATACAAATGGTTCTACAACATAATTCCATAGCTTAGCTTGTAGTTGACAAGCTCACCTCCACCATTGGTACAGGGCTTTTGAGGTAGGTTTTGGCATGTTACTTTTAAAGCTGAATAGATAAGGATTGGCAGCATTTAAGGAAAGCATTTTACATGAAGAACCCAGAGCAGACAGATAAAAGGGATAAAATAGATTTATATTGAAGGACCTATAAAGCAGTCTACAATAGAGTAATGTAAAGAAAGTAGATTATAGAACTTTATAGTATGGGCCAGGCACAGTAACTCATGCCTGTAGTCCCAGCAGTTTAGGAGGCCGAGGTGGGCGGATCGCATGAGCCCAGGAGTTCAAGACCAGCCTGGGCAACATGGCAAAACCCCATCTCTACTAAAAATATAAAAACTAGCTGGATGTGGTGGCACACATGTGTAGTTTCAGCTACTCAGAAGGCTGAGGTGAGAGGATCACCTGAGCTCGGGAGGTCAAGGCTGCAGTGAACTGTGATTGCGCCACTGCATTCCACTCCAGCTTGGGTGACAGAGTGACACCCTGTCTCAAAACAAAAAAAAAGGGAACTTTATAGTATGATTTTATTTCCATTTATATACGTATATTCATTTTATATCATTTTAATGTTTAGGAATATATTCACCAAAGTTCTTACCTCTAAGAAGTAGGATTAGGAAACACCTATCTAGTTTTGTTTTAATTTGTTTTAAATGAGCATGTCATTGGAAATTTTCTTGGAGTGGGGGAATGCTACTACATAAAAAGTCAGAAATAGTCGAGTGTCTGCTAATTATTTTGCTGGTATTAAATCATATTATTCACGCTGAGTACAGTGGCCCACATCTATAATCCCAGTGCTCTGGGAGGCTGAGGCAAGAAGATCACTTGAGCCCAAGAGTTCTGGACTACCCTGGGCAAGGTAGCAACCCCATCTCTATCAAAAATAATAATAATAATAAAATAAGCTGGGCATAGTGGTGCACTTGTAGTCCCAGCTACTCAAGAGGCTGAGGCAGGAGCATCAGTTGAGCCCAGGAATTTCAGGTTATAGTGAGCTACAGTGACTCTACCACTGTACCACTACACTCCAGCCTGAGCAAAAGAGTGAGACCCTGTCTTATATATATATAATATGTAAATATATATAAATTCAGTTAGAATCATGCCTTCACGCCACTCCTTTCTTGCAGAGTGAAATTCACATGTCTGAAGAAGCTATACAGGACATATTGGAACAGACAGAATCAGACCCAGCATTTCAGGCACTCTTTGATCTCTTTGACTATGGTAAGGAGACTATTTATTTCAAGACAGAAAAAAAAGGCTTCTACAATTTCTTTGGTAACTTAACCAGAGTGAATCAACATTCCCCAGAGTATCTAAAAAAGTTCTTGTTTTCATTTCATCAAACATTATATGGATATGTTAAAGGAGTGTTTGTTGTTTTGTTTTTAGCTGAGAAACTTTAGCTGTTAAAGTGGAGAGTAGTTTTGTTTTTTATTTTTGTGGCATTTTTGCCAGTCATCAGGGAATGTGTTGATGTCTACCACTATACAAATGTGTTAAACACAATTGAATCGTACAAAGGGAATACAAAAAATTGGCCATTGTCCTCAATCTTATGATTTAGTGCAGTAGTTCTCAAAGTATAGTCCCCCAAACCAACAATCTCAGCATTATCTGAGAACTCGTTAGAAAATGCAAATTACTGGGCTAAAGTTTAAGAAACACCTGTCTAGTGGGAAAATCTTTGTACTTGTAAATGATATTAAAAGCAACATTTTTTAAACATCCATAAAACCCTAAATCGAAGTTTAACATTTGCGTAATCACCAACAAGCTGTATTCATTGATGTTTATTTTTTGTTTTGGTCATTTAATTATTTCCATATTCCCTTTTTAACAGGCAAAACAAAGAATAATAAAAATATATCACAAAGTATTTCCAGTCAACCTATGGAATCCAATCCCAGTATAGTCTTAGCAGATGAAACTAATCTAGCAGTTAAAGGTTCTTTTGAAACAGAAGAATCTGGTAAGAATTTAATTTTGTTAATATCATCAATCCAAATCTTAATATTAGTCTCAAAATTCAAAGGCAGAAAATATTAATTTGGAAGTAGAAGTTGTTCAGATTGTTATAGGTCATTTTTGTATTTTTCTCTCTGTTAAAAACAATTATAAATCTTTGGTAGTTTGATTAAAAGAAAATTTACAGTATTCATTCTTTTACTATAAGCTTTTTTTGTTGGTGTGTGTTTGTTTTTTGAGACAAGGTCTCCCTCTTGTCATCCAGGCTGGAGTGCAGTGGCACAATCATAGCTCACTGCATGCAGCCTCAAACGATGCTCCCAGCACTTTGGGAAGCAGAGGTAGCATTACAGGTGTGAGCCACCACACTCAACCTCATTCCTTTATAATTCAATTCTTGACATGTACAATTTAGTATTAATGTTGTTCAGTTGCTCAAAAGTCTGTAACATTTATTTTTATTAAGGCACATGTTTTTTGTGCACCTGTTTTTAAATGTTATCACCTGCTCCCACCAGTAAAAAATCTGATGGCTTCCAGTGTTCATTCACATCCTGTCCTTGGAGAATCTCAGACTGTGTGCCTCCTTTAATTCCTCTGCCAACAATCAAGTCCAATTCTCCATTTCTTCTTAGGCTGAATTATAGTGGGTTGTGTTTTTTGCAGTATATATTATGTCTAGAAGATTGTGTTTCACTTAAGTTCTTCCCTGTACAAAGTGAAACTTGAAATTCCGTTTTCTGAGAAAGTCATCCTACTTCACTGAGGAACTACTTATCCTGAATTTATGTGGCCTCTATACAATTTCTACTGTTTTCCCCACAATAAGGATTCAGATGTGCTCTGTACTCAGCAGCAAGTGTCACATTTAACAGAATTAGAGTAGTCCCCCCTTATCTATGGGGGATATATTCCAAGCCCCCCAGTGGGTGCCTGAAATTGGGTGGTACCAAAGCCTATATAGTATTTACTGTTTTTTCCTTTTCAGGCATACCTATGGTAAAGTTTAATTTAAAGTTAGGCACAGTAAGAAATTAACAATAGCTAATAATAAAATGGGACAGTTATAACAATATACTGTAATAAAAGTTATGTGAATGTAGTCTTCCTCAAAATATCTTATTGTACTGTACTCACCTATTTTTAGGCTGGTTGACTGTAGGTAACTGAAACCACAGAAAGCAAAACTACAGATAATGGGAGACTGCTGTATATGCTAGTTGACATAAATGTTCTGGTTTTTAAAAAATATTTTTCATACTGATTCAAGTTAATGTTTTCTGTCCTAAATTGTGAATGCTGTATTGTTGTTTTCTGAAACACTTTTTCCAGGCCAGGCACAGTGGCTTATGCCTGTAATCCCAGCAATTTGGGAGGCCAGGGAGGGCAGATTACTTGAGGTCAGGAGTTCAGGACCAGCCTAGCCAACACGGTGAAACCGCGCCTCTACTAAAAATACAAAAGCTAGCCAGGTGTGGTGGCTGGCGCGCACCTGTGATCCCAGATACTCAAGAGGCTGAGGCAGGAGAATCACATGAACCCGGGAGGCAGAGGCTGCAGTGAGCTGAGAATCGCACCGCTGCACTCCAGCCTGGGCGACAGAGCAAGACTCTGTCTCAAAAAAAAAAAAAAAAGGAAATACTCTTTCCTTACTCATATCATACTCTTTTTTTTTTTTTTTTTTTAAGATCTTCTCATACAGTGCCTCCTTTATAATTTTTTCTCATGGTACCTTTTGTTCCTATGCTGTTACAGTTTTTACCATGCTTTCTTATGACTTTCTGTTCTATAGTTGGTTCCTTGACTAACCTCTCCAAGATTAGAGATTGGATCATTCATCTTTGTATCCCAGTAACCAAGTATGGTTGGTCTTCAGTAAATATGTGTTTAATGTTAAACAGTACACAATGAGATCAAGTGTCAATCATGCAAAATGTACTTGGCCCCATCTCACCTTTAAGAATATGTCAGATAAGTTGGGTGTGGTGGCTCATGCCTGTGATCCCAGCACTTTGGGAGGCCGAGACAGTAGATAAATTAAAGTCAGAAGAAATGTTAGAAGTTGAAAAGTTAGTGTTTCAAAATAAACTTCATTTTTGGAGCCAGTATGTTTTTTACCTATTGAAATATTAAACCTCTTTACTTTTTCCTTCTTTGTATCATCTGTCTTCCAAGCTTGGAAAACAAATTGACACTTGTGTAAAAAGTCATCAGTAACTAGAAAGTACCTGTAAATTTTTTGATACTCAGTAAATGGGAAACACAGCGTATCAGACTTCCACTTACTGGTATGCAAAGATGAGTTATTTTCTTGGCAAAATAAGTTTTATGGCAAAAATGACTACCTCAGAAGCTGAACATATTTACCATATCTGTCTACCTGCCTGATACTTTGCAGATGGTCAGTCTGGTCAGCCCGCTTTTTGTACATCCTATCAGAATGATGACCCATTAAATGCTTTGAAGAATAGCAACAACCATGATGTGCTTAGACAAGAAGACCAGGAAAATTTTTCCCAAATAAGTACCAGCATACAGAAAAAGGCCTTTAAAACAGCTGTACCCACTGAACAGAAGTGTGACATTGACATTACCTTTGAGTCCGTGCCTAATTTGAATGACTTTAACCAAAGAGGGAATTCTAATGCTGAATGTAATCCACATTGTGCTGAATTATACACCAATCAGATGTCCACTGAAACTGAAATGGCTATAGGGATTGAAAAGAACTCTTTGTCTTCAAATGTACCGAGTGAATCTCAGTTACAGCCTGATCAGCCTGATATACCAATAACTTCATTTGTTTCACTTGGTTGTGAAGCTAACAATGAAAACTTAATTCTCTCTGGGAAGAGTTCTCAACTTTTATCCCAAGATACTTCATTAACTGGAAAGCCATCTAAAAAAAGTCAATTTTGTGAAAATTCTAATGATACAGTAAAACTTAAAATTAATTTTCATGGTTCCAAGTCATCAGATTCTAGTGAAGTTCACAAGAGTAAAATAGAAATTAATGTGTTAGAACCAGTTATGTCACAGCTATCAAATTGCCAAGATAATTCTTGTCTTCAAAGTGAAATACTACCTGTGTCTGTTGAAAGTTCACATTTAAATGTATCTGGACAAGTAGAAATTCATCTTGGAGATTCGCTGTCTTCTACTAAACAACCATCTAATGATTCAGCATCTGTTGAGTTAAATCATACAGAAAATGAAGCTCAGGCATCCAAGTCTGAGAATTCACAGGAGCCTTCATCTTCTGTAAAAGAAGAGAATACTATTTTTCTCTCTTTAGGTGGAAATGCTAACTGTGAGAAAGTTGCACTGACGCCTCCAGAAGGCACTCCTGTAGAAAACAGTCACTCTCTTCCTCCAGAATCTGTGTGTTCTTCAGTGGGAGATTCTCACCCTGAGTCCCAAAATACTGATGATAAACCTTCTAGCAACAACTCAGCAGAGATAGATGCATCAAATATCGTCTCTCTCAAAGTTATCATTAGTGATGATCCATTTGTTTCCTCAGATACTGAACTTACCAGTGCTGTTTCTAGTATTAATGGAGAAAACCTGCCAACTATAATCTTGTCTTCTCCTACTAAATCACCTACTAAAAATGCAGAACTAGTTAAATGCCTATCTTCAGAAGAAACTGTAGGTGCTGTTGTATATGCCGAAGTAGGGGATTCAGCCTCAATGGAACAGAGTCTTTTAACATTCAAATCTGAAGACTCTGCAGTAAACAATACTCAGAATGAAGATGGCATTGCTTTTTCAGCTAATGTTACACCATGTGTTTCCAAGGATGGAGGATATATACAGTTGATGCCAGCCACAAGCACAGCTTTTGGCAATTCAAATAACATTCTGATAGCTACCTGTGTGACTGATCCAACAGCGTTAGGAACATCTGTAAGTCAGTCTAATGTAGTGGTGTTGCCTGGAAATTCTGCACCTATGACTGCTCAACCTCTACCACCTCAGTTACAGACACCACCAAGGTCAAACAGTGTATTTGCTGTCAACCAAGCTGTGTCACCAAACTTTTCACAAGGTAACTTTAATAACATAATTGAAATTTGTTTCTCTGGGTTGGGATCTAATTTCTTTTGTATGTGATGTTATTGACTGCGAAGTAATAACTAATGAGTAGATGGTATGAGAAAAGATTCTGAAATTTGTGATTACGCTGCTTCTTTATGCTAGCTAATTCAAACCTTTTTTATTTTTCTTAATCTGCTAGTAAGCTATGGGCTTTAGTGGTTTTTCTTTTTTCTTTTCACAAATACTTCTCAATCTATGTGCTAGTAAGTTACAATAAACAGAAAAGACAGACTAATTCATCACATAGTTGTATAAAACCCAATGTTGTGGGGGAGTTTTTAAAAATAGCTCTTATAGTCATGGTCTTCAGGGAATTCATCATCTTTTTGGAGAAATTTTCAAGAAAAACTTGAATTTCAGCCGGTTATGGTGGCTCACGCCTGTAATCCCAGCACTTTGGGAGGCCGAGGTGGGCCGATCGATCACCTGAGGTCAGGAGTTTGAGACCAGCCTCGAGAACATGGTGAAACCTCATTTCTACTAAAAATACAAAAAAATGAGCCAGGCATGGTGGCAGGTGCCTGTAATTACAGCTACTTGGGAGGCTGAGGCAGGAGAATCTCGTGAACCCAGGAGACAGAGGTTTCAGTGAGCCAAGATCATGCCATTGCACTTCAGCCTGGGCAACAAGAGCGAGACTCTGTCTCAAAAAAAAAAAAAAACTTGAATTTCTTCCTTTATAAAATCCTTTCTAATTGATCTCTGTCTTTAAAATCCTTTGTTTATGGCTGGGCTCAGTGGCTCATGACTGTAATCCCAGCACTTTGGGAGGCCGAGGCGGGCAGATCACCCGAGGTCAGGAGTTCAAGACCAGCCTGGCCAACATGGTGAAACCCCGTATCTACTAAAAATACAAAAATTGGCATGGTGGTGGGCACCTGTAATCCCAGCTGCTTGGGAGGCTGAGACAGAAGAATCTAAAGCTGGGAGGCAGAGGTTGCAGTGAGCCAAGATCGCACCACTGCACTTCAGCCTGGGTGACAGAGTAAGACTCTGTCTCCAAAAAAAAAAAAAAAAAAAAAAATCCTTTTTTCATAGGGGCTCTTGTGGCATTTATTGCGTGCTGTGTTATATGTAGTTAGTGATTGATATGCCTATCATATTGATAATTTTTTATTGTATGTTCCTCAGAGATAGTGCTCATGGCACATTTATTTACATTTCCTTATGTGTTGGTTCCCAAGCTTCCCTCTTTTCCCTTTTTGTTACATTATAGACATACAATAAAATTTCATTAAATATCAACAATTAGTATTAAACCTAATGGGTCTGTTTTACGTGCTGTTACAAATTACATAAAGGAGAGGTCAGAATTAATAGAGAATGTGGGGCTTGAGCTAAAGCTTAAAGAATGAAGGTAGGATTTGGAGTTAAAGCAAGGAAGTTTTTATAACTTATAAAATCTGTAAGTTATAAAGAGAAGCAGCACCAGCATAGACAGAGAGACCGTAGTAGGTTGCATGAAAATGAGGGGATCAACCTGACAGTAGTGTATTAGGCAAAAGTTTGTTTATGGACAGGACTAAATTACAGTAGCCACAAACTATGTTGTTGACTTCTGAGGACCATGTAGACATTGTAATTTTCCCTCCATAGTTTTGACCAGTTACGTGCTTACCTTACCCCCTTTTGATCAATACCATTGAGATATGTAATAGGTTGGGGTTACAAGTGTAGTCCTGGGTATAAATATTCAGTTGGGGTTGTAATTTTCTGGTGTAAGGTTCAGACTTGAAACATTCACCACTCATTTTCTAACTAGTTTCATTATTTCTAGAGGAATCCAGATATGATTGTAATATGATGTCTTGGCTGTAGAGTCTTATGCTTGATCAGCATGGTTCACTGACTGAATAACATTAAGACCACCTTAATATTTGGATTGACTTTTTCTTAATTTGTTAGCCTTGCTGTTTTTCCTAAAACTGTTTCAGTTTCGTTTTTTTTGTTTTGTTTTGTTTTGTTTTTGGAGAGTGGATCGTAAGGAAGAGGGATTGTTCATAGAATTTATTTCAAAGCAGTAATTAATTTGTGCCAAACATTTGTTTGTTTTGTGCCAAAACATTTCAGAGAAAATCTTTTTTTAACAAGAATTGTTTTTTTAGGATCTGCCATAATAATTGCCTCTCCAGTCCAGCCTGTACTCCAAGGAATGGTAGGGATGATCCCAGTATCTGTGGTTGGACAGAATGGAAATAACTTTTCTACTCCTCCTCGGCAGGTAAGATTTATGAACTGAAAATGGTGTGGTGATGCTTTTCAAGCTTAGTGTAATTAATGGCTTTTTCTCTTCCAGGTTCTTCATATGCCTTTGACAGCACCTGTATGCAATAGAAGTATCCCTCAATTCCCCGTCCCTCCAAAATCTCAGAAGGCTCAGGGACTAAGAAACAAGCCTTGTATAGGTACCATTTTTAATTTCATTAATGTTAACTTTATGTTTGTATGTTCATTTGTTTGCAGCAACACCTAAATGTTTTCTTTCTGAATACCTAAACCATTTTAAAACAAGTGATCACCCTACATTTGCTAGTAACAGATGTCATAATGCAGCCAACTGTTACTGAACAGCTTTGGTTCTGAGAAAATTGTCTCCTTTGTTGAATCTGTTAGCTTTTGCCCAGTAGTCCTTGGTTTGTTCTTTGCAGCTTCCCTAAATTAAGTATAGTCCCTATTTTTCCCAACAGCTTTCAAGTGTTTAATGAATGCCTCGTATAATTGTATGAGACTTTAGAGCAGTTCTTCTTGTAGTTTAGTGTGTATATGAACTATTTGGGGATTTTGTTAAATGCAGGTACTGAATTGATAGGTCTGGTACAGCACCTGAAATTCCTCATTTCTAACAGCTTCTAAGCAATGCCAGTGCTGCTGGTACTGGACCACACTTGAAGCAAGGCTTTAAAGTTTGCAAATTACCTTCCTGTGTTCCCTGTTTTAGCCATTGTCCCAACCATCTGTTTACTTGTGAAAAACCTGGTAGTCACTCTTAAAACACATTTTCCTCTCCTTCTTAGTTCAAGTATTTGTCATTTTTCATCTAAGTTGTATCAATAGTGTCATGTAGTCTCCCTTCTTTTAGTCTCTGTTGTTTCAGTTCACCTCATATCTGCTGGCTGAGTGACTTTTTTTCCCTAAAATACAAATCTGAATATGTTGCTTTCCTGCCTAAAAACTTTCAGCAACTCCCCTTTGCCCAAAGGATAAAATTGAAATTTCTCAGGGTGACATATGTGCATACATTTGTCATCTAGTCACTCTCGACCTCTCCATCTCATCTCTTACCACTTCCCAGCATGGACCCTTTGTACAAACTATAGTTGCTGCTCACCTTATACTTGGTGATCTTTCTTGTCCCTGTACCTTTTACCAATGCTATCTCTTCTACCTAGAATTCCCCCTTCTTACCCAACTCTTA
The DNA here is from genome assembly GCF_000001405.40 of Homo sapiens. Lineage (NCBI taxonomy): Eukaryota > Metazoa > Chordata > Mammalia > Primates > Hominidae > Homo > Homo sapiens. Next base: position 108,168,733 of record NC_000011.10, on the reverse strand, counting down.
CCCTCAATCTGGTTCTTATTTATCCTTCGAAATTAACTTAAATGTTCCTAGGAAGCATTTTTAACCAGCGGTGGCTGAGGTGGATATTCCGGTTTTATTTTTTTCTTTAATTCTTAGTGATACCTATGCTACAGCACTTAACACATTACATTGTATTTCTTCTCAGTAGTCTGAGTATCTTAAATGCACTCATTATACAGAGAACTCAACTAACTGCTATCAAATCAGCCTTTCCTTAAACTAAACAGTATACATCTATTGATGTAGGCTTAAGTTGCATTTTGACTTATTGAGGCACCCTCTTAGACTTATGTCCTGTTATAGCTACTCTATATTATTTTTATGTTCTTTCTTATAACTAGTTCATTCCTTTTAATGGCCATTTGATATCTATCACTTGCATAAATGTATTTTATATATGTCCTATCAGTGGACTTTTCAGATGTTTTCGATGTGACATGCAATGATATGAGGAACATCTTTGTAAATGCCTCTGTGTGAACCCATATGAGAGTTTCTTTGGGGGCTTATTCCCAGAAATCTTTGGGTATACTGGGTATAATAGAGAAGAAGTATATCTTCTCTATGACCCAGAATTTCTGAGTCATAGAGAAGAAAATTTATACTTCTACCATTATTTTCCCTGCTTCCCTCACAACACTACCAATATTTGATACCATGTGATATTTTAACTTTTGCCACTATGATGGATTTAAAGTGGTAGTATCTCATATCATTCTTTTACTTTATTCTGATTACTAATAAAGTTTGGAATCTTCTCTTATAACTATAAATAATATTTTCCCTTCTGTGAATTGCTTATTCATATCCTTTTCCTACTTCTCTATTAAATTTCCTGTCTGTTGAGGTGTTATACTTTTATTAGTAACATATCACAGATGTCTTCACAGTCTGACACTTGTTTTTATCCCTTACAAAGTTGATACCAGAAAAAAACATTGGTGAGGTTAAGCATCCATTTATGATAAAAGCTCTTAAAGGCTATCTATAGTAAACATCATGGGTTCCCTTTAAAGCTGTGAATAACACAAAGATACTCATTCCCACCCTGTATGTAATAAGCCAGTGTTTCCAACACCAGTAAATTAATTATTAAGTAATCAGTTTTTTGCCCCACTGACATCTGATTATACTTCCACCATAAACAAGGTCCCATACATCCATACATATGTGGTTCCAGACAATACAGTAAGAAAATGGAGCTGGGCATGGTGGCTCATCCCCATAATCCCAGCACCTTGGGAGGCTGAGGCAGGAGGATTGTTTGAGTCTAGGAGTTTGAGACCAGCCTGGGCAATATAGTGAGACCACATCTCTAGAAAATAAATTTTTTAAAAGTAGCCAGCTGTGGTGGCAGATAGTAGTCCCAACTATTCGGGAGGGTGAGGCAGAAGGATTGCTTAAGTCCAGGAGGTTGAGGCTGTAAGTAAGCCATGATCATGCCACTGCATTCCAGTCTGGGCAACAGTGAGACCCTGTCTCAGAAAAGAAAAGAGATAGGTGTAAAGATTTGAAGAGAGGGAATTAAACTGTTATGGAAAATGATGTGATTTTTACACAATAAAGCCACAGGGAGTTAATAGAAAAATTAATAGAACTAATAATTCAGTAAAGTTGCCAGGTATGGTTAATTAAAATTGTGTTTTAGGTGCCAACAATAAACACCTATTAAGTGTTATACAAAATAAGATACTGTTTATAATGACCACAAAAATGATAAAGTATAAAGGAAGTAACCTAACCAAAAATGTTAGAAATGGAGAATATTTGAAATCTTTCATAAAGGATGTATAAATAGAAGAGAACCATGTTCATAGATTTGAAAATTTAACAGTGTAAAGATTGCAATTATTCCAAGTTGAATCAAAAATTCAATGTAATTTTCCTTAAAAATCCCAGTAGAATATTTTGGGAGATGGGAAAAACTATAAAATCTATGAGAAAGAATAAAAGTCCATGACTAGCCAAGATAGAAGAGCAGAGGACAGACTCATTCTACCAAATGGTAAAATATTGCAGAGCCACAGTAATTAAAACAAAAAGACAAATGGAACAAGATAGTTTAGAAAGAGACCTTGTACATGGTAATGTTAACATCAGAAGTCAGAGCAAGATGGATGGTATAATATATGAAATGTATTGATCATTAAATATACAATATATAGAGAAGAAAGTAGATCCCTTCCTCATACAAAGATGAAGTCCAAGATGATTAAAGACCTAAAAGTAAAAAGTCAAACAATTAAATGATAGAAGAATGTATAAGAGAATATTTTTATGACATTAGGATAAAGGATTTATTTATTTTTTTATTTTTTTTTAGATGGGAGTCTTGCTCTGTCACTCAGACTGGAATGCAGTGGCATGATCTCAGCTCACTGCTACCTTCGCCTCCCGGGTTCAAGCGATTCTTCTGTCTCAGCCTCCCTTGTAGCTGGGATTACAGGTGCATGCCACAACACTCAGCTAATTTTTGTATTTTTAGTAGAGACAGGGTTTCACTATCTTGGCCAAGCTGGTCTTGAACTCCTGACCTCTTAATCCCCCCACCTCGGCCTCCCAAAGTGCTGGGATTACAGGCGTGAGCCACCACGCCTGGCCTGGGATTTCTTTTTTTAAAATGAGAAGACTTTGGGCACAATGGCTCCACTCCTATAATTCCAGCACTTTGGGAGGCCAAGACAGGTGGATCACTGAGCCCAGGAGTTTGAGATCAGCCTATGCAACATAATGAGACTCTGTCTTTACAGAATTTTTTTTTAAAAAATTAGCCAGGTATGGGCTGGGCGTGGTGGCTCACGCCTGTAATCCCAGCACTTTGGGAGGCCGAGGCAGGCGGATCACAAGGTCAGGAGATCGGGACCATCCTGGCTGATACGGTGAAACCCCGTCTCTACTAAAAATACAAAAAATTAGCCAGGCGTGGTGGTGGGTGCCTGTAGTCCCAGCTATTCGGGAGACTAAAGCAGGAGGAGAGTGGTGTGAACCTGGGAGGCGGAGCTTGCAGTGAGACAAGATCGTGCCACTGCACTCCAGCCTGGGCGACAGAGTGAGACTCCGTCTCAAAAAAAAAAAAAAATATTAGCCAGGTGTGGTGGTGTGCACCTGTAGTCTCAGCTACTTGAGATGCTGAGGTGGGAGGATCACTTGAGCCCAGGAGGTTGAGAGTGCAGTGGGCTGTCCTCATGCCACTACACTCCAGCCTGGGCAATAGAGCAAGACCCTATCACAAAAAAAAAATATATATATATATATATATAAATACATATGTGTGTGTATATATTAATAGAAGAAAATAAAAGAAACTGGGTGCAGTGGCATGTACCTGCAATCCTAGCAACTTGGGAGGCTGAGGCAGGAGGAATGCGAGCCCAGGAGTTTGAGACCAGCCTGGGCAACATAGACCTGTCTCAAAATAAATAAAATTTAAAAATGAGAAATACATAACTTATAAATGGAAAAAATTGATAGAGTGAACTACTCTAGAATTTAAAGTTTCTGTTCAACAAAAGACACCATACACAAAATAACACCAGATTTTTACTCAGAACCTTGATGACTGTGTTACCTGGTTCTCAGACTTCTCTCCCTACATTTTTTCATCATTGTGAATGACAAAATGCCCATGTTGTAAATCTACCCACCACCCTAACCCTCAGAGTTTATCCTTTCCACTCCTTATTTATTTATTTATTTTATTTTTGAGACAGAGTCTTACTCTTGTCGCCCAGGCTGGAATGCAGTGGCAGTCTCAGCTCTCTGCAACCTCCACCTCCTGGGTTCAAGCAATTCTTCTGCCTCAGCCTCCCGAGTAGCTGGGGCTACAGGCACGCATCACCATGCCCAGCTATTTTTTGTATTTTTAGTAGAGACGGGGTTCTCCGTGTTGGCCAGGCTGGTCTCGAACTCCTGACCTCAGGTGATCTGCCTGCCTCGGCCTCCCAAAGTGCTGGGATTACAGGCATGAGCCACTGCGCCCGGCCTAGATCCTTTCCACTACTAAGACTTATTTTTACTTCAGCCAACCTCTCCTATAGCCACACCTTGAATTTTTCACCTTTTTATTAGACTTACAAGATTTTTAAAGGCCAGTGATGTGTCTCAAAACACACTTGTTTCCATATACCCATTGAATTCCTCTTCAACCAGTGATAGCTTTTCTTACTTGAATCCTCACCTTTTACCTGAACTTGTGTCTTCTTTCCGGATTCACTTCCTTTACTAAACAGCCTAGAGCCCACAAGCCACCACATCAGCCACTTTGGCCAGTTTTCTTAATAACCTACATATCCACATTCTTCTACATAGCCACTAGCTACTCTATAGCCCTTGATCTGTCCAGCCAGCCATCTCAACTTTTACACCTGGGCTTCTTAGCATTGCCTTAGAAGTGCTACCATTCCCTACCACTTAAAAAAAATGTATTTCTCACCCACCTTCCACTTGGCAATCATTTTAAATATCTGCGTGTCTGCTTTCTCTTCTGTTCCTCCTTCAAACTATTCCAGTCTTGCACAACACGTCTCAAATCTAGTCCTGCTCCTCCTCACTCTTAGCTAGTGGTTTTATTTTCCATCTTACCAGTATTAAACTTCACTTTCTGATCATCACTTTCATTCAGTACATAACCTATTCTGCTTCCAAAATCATCCTTCTTTCTTAAAGAAATAACTGTCCTTCATTCTTTCTAAGGTTAATGCAGTCTACATGTGCTCCAGTTTCTTATCTTCTATATATGTTTCAACTTTTCCTGTTTGGCTTCTCTCCCTGGCTATAAACATAGGTTTGTCCCACCTGCTGACTTTTTATGTTAATCTCTTAACCTCTCTTAATCTTCCATTTCTTCATTCAAATTACTGTCTTTTCTCATGCATCTACTGAAACTGTCTACACTAGAGTCACCAGTGGCCTCCTAATATTGCATTATGCATTGAAACTTTTCCATTCTTACCTTACTTTGCTTTCTCTATAACTGTTGATACTATGGTGGCTTCTGGAGCCATAACTAAACTATTCTCCACCCTTGCTAATTTTGTGTAACTCAAGGCCTTCAAACTACATATTTCTCACCTCTCTTCCTCAAAGACTTCTTCTGCCTAGTGTTTTTCCCCTTGGTTAATGTCACAATTTATTTTTTTCCTTTACTTTTGGAAATGTACATGCCCATTATTGTCTCTCAGACCCTCATCATCTCTTACCTGGAATATAGCCATCTACATAGAGTTTCTACTTCCAGTTTTCTGTCTTCTCAGTTCCATCTTCCACATTATTGCCAGATCTTCCAAAGACATAAACCTATTCATGCATCTTCCCTATTTAACACCCTTAAAGGGGCCGGGCATGGTGGCTCACTCCTGTAATCCCAGCACTTTGGGAAGCCGAGGAGGGTAGATCACCTGAGGTCAAGAGTTTTGAGACTGGCCTGGCTGACGTAGTGAAACCCCTTCTCTACTAAAAATACAAAAATTAGCCAGGCGTGGCAGCGTGCACCTGTAATCCCAGCTACTCGGGAGGCTGAGGCACTAGAATTGCTTGAACCCAGGAGGTGGAGGTTGCAGTGAGCCAAGATCATGCCATTGCACTCCAGCCTGGGCAATAGAGCGAGACTCCGTCTCAAAAATAAATAAATAAATAAATAAATAAATAAATAAATCTCTTAAAGGATTGCCTCTGAAACCTTTTGCATAATATGTAAGTTTCTTCATAATCTCATCTTTGCTCTTCTTTCTAGTTTTGATATCTTGCTGCTCTCCCACATAAATGCTGAAGCTCGTGGAAATTAAAATATGGCTATTAGAACTCCAGAGCATGTGCTCTGAGTGACATAGGCTTGTAAACATGATAGGTACCGGGACAGAATTTTAAAATAGATATAATCTGTTGTTTTCTTTAAGTGACTACCTGGATGTAAGTAGTACATTATGTGCTATATTGAGCATTGTAATTTGTAGATCCAAAGACTGGATTTATAATATTTGCCTGAACCGGGCGCGGTGGTTCACGCCTATAATCCAGCCTTTTGGGAGGCCCAGGTGGGCAGATCACTTGAGGCCAGGAGTTTGAAACTAGCCTGGCCAACATGGCGAAACCCCATCTCTACTAAAAATACAAAAAATTAGCTGAGCATGGTTGGGGGCGCCTGTAATCCCAGCTACTCGGGAGGCTGAGGCAGGAGAATTGCTTGAACCTAGGAGGCAGAGGTTGCAGTGAGCCGAGATCATGCCACTGCGCTCCAGCCTGGGTGATAGAGCATGACTCTGTCTCAGAAAAACAGACAAACATAATATTTGCCTGAAGTTGATGCATGTCATTTATTCCATATCTGGATTTCCTCTGTAGCAGTGGGGAAATAGCCATCTTGTACTTATTTCAAAGCTGCTTTTTAAAAGCTGCTTTGTCAACGTGTTCTATTTGTGTGTACATTAGCTACCATTTAAAATTTTTTCTCATGATATGTGATAATTGTCATCTGTTCTATCCTCTTTCAGAGGAGTATATTCTTTTTCTCAGGAATGTTCATTTATAATTTCAGGAAAACAAGTAAATAATTTGGTGGATTCGTCAGGTCATTCAGTTGGATGTCATGCACAAAAGTGAGTATAAAGTAGTTTCTATCATAGATTGTTTGAATGCTCAGATTTAAAACATAAAGGATTTCTTTATGCTGCTAGAAATAGTTTTGTTTTGTTTTGTTTTAGAACTGAAGTTTCTGACAAAAGTATTGCCACAGATCTTGGGAAAAAATCAGAAGAAACCACAGTTCCCTTCCCAGAAGAGAGTATAGTTCCAGCTGCTAAACCATGCCACAGACGTGTACTCTGTTTCGACAGCACTACTGCTCCTGTGGCAAATACGCAGGGGCCAAACCATAAGATGGTGTCCCAAAACAAAGAAAGGAATGCAGTCTCTTTTCCTAATCTTGACTCACCCAATGTGTCCTCCACCTTAAAACCCCCTTCTAATAATGCTATCAAAAGAGAGAAAGAGAAGCCTCCTCTGCCTAAGATTTTATCTAAATCGGAAAGTGCCATTAGCCGGCATACCACCATAAGAGAAACTCAATCAGAAAAGAAAGTTTCACCAACAGAAATTGTGCTTGAATCTTTCCATAAAGCAACAGCTAATAAGGAGAATGAATTATGCAGCGATGTAGAAAGACAGAAAAATCCAGAAAATTCAAAACTATCTATTGGGCAGCAAAATGGGGGTTTGCGAAGTGAGAAATCTATAGCTTCACTGCAAGAAATGACCAAAAAACAAGGCACATCTTCAAACAATAAAAATGTACTTTCAGTAGGTACAGCTGTGAAGGATCTAAAACAAGAACAAACTAAATCCGCCAGTTCTTTGATTACCACAGAAATGTTACAGGATATACAGAGGCACAGCTCAGTAAGTAGGCTTGCTGATAGTAGTGATTTACCTGTGCCCCGGACACCTGGCTCAGGGGCAGGGGAAAAACATAAAGAAGAACCTATAGATATTATCAAGGCCCCCTCTAGTAGGCGTTTCAGTGAAGACAGTAGTACATCAAAAGTAATGGTCCCTCCTGTCACCCCAGACTTGCCTGCCTGCAGCCCTGCCAGTGAAACAGGAAGTGAAAACAGTGTAAATATGGCTGCCCACACATTAATGATTCTCTCCAGGGCAGCCATTTCTAGGACTACTTCAGCAACTCCTCTGAAAGATAACACACAACAGTTTAGAGCATCTTCAAGGAGCACCACAAAAAAGCGGAAAATTGAGGAATTAGATGAACGTGAGCGAAACTCTCGTCCTTCTAGTAAAAATCTTACAAATTCATCAATACCAATGAAAAAGAAGAAAATTAAGGCAAGTTTGAAAGTTTTAATTTCAAAACCACACCTTTTTTTTCCGCTTTAGTGATTAGCGAATTCAGCAGTTCTTGCCACAACAACTTGACTGAACGTTATGGCTAAGACAGCTTTTAGTTTTCATTGACAAAATACATAACCATGATCACAGGACCAATAAGCAGTAGATGCAGGATTCAAACTCAGACTTGTAGGGCAACAAAGCAGTCCAGCAGTGTTAGTGTAGTACGCACAAGGTGTCTAGGTGAAACAGCATTTTCAGGAAAAACTGCTGAGGCATTTGTTTATAAACATCTTTCCGGGGGAAAAGAAAAAGTTTTTCTTTCTTTCTTGGTAGAACTCAAGTTTTTTCATGAGCGTGACATAGTCATGAAAGATTGGGAAACAATATTAAACACTATTGTGTAGAACTACCAAGTAATAAATGACTTTGTTCTTAGATGTTCAGTTTTTTTTTTCCCCCACGTCTTGTAATCTCTTCCATAGGCCCTTAAAAATGTTAGCATATTAGAGCAGTGGAAAAATCAAATTTACGTATGTTTTTCCATTTTTTTGAGAGAGGGTTTCACTCTCGTTGCCCAGGCTGGAGTGCAATGGTACGATCTTGGCTCACTGCAGCCTCCGCCTTCCAGGCTGAAGTGATTCTCCTACCTCAGCTTCCCAAGTAGCTGGGACTACAGGCATGCGCCACTGCATCTGGCTAATATTTTTTCCTTTTTTTTTTTTTTTTGAGACAGAGTCTTGCGCTGTTACCCACTAGAGTACGGTGGCGTGATCTTGCCTCACTGCAACTTCCGCCTCCTGAGTTCAAGCAATTCCCTGCCTCAGCCCCCTGAGTAGCTGGGATTACAGGTGTCTGCCACCACACCCAGCTAATTTTTGTATGTTTAGTAGAGATGGGGTTTCACCGTGTTGGCCAGGCTAGTCTTGAACTCCTGACCTTGTGATCCACCCACCTCGGACTCCCAGAATGCTGGGATTACAGGCATGAGCCACCACGCCTGGTCATTTTTTCTGGTTTTTTTTTTTTATAGAGACAGTCTTTTGCCATGTTGCCCAGGCTGGTCTTGAAGTCCTGAGCTCAAGTGATCTGCGCACCTTGGCCTCCCAAAGTGCTGGGATTACAAGCATGAGCCACTGCGCCTGGCCTTATGTTTTTTATTTAAGCATGGTTGTCTCTAGGAAGGCAGTGCAGGGATAGCATTGATAAATGAAATCCATTTATTTTCGATTTGGTTAGCTGTTTAGTAAGTGGATTGAATAGAAAGAAAGTGCTTAAAATATCATAGAGGAAGTATGGTATCAGGGAAATAATTTAGGCTTTGTTGCCCTACAAGTCTGGGTTTGAATCCTGCATCTACTGCTTATTGGTCCTGTGATCATGGTTAAGTCTGTAGCCTTTCTGAGTCTCAGCCTCATCACTTGACATGATATTACCAGGTATCTTAGGTTGTGAAGTCTAAATGTAGTATACATAAAGTATCTAGTGTATATTAAGTTTTGGAACTGATAAGTACCTGTAACCCTAAACATCTGTTAGTAAAGCTTTCTAAGCAGTAATAACCACCTAACATAGAAAGCATGTTCTATCTTGTCTCATTCAACATTCAGACACTCTGGATTTGTATCATGTCTTTTGCCATAAACTAACATTCAGGTGCCATTGAAGTATATTTAAGTAACTTTGGGTTTATAAAACTTGTCTCTACTTCTCTATAGAAGTAAAATTCTAATAGACTAAAAAAGTTTGACAATTTTAGTAGTATGTGAAAGAACCCAATATACTGTTTTAGGTGACTTACTAAGAAAGCATTTTGGCCTTGTTTTGAGTTTATTTTTTCTTTCTCTTTTTCAACAGAAAAAGAAGCTTCCCAGTTCATTTCCAGCAGGAATGGATGTAGACAAATTTTTGTTATCATTGCATTATGATGAGTAAACATTCTGGACACATAAGAACAGTAGGTGTTAAAAACTCATATCCCTTAAACTGAGTGTAGGGAATGGGATATTGACAGAATCTGAAAGCATGACCTGCACTTTCATTGTACTGAAACTTCACTTTATATCTAAATCATGCTGTTTCTGAAACAGCTTCCTAGTTTGTAAATAGACTTACTTGGTATATTTTTATTTTGGGAAAAACGTTTGCAGAAATGTAAGTAAAGCCAATCTGCAAAACTGTATAGCTTTGACAATTCCATATTGTAAATACTGTGTAAATCTTGTTGAAATAGAGGTTAAATCAACCTAATGTTCTTACACTGTGTTTTTTGACTTCTTATGATCCCTAATTCTGAGACTTACTCATCTGGAATAGTTTCTCACTTGTTTTGGAGGAAAATGATGCTTATTCTTATAAATTACCTTCAGTAACTATTCAATAAGACATTTAAATACACAATCACTAAGTACTACAAAATAATAACCACCTCAACTGATAGCAAAATATCTAATTAGAAATCAACAGTTTGATGAGTTTTTTTCCTAGAGTGAATACTACCCCTTTCTTATAATTGCTGTAAGTATTATATTTCTGGAATTTCACACTTTACCTACTCTGATCACTCTGTTCTCTTTGTTTTAAAGAGAGAATTTTGTAAACCATTTATTGAATGTTCTGATCTTTCATTTATAACTTAAGATTTTTTACAGAACTTTAAGTGGTTAGACTATTGAGCCATAAAATTTTGGTTTGTAGTAGAGATTTCTCGGTATGTACTTTTCCCCTAAATGCTGGGGATTTAAAGAATTGCACTAATTCATAGAACTCTTTACATTGTAGTGACCAATGCACATATAATTTAAATCTTGTGTTCTATGTGAGAGTTTATGTGGAGGATTATCTTCTGGTGTTGTGTCCATCATAAGATGTAAAAAGAGAAATCATAGTTTTATATTTTAGTTTCTCCTACAATGGGTATGTTAAATAACTATATCTATACTTAGATATAGTGCATTGTCTGTGTCCCTTAAAGTGTTACAAAGAGTTTCTCTCAAAAGGTCCTTAAGGAGAGTGAGAGATGAGAGAGGTGCCTTCTCTGTATTAGACTCACACACATCAGTCCAGTTGAAGAATTGGTTTAAACTTTTAAATGAGAACAGAAATTATAATTAGTACCTGACCAATTGTGCCTAGATATTAAAGTATGTTCTCTTTAGTACTTTCCGTTCAATTAAATATCAGTATATTAGGGATTTTTTTCTACAGGTGTATATTTTGTTGAAGAGTCACTTTCCTCAACCATTTTTTTGTACTGGGCCTTTAAAAAAATAAATCCATCCAACTTTAACACAACATTTCTCAGTGTAGAAATCATGTCTTCTTAATTGCTGAACCTTACTGCAAAAACTTGTGATGTAAGAAATTTGTATGGTGTGGCAGTGGTCTATTCCTAAGGAACTAAATATCATATAGTTAATGTTTATTTAACTCAGCTTGAGACTGTACTACAGTTAGGTTTGAATAAATATTTTCATTAACTTCAAAAGTTTGAATTACTTTACATTGGCAGTCTTGTTTAGAAACTGATTAAATTCCTTTGCAAGTCAGTTCTTTTTGGGAGTTTGTACAATGCTGAAAATCACAGTTTTCTTCTTATTCAATTCATAGTTGTATGTACTAAGCACTGAAAATTCATATACAAATAAAATAAGTTTACTTTCTTCAAGATTCATAGTTAACTAACCAGGAACTGCTAAGTAAAGTTGAAAGATAACTTGTACTTGGAGCTTTTATGTTCAAGAGCAAAATCATATCCCCATTTTACCTTAAAAGTCCACAGGTCCTGAACTTAATTATACTATTGTACCTGGTAACCTATTTGAATACTTAAATGCCCAGTGACTGCATTTCAGGGTTGATGTATACTACAACAATCCATGGCTGTTTTTATAATTACATATGAGGATCCAGTCTGTTGTTTGGATATTACTTAGAGGTTAATGCAGTCAGTGTATGCCAAATCTGAGAAGTGTTGTTAAGTAAAATCTTGTTACAGATTTAGCCCTGGATATATTAGAACTATAGTGTGTTGAAATTGCGCATAAGAAAAGCATCCATCAGCATTCATGCAAAGGCTACATGTCATGACTATTAGGAGTAATTTCAAAAGCATATTACTATATATTCTGCATTCATCCTTTCTCTGGTCATCATCTTTTAGGCTCAGGCCCAGCTTTCTGAAATTACATAAGTTTTGACTTTATTATTAGTTATTTTGCTGCTTCCTTTAAGCAATGGACTCATTGTGTACTTTTTTCTTTTTATAAATGTTATCATTTTGTCATACTTTTGTCTTTTTTTCGTAAATTTGTATCTACATTGTTGAACACATGGTACATATAGCTTCCTAATGCTTTTTGTTTTGTTTTTTTTTTTTTTTTTTGAGAGAGGGTCTCACTCTGTTGCAGGCTGAAGTACAGTGGCACAATCATGGCTCACTGCAGCCTCGATCTCCCAGGCTCAAGTGATCCTCCTACCTCAGCCTCCCGAGTAGCTGGGACCACAGACATATCCCATCGCACCCAGTTTTTTGGGTTTTTTTGGTTTTTTTGTTTTTTGTTTTTTGTTTTTGTCTTTCAGAGAGATGGGGTCTCACTATGTTGCCCAGGATGATATCAAACTCTTGGACTCAAGCAGTCCTCCTGCCTCGGCCTCCCAGGTGTTGGGATTACAGGCATGTGAGCCACCTCATCCAGCTGCTGCTTTTACTTCCAATAATATAAAGCTTTTTCCTTTTTTTAGCTATTACAAACAAAAACAGCAGTGAGCATTTTTATAAACATTTGTTTATGTTAACTATTTCCTTAGAAATTTTAGAGAGTAGAATTACCAAATCAAGAAGTTAGTGTACCTTTTTTTAAGGATCTCAGTACATTTTGCCATATGCTGCTATTAAACTTGCGTCAATTTACATTTCTACCAGCAAATTGTCATTTTTTTGCATAGCATATGCTTATCCATTTCCAGAGGCATATTCACCTATATCATCACCTGTTTCTAGGTTTGTGTTTCCTGATTTGGTAAAATTAGGAGTTAGCTCCTAATCCATTTGTTACTTGTTTTGGTACCTGATATGAAAAAAGGGTCAATGTACATTTTTTCCCTAAATATTTAACTGCTTGACAATTTGTTCACTTGACAATTTAACCACTGCACAGTTTGTTCAGATAAGCTTTCCTTTCCCCTGCTCATTTATTTAAGATGTCTGTCTTATCCTACACTGATTAACAATCTCTTATTCACAATTCTAAAACCCAAAAGGTTCCGGCAACCAATTTTTTTCCCCTAGATTTAACATCAGAACTCATTCTGTGGCAAACCTGACCTGAAATGACACGAGGCTACTTAACAGTCTTTATCTCATTTATAGTAATGTTGATTAGTCTGCTGTTCCAGACTCAACTGGGGGGCATATGGTGCATACATTTGAGTTATTTTTTAGAAATCCAAAATATTCTGATTTATGAACCCCAGCTAACCCCAAAGGTGTGTATGATCAAAGATTTTGGACTTGTATTAAATGTACACACATATATACACACTATATGGTATGTGTATCGTCTATTCTGTGCCACTGATTAAATCATTATAACTTTTGTGTCCACTGTTACTGTTTTTGTTTTTTCAAGTATTCACCCTTTTATGCTTCCTGGTGAACTTTAGAATCACTTGAATTATTTCAGGTTAAATTTCTATTGGAATATTTGAACTACATTAATGTCATAAGCTAATTCATAAAGAAGCAAAGGGTAACGATCATATGGTATGTATCAAAGTGTTATAGTTATCCCTATCAGAAATTTCTTGCTAAACTGGATGTTTTTGTTTGTTACTATTTTTAGAAAGCTCTTCATTTCATAGTTTTAACTGGTTATTGCTGTTATGTAGGGATGGTCTTGCTTTATTAATATAAAATTTTTATGGAGACACATAAAGAGAAAAGTGCACCACTATAAATTCATGCCCTTCAGTGAATTTTCTTTAAGTAAATACATCCACATAATCACTTTGAACATTACCAGTACCCTAGAGTAGTCATTATTGTGACTTCTGGCACCAGAGATTTAGCTTTGTTTTCCTTAACGATATCAGTGGATACATGGAGTATATAATCTGTGAGAAACACTCGTTTTGTATAATTCAGCTCAGTCATGCTCAATGCTGTGTATATATTCATTGTATTATATTACAGTTAATCCATTTTATAGATGGTAAAAGGTGCTTATTGTGAACAGACTGTGCTGTGAACATTCTTGCACATTTTTTTATGAATGCATTACACTTCTCAGTTGGATAAATACTTAGGAATAGGGTTGCTGGAACACAGTTGCATATATTCAGACATTCAGATTTTTTCATTTTCCAGAATGGTTGTAACAACTTATGCTGCACTCAACAGTATAATAAGTTCTCGATACTCTGTGTTATTTCTGATGTTAGATATTTTCATTTAGCCATTTTAGTGGTGTGTATTGGTATATGTTTTGGTTTTAATTTGGTGTTGGTTTTTTGGGTTTTGTTTTTTTTTTAATGAAGTTGAAAACCTTTTCAAATACTATTTGGGTTATCTTTTGTGGACAGTCCAAGGTTTTTGCCCATTTTAGTATTGGGTGTCTGCCTTTTTCTTACTGATTTTTACGTGTTCTTTCTGTATTCTGGATACAGGTCCTTTTTCGGATGGATGTTAGGTGTCTGAGTATTCTCCCTTGTTATTCTTCTGAAAGCGTTATGGTTCAACCTATTTCATTTTGATTTGACCATCTATCTGGAATTGATTTTCCACATTGATATACAATTAACCCACACTATTTATTACCAAAGATTATCCTTTCCCAACTACATTGCACAGTTACTTTTCTCATAAGCTGGTAAATGTGTAGGTTTGTTTCTGGACTCTATGCTGTTCCATTGGTCTGCTTTCTTTAAGATGTGCTAATAACACACTGTCTTAATTAATGTTGAAAATCTTTTTTTTTTTTTTTTTGAGATAGTCTCACTCTGTCGCCCAGGCCAGAGGGCATTGGTGTCATCTCTGGTGACTGTAACCTCCGCCTCCCAGGTTCAAGCAATTCTCCTTCCTGAGCCTCCTCAGTAGCTGGGATTACAGTTGTGCGCCACCACACCCAGTTAATTTTTGTATTTTTAGTAGAGACAGGGTTTCACCATATTGTCCAGGCTGGTCTTGAACTCCTGACCTCAGGTGATTCACCCACCTCAGCCTCCCGAGGTGCTGGGATTACAGGCGTGAGCCACTGTGCCAGTCCCAAAATCTTTTATATTTTAGTTCTATTTATTTTCTATACTGAGTGAAGTCTGTTAGTACTAATGGATTTACCAGTGCTACTTTTTAATTTGTGAAGTATTATCTGTAAATAATTATTTTCCAATTTTATTTATTTTTACTACACTGATATTAGCACTTCCAGTGCAACTAATAATGATCAAAGTCTGCTTCATTGTCTTGTTCCCCATTTTAATGGCAATGTTAGGTATAATGTTTGCTTTTATTAAGTATAATGTTTGCTTTTGTTGGTAGAGTTTTACGATTTTACATCAGAAGTACCTGTTCAACTTAATTGCCACGTTTAAGCATCAATTAAAATATTTTCATTGAACTCATGAATTTCTTTTTATATTAGTGATTATTTTAAGTAAGTTTGCTTTGTGAATATTTTATTTAAATGTTTTTGGTTTTTGTTTTTGAGACAAGGTCTTGCTATATTGCCCAGGCTAGAGTGCAGTGGCTGTTCATGGGCACAGTCATAGCCCACTATAGCCTTGAACTACTGGGCTCAAAGGATCCTCCTGCCTCAACTTCATGAGTAGCTGGGACTACAAGTGCACACCAACACACCCAATGAAAAGTTTACTTTTAATGAGATTGGTTTCAAACTTATGCCAGTTTTTAAAATGAATTTTAAACCTTTCCTTCTTTTTCTAGTTTATTTGAATATTGGGGATAATAAATAGTACCAGTGCTAAAGTGTGAAGTTTAAATTGTACAATATATGTAAAAGCACTTAGATTAATGCCTGGAACATAATAAGCACTTTAAGAACTAGTTGCTATTATAGCTGATGCTGTTTTTTATTTCTTTTTTCTGCAACAGTTTATTTAGAATGAGAAATAACTGTTCCTTGAGACTAAATCACTACTAAATTATCTAGGCCTGGAGCCTTTTGCTTAAGCAGTTTTCCATTTTTTTTTCTCCTAAATTTCTTCCTGGCTGATTATCTATTCAGGCTTTGACCTTTTTTTTCCTGAGTCAAATATCACATTTTTTTTAATTTTGGCTTTTGTTCTCTAAGATACAATTAACTTTTTTCTGTCAAAAACACTTCTTAGATTCAACAGTTGTATAGGAGCCTATTCTTTGTGCTTCCTACTTTCTCAGGGTCCTTTTTGCATGTTTATTTAACTTAAATTAATAAACAGTTATCTGATTTTTTTTTCCCCTTCTTAAACCATGTAAGCATTTAAGGCTGTGAATTTGCTTCTGATTTCAACTTTCAGCAAAATTTGGGTAAGTACTTTTAATATTCATACATAACTATTTACAATAAATGATACCAGGCTCTTTTTTGCCTAAAATTTTTATTATTGTGGTCAGGATAAGTTGCAGGTTTTATAAATGTTGCACGGGGGCTTAGAAATAGGTAATGTTGGCTGGGCATGGTGGCTCACACCTGTAATCCCAGCACTTTGGGAGGCCAAGGCAGGCAGATCACTTGAGCCCAGGAGTTCGAGACCAACCTGGGCAACATGATGAAACCCCCATCTCTACCAAAAATTAGCCAGGCATGGTAGTATGCACCTGTGGTCCTAGCTACCAGGGAGGCTGAGGTGGGTGTATCACTTGAGCCCAGGAAGTCAAGGCTGCAGTGAGATGAGACCATGCCACTGCACTACAACCTGGGCAACAGAGCAAGACCCTATCTCAAAAAAAAAGTTAAAAAAGAAATAGGTATTGTTTAGAAAGGTAAAGTTTGATATGTATTCAGTCTTATACTGTTTGAATCCTGTCTTTGCTTTAATACTTTTTTCACAAGTGTTTGTTTAATCCATGAAACATTATTATCTTGGTCATAGCTTTGGCTTTTTTTCTGCCAAAAAAAAAAGTACAAAGTAGACCATCATAAAAAGTAGTTCTTTCCCCATTTTAACAGTTTCTGCCTTCTCATAATTTATGATACATGCAACCCTTTTTACTTTTTTTTTTTTTTTTTTTTTTTTTTTTTTTTTTTGAGACAGAGTTTCGCTCTTGTTGCCCAGGCTAGAGTGCAGTGGCATGATCTCAGCTCACCACAACCTCCACCTCCCTGGCCCAAACGATTCTCCTGCCTCAGCCTCCCACGTAGCTGGGATTACGGGTATGCACGACCACGCCCGGCTAATTTTGTACTTTTAGTAGAGACGGGTTTTCTCCATGTTGGCCAAGCTGGTCTTCGAACTCCTGACCTCAGATGATCCACCTGCCTCGGCCTCCAAAAATGCTGGGATTACAGGCGTGAGCCACCTCGCCCAGCCTCTTTTTACTTTATTATTGGATTTTAAAGCTGTTGTCTTATAGTAACTTAAGATATGGAACTGTAACCATAACAGGTCCATTGCCCATTGTGCATGACAAGTCAGTATGTAAGACCCTGGGCTGCAGCAAAGAAAGATGTTTAATTGCAGGGCCACCGAATGAGGAGACTGGAGGAAACTTCAAATCTCTCCCCGAGGGTTTAGGAAGTGGGCCAAGGTGCAGCCTGTTTAGTGCCTAGTTATAACTATATTTCTGTCCAGGACCCAGCATGCAATTCTTGTAAGTCCCGTGAGGGCAGTCTCAGAACTTGTCCTACTAGCGTTTACCTTTATTTAGCAGATAAAGATAACATGTTACCGATATTTCACCATGTAAAGGCCAAGGGAAACCAGGAGGTAGGTGTAAAACACAAGAAAAAAAAGGAAAATACAAGGAAAAAAGGAAACTCAACATATTTTAGAATACTTCACTGAAGGTAAGTAGTGCATCCAAAGGTTGGTGATCTGGAAAACATTTGAAAAGTGCTCTGAAAATTCTGGGGAAAAAATGGAAAGGAAGAGAAAAAATAGAGAACCAGAAAGTAAATGGTATTTCTTTTCTTTGTTTAAGAGACAAGGTCTCCCTCTGTCCCCCAGTACAGTGGCAGGATCATTTCACTGTAACCTTGAAGTTCCCCTTGGCCCTCTGAAGGTTTGCTGGAAAATAAAGCTGTTTGCAAAAGGCAGATTAATTGGAGAAAAGGAATATACATTTATTTAATGTTGTATACATGGGGGCCTTCAGACAAAGACCTGACCCCGCCCCCAGTGGGGTGTAGAAACTTTTTTTTTTTTTTTTTTTTGAGACAGTCTCACTCTGTTGCCCAGGCTAGAGTCCAATGGTGTGATCTTGGCTCACTGCAACCTCTGCCTCCTGGGTTGAAGCGATTCTTCCACCTCAGCCTCCTGAGTTGCAGGGACTACAGGCATGCGCCACCACGACCGGCTAATTTTTGTATTTATAGTAGAGACAGGGTTTCACCATGTTGGCCAGACTGCTGTCGAACTTCTTACCTCAGGTGAGCTGCCCATCTGGGCCTCTCAAAAGTGCCAGGATTACAGACATGAGCCCCTGTGTCCGGCCAGGTGTAGGAACTTTATACCATCTTCAGGTTACAGAAGTAATGTGAGCTCCCAGCATGGCCAAAAACATGTTATTTTGGTAAATCAGGTTTTAGTGGCAACACAGGTTACGGGTAGGGAAAGGAGACCTGGCTAGGAAAGGTGGTCTTGTTAGAAGCTTTCTGAGAGAATGGATGTTAAATGTTTAAGACCTTTAAAGGTGTCAGACAGGCTCTCATTTAACCTTTTCTAGATTCCAGACAAGGGAAGTCCTGGCTGCATTAATGGAGATTCTCCATAGACGCAGATTTCTTTCAAAAAAGACAGCTTTGCAGCACCACTTCTGTTTGCTGGCCCTCTGATAGCCATCTCAAAATATGTCAAATAAATATAATTTGAGGTAAAACATTTTTATTTCCTTCAACCACTACCTTTCCTTCTTCCCCAGCCAGTCCTTAAGCAGTCATTTAAAAAATTAGAAACTTTCACCTAACTGAATTCTTAATTCTTCATTCCATGGGCTTGCCTAAACCTTTGTCATTTTTGGAGGAAACATCAGAGTACTTTATTTTCTAAACTTTTCTGTGTTTGAGACACACCTTTTAGTATCTTATTTTGTTTCATTAAAAACAGTTAGATGTCCTGTCACTTGTTTTCTTGGATTGAATGTAATAGAAATAAGAACTGTGGCTACCTATTTTTCTAACTAGATGTTAGAGGAATTTAATACATTTTCTCCAGAATGTCTTAGTATGATTTTCTGCTAATTAATTTTGCCAATAAAATATGCTCTTTAGGGCTGGGCGTGGTGGCTCATGCCTATAATCCCAGCACTTCGGGAGGCCGAGGCAGAAGGATCACCTGAAGTCAGGAGTTCGAGACCAGCCAGGCCTACATGGCAAAACTCTTCTCTCTACTGAAAATAAAATAGCTAGGTTTGGTGGCGCATGCCTGTATACTCAGGAGGCTGAGGCACGAGAATCGCTTGAACCCAGGGAGCGGAGGTTGCAGTGAGCCAAGATCGTGCCACTGCATTCCAGCCTGAGCTACGAAGCAAAACTCTGTCTCAAAAAAGAAAAAAAAAAAATGCTCTTTAAAATCTTCCCCCTTAGGACTTAAAAATCTGAGTTTTTCTATTATCTTTATGTTTTCTGTTATATTAAATTATTGCTTCAGAGTATCTTTTTTTTTTTTTTTAGGAAACACCATTTAAGCTGTGCATGGTAGCATGTGCCTATAGTCCTAACTACTCAGGAGGCTGAGGGAGGCAGATCACTTGAGAACCCAGGAGTTCAAGGTTACAGTGAGCTATGGTCATGCCACTGCACTCCAGCCCAGGCGACAGAGCAATACCTTATCTCTTTAAAACAAATTAAAAAACCTACTTACTTGATTCTCTGTTTCTTCTCTCTTTTCCATTTTTTCCCAGAATTGTCAGAGCACTTCTCAGATGTTTTCCAGATCAATGACCTTTGGATGCAATGTTAGTTTCTGCTTATCTTCAATGAAGTATTCTCATGTTTTGGGTTTCCTTTTCTCCTATATCTTATCCAGCTCCTGGTTCAGTTAGAAGTTTTTGTAAGTCGGGGCAGATAATTATTGAAAGGCATTTAACTAAAGCATAGTAAGTTAAGAACGTGGGCTCTGGAGCTTGACTAACTTGGAGTTGAATCCTAGCCAGCTTTTTGCCCTTGGAATTTATTTAGCTACTCTATGCCTCAATTTCCTTGTTTATAAAGGAGGGATAATAATGGTACCCACTCTTAGAAGTTTTTGTGACAATTAAATGAGTTTATACATATAAAGCACATAACAAGCCTCAAAAGTTGGTGATGATTACAGATGTTTTTGAAAATACTCTACTCTTCCTCTGAATCTGAAGAGCAATCTAATCTATTTCTCCCATATATTGTCATTTTGCTCCTTCAAAAGATCTACAATACATTATTTGCCAACAGATAATGTGTACACAATGACCTTTACTGCCCCCTCCTCTTCCTGAGGGGGAGTTTTCCCTCTTCAGAGCTGCAATTGAGGGTAGTGTGCATAGCCCCTGCCTGTAGCGTTTTAATTAATTAATTTTTTCCCAGATAAAATGCAATGCGAGATACTTCTGTTACAGTCTGTCCTGCTTAAGAACAGGCATTGTCGTGTATTGGAAGTGGTGATCTGTTCCCTTTTTTATATATCCATTCAGCATATCAGTTTCTACCTCCCTTCCCACTCTCTATGCTGCTATAGTAATTCAGAGCCCAAACTCCAGGGTTTTCTGCTTGACCTCCCCCAACCCTGAATGTTGAGGTTATAAGAAATTGCCCCCACTCTAGACCCTGAGGACATGGGCTTCTGTCTTGTTTCTAGTACTGCTGCACACACTGTGGTTTGAGTGATTATATGAAGCACTGCTAGTTTGTCCAGAATAGCCAACTCTTACTGTAAAGAGAAGTAATTTAATTTACCGTAATTTACTAAATGTAAATTACCTATAAAGAGCATTCACTTGACCTTTAACAATCCTCAAAAATATAAATGTGTTCTCACAAATGGAAACTTCTAGCTACTTATGTAAGTCACTAATATTACACATTGGTATTTCTACCATATTTCGATAAGTATAGACTCAGAATGCAAAAATGTATCAAACTTTTCAAGGTTACCAAGAAAAAAGCAGAAGAAGAAATTTATTTTTAATTTCAAAATGTTTTGGGATTTCATCATTTTGATTTTTAAAAGTTAACATAGAAAATAATAAAAAATGAAACAGCTTATCTGAATATAAGCTGACCCACAGTAGTCACACTGATTACAGCAGGCCTTCTGGTCACATAGGGTTGTCTCCTTAAATAGCAGAGGTTGTCTACAGCTTCTGAATTAGCATGGCAGAAGCACCTCCTCCTCCATTGCAAATACTGGCAAGACCGTATTCTCCTTGCTTCAAGGCATGAGTCAAATGACCAACAATCCTGGCTCCAGACATCCTAAAATTAAGAAAGCATTTACTTCTTTAATGAAGTACAGAATTTATGACTAACCAAAATGTTTCTATTCCAATTTAACTTCTTGAAAACCTTACTAGCCACTACTACTTGCTGAATTAACTACTACTATTCTAAAACTAAAACTTGGAGGACTTGTTTCAGGAAGGGTCACAGATCTTAGATCATTTTTTGAGATGGAGTCTCGCTCTGTCGCCAGGCTGGAGTGCAATGGCAGAATCTCAGCTCACTGCAACATCCACCTCCTGGGTTCAAGCGATTCTCCTGCCTCAGCCTCCCAAGTAGCTGGGACTACAGGCGTGCACCACCACACCCAGCTAATTTTCGTATTTTTAGTAGAGACAGGGTTTCGCCATGTTGGCCAGGATGGCCTCTATCTCTTGACCTCGTGATCTGTTCACCTCAGCCTCCCAAAGTGCTAGGATTACAGGCGTGAGCCACCGTGCCTGGCCAGGTCACAGATCTTTTAAAAGTACAGAACAGTATAATGGATAGAAGAGTAGAGTATAATGGAAGAGGGATGTGGGATAAACTACATATTGGGTGACTGACAGGTGCACTGAAATCAGCCCCCACCACTATAAATTCATCCATGTAACCAAAACCCACGGTACCCTAAAGCTAATGAAATAAATAGGAAGGAGAAAAAGGGGGTAAAAAGTCTAAATGTACACTTTTTCTTCTTCAGCATAAAACATTATTAGGTTTCAAATAACAGATGTGACAGGTCTCTGTTCAGTATTGGATACCATCTATCAGAAATGGTTTTTGCCTTATGAAAGATGGGTAGGAAGGAAAACTTAAGAGCAATGGGAATTATGAAGCAGTTTTAAGTTTAGCTAGAAACACAAAGGCAGCTCTTAACCTAGATATAGTTATTATTTTTACCTACCCAATTGGATGTCCCAGAGAAACAGCTCCTCCATTGATATTCACTTTTTGGGGATCAATCTCCAACATTTTAATGTTTGCTAGTACAACCAGACTAAAGGCTTCATTTACTTCCCACATTGCAATATCTTCTTTTTTCAATCCCACATCTTTAAGAACCTTAAATTTTTTAAAAGACAGATGATGTTCAAATAATTAGCAATCACAACTTACTGTCATCATTTCCTTGAAATACTACAGTTTGACATAAGTTATTTAAATATGGAAGTTCTTGGTTTCAGATGGAAGGATCTCTATTTTCAGATTTTTTTTTTTTCCAACAGTCTTGCTCTGTCTCCCAGGCTGGAGTGCAATGGCGCCATCTTGGCTCACTATAACCTCTGCCTCCCAGGTTCAAGCAGTTCTCCTGTCTCAGCCTCCTGAGTAGCTGGGATTACAGATGCCCACCACCATGCCCAGCTAATTTTTTGTATTTTTAGTAGAGACAGGGTTTCACCATGTTTGGCCAGGCTGGTCTCAAACTCCTGACCTCAGGTGATCTGCTCACTTCAGCCTCCCAAAGTGCTGGGATTACAGGCGTGAGCCACCGCACCCGGCCCATTTTCAGATTTTTAGTTGCTCATCTTATTCCATTATATCAAAGAATTTTGTTTGCATTATGTCTGTTTTGACATAGGGGACAGAAAATTTGATTTTCTTTCCACAGATATTTGAAAAGGTACATTTTCTATTTAGGGGCACATAATGCTTTATATATTCTTAAGCTCTGCTTTACTGATTGTGTGTTGCTTGGTTCTATATTCTTTTTTGTTGTTGTTGATTTATTTTGAGACAGGGTCTTGCTCTGTCACCCAGGCTGAAGTGGAATGGCACAGTCATGGCCCACTGCAGCCTTGACCTCCCAGGCTCAAGCGATCTGCCTCCCAAAGCGCTGGGATTACAGGCGAGCGCCACTGCACCCAGCCATTTCTATGTTCTTGACTGTTAATGAAAGAGGTATATTAGTTTCTAATATTAGTGATATTAATGCATCCCCTGCAGTTTCTGCTTTATAAATGTTACTGTAGGGTTATCTGGGCCACAGATATTTACATCTGTTGCAGTTTCATTGTAAGTCATTTATTTAAAATCTTACACTATATGATCTGTTTTGTTTTGGTAGTTCCTCAGCTATGCAGGAAGGTGTATTTGTGCCAGTGATTATCCCTATGCTAATACTTTTTAAAACATTACTAGTGAGTGCCCTAAAACATTACTAGTGAGTGCCCTTTTTCTTTACAGAAGAAATTTGATTGTTGTGAGCGATAATAAAATTAACGTGGAACTCTTCCTCCATCTTCCTCTCTTCTACTAGTGGACTAAGGGTAGCTTTCTAGCCTATACAGCTCAAACAGCTTCCACTGTTCCAACAACACAAAACAAAATATGGTACCCATATATAGCTATGTCTGTAGCTCTCAGAAGTTATTCTACCTTCAGAATCCAGAATTGTTTATTACCCTTGCTTTCCAACGTGATGTTACTCACTTTCAGAAGCTGCGTGTTCCTTTCATTTTCTGAGATCTGCTAGCTCTGAGCAGATCATCACTCCACTGGCCCCTTGTTTCTGATCTTCTCTATTCTTGTTTCCTACTGATTCTGCAGTTTTTTTTTTCATTGCGGGGGTTGGGGGCAGTGGGGAGAATCTGATTTTACTAAAATTCTGCAATTTTTTTTATCTGGGTGCTTACAGAAGTTTACTGTCAGGGTGAGGCCCTCTCAAAAGGAAATATTTACTTAAGATTTCTAAGAACCCTGAACCCCTAAAACTTTCTTTTCCTGTGACTGCTTAGCAATTTCCCACTGAGACTTGGATAGCCCTTACTGACAATTTGGAATATGTAGGTTTTCTGTCTCTAGTTTTACTATTTACTCTGAAGACCTGCTGCCAGCTGTTCCCTTTCAGAATGGAGTCCTCTCCTGGGGAGTGACTAGTTGCTTTCCATTCTAGATCTGGAACCATCAGCCAGCATTCCCTCCGCTTTGTGGTTACCACACCAGGTGTGTGAGTTCTGTATGATACTTACAAGTAATTCAGATGTGTAGTTTTACCTGTTCTACTGAAGATGTAGTTTGTGAGCTGTTCTTTATTTTTTTTTTTTTGTTTGTTATCCTTGTTGCTCTTACTCTTTTCAGGAGAAGACATGGGAAGATTTGAAACCAAGCTATCTCTCTGCTTTGGCAGATAACATTTAAAATCTTAAAAACTGCAACCTTGGTATAAGCAAACCAGAAGCTAGCATAATGGAGTATCGCCCCTCACTTTGTTCTCACCATAGATGCAGCATATACAGGAGCAATTGGAAAATCAATAGGTTCTACAGCAGCGTCAGCAAATGCTGTTTAAAAAAAGGGGGGGGGGGGTTGTTAAAATCTTTTTTTTTTTACTGTATAGAATATGCACAAGCCAAGTTTAGCCCATTAAATGCACATTTCCTAGCCCCTTTAATATATGTAAATATATGTCTTCCTTTTCTAGGATTCTACACTTTATAAAATTACTCCAGTAATCTAAGACACTGATTTTCATTGGGGGGGAGTTTGGGGGTATTTGCCTCTAGGAACATTGGCACCACCTAGAGATGTTTTTGGTTGTCAGAATAGTTCAGATGCCACTGGGTAAAGACTAAGGATTCTGCTAAACATCTACAATGCATAGAACAGTCCCTACAACAAAGAATTACTTAGTGCAAAAGTCAATAGTGCTGAGGTTAAGAAACCATGATCTAAGCTAAGAAAAAAAATGAAGTTATAAGGCTTTTTATAAAGTAACAAAATAGCATCTGTTAAGTCCTTAGGAAGAAGGCAAGACAGATTTCTGCAGCTAAAAATCGGCTTAAGGACATTGAGAACTTGCCCAAGGCCACAGAGTTAATAAATACTAAA
This sequence comes from Homo sapiens, assembly GCF_000001405.40. Lineage (NCBI taxonomy): Eukaryota > Metazoa > Chordata > Mammalia > Primates > Hominidae > Homo > Homo sapiens. The sequence continues at coordinate 108,143,435 of NC_000011.10, read as the reverse complement.
ACACCACACATGTAAATTTTGTATTTCTGGACTCCTAATCCCATATTCTTTTTTTCCTACATAGCTGCCTCTGTAGGAAAATGCATGTACTTTATTTTCTGCTATTTATCATACAGGACAGGAAGTTTTTTAAAGCTTAATTTAAAAAAAAAGAAAAAGAGACAAGATCTTGCTCTGTTGCCTAGGCTGGCTGCAGCTTTGACATCTTGGGCTCAAATGATCGTCAGCCTTAGCCTCCTACGTAACTGGGACTACAGGCATGCTACCACACCTGGCTAATTTTTTTCTTTCAGAGGTGGGGTCTCACTGTGTTGCCCAGGCTGGTCTCAAACTCCAGGCCTCAAGCAATCCTGCCTTATCCTCCCAAAATGCTGGGGTTACAGGCGTGAACCACTGTGCCCAGCCCTTAAAGCTTAATCTTATATAAAGTATAATGAAAATATTAAAGGAGCTTCTATCTCAATTGAAATATGTATCAATTAAATTCTGCCACAAGTACAACCTAGGTAGTAATACTTAATATTGGAGTTGGCTATATCTAACAAGTAAACTCAATTTCATGAAGAGCTTATAGATGTTTAGAAACCTTATTTTTTTTTAAGACAGGGTCTCGCTCTGTCACCCAGGCTGGAGTGCAGTGGTACAATCTCAGTTCACTGCAACCTCAAACTCCTGGGCTCAAGGCATCCTCCCACCTCAGCTTCCCGAGTAGATGGTAGTACAGGCACATGCCACCATGCTCAGCTAATTTTTTAACTTTTTGTAGAGACGAAGTCTCACTATATTGCCCAGGCTGATTTCGAACTCCGGGGCTCAAGCAATCCTCCCACCTCAACCTCCGAAAGTGCTGGGATTACAGGTGTGAGCCACCTCGCCTGGCCTTACCTACTATTCTTGCCAGTGGTGTAACATTGAGCCTCTTCGCTGCATCTGCCGTCATGAGAACCAGAGCAGCTGCTCCATCATTCAGTGTACTGGCATTGGCAGCTGTTACTGTGCCTGAAAGCAAAAATGAGGTTGAAGTCAAAACATTCCTTCACAATAAATGTATTTGGTTCAATTCAACAAATACCTATTGCCTGGGCTGCTAAATGTTTAAAGAAATTACAAATATGGGTGGAGACAATTCCTGCCCTCAGGAAACATGTACACAGCTAACTGCAAGACAATGTAAGAATGCCTTTTTGTGTACATAAAACAGTTTTCTCAAACATCACAAACATGCATGATGGCACTGGATAAATGCTCGTCTACAACTCTTGAAACATAGGGACCAGTTAATATTTTTGTCTCCAGGGTCTAACTTTCCTTATTCAATATATAGCAGGTACTCACTACATATTTTTCAAATCAGATATTTATTCTTATCTAGAATCACCTGGAGATAAATATAAATGAATGTTAAAAACTACCAAACCACTTTAAATAGAAGAATGTTATTATGGTATATAAATTATATCAATAAATCTGTTTTTTTCAATGCCAATGAAGACCCTATCATAGACTGCTACATATGAAAAACTGAATTCTATAGTCATGTTATACATATCTTCCCTGGGATTTATATATTGAAGGTATAAACTACCAAAACAATTTTACATGAGCCTGATATACTGAAAATGTTAAATAACATCTAGATGTTTTCTAGAATTTTTCAAAATCCTTAGGCAATTCTAAGAACTAGATATGGTATACTGGCTCAATTTTTTCTTATGCTTCATTTCTTAACACTAACCATTTTCTTTCTGGAAAACTGTCTTCAGCTTTGGAACTTTGCTAAAATCAACACGTTTATATTCTTCATCTTCTTTCACCACTACATCTGGTTGACCTAAAATAAAAATATTTTAAGTAAAATCGCTCAAAACAAGTAGTCATTCAGCAAGCAACTGTTGTACAAGATGCCTAGTAGTCTGTGCCTCCCTTTGTATCCCTGCTTCACTTAAACCATCCCAAGTAAACACTCATCTAGAATCTGTTAACTATAACCTCTATTATGTTACCATCTTAAAAAGAGAAACTTACAAAGTAGCTTCACAATTTTTTTTTTTTTTTTTTTTTTTTTTGAGGCAGGGTTTCCCTCTCCTGCTTAGGCTGGCATGATCACAGTTTACCTCATCCTCTCCAGGCCCATGTGATCCTCCCACCTCAGCCTCCCAAGTAGCTGGGACTACAGGTGGGAGCCACCACAGCCAGCTAATTTTGTTTGTTTGAAATGGTCTTGCACAGTCTCCCAATAGAGTGCAATGCTACAAACCTAGCTCACTGCAGCCTCGGACTCCTGGGCTCAATTGATCCTCCTGCCTTGGATTCCCTAGTAGCTGGGACTACAGGCGTGTGCTGCTATACCCAGCTAATTTTTAATTTTTTTGTGTGGAGGCCAAGTCTCACTTCGTTGCCCAGGCTGGTCTCAAACTCCTGGGCTCAAGCAATCCTCCCACCTCGGCCTCCCAAAGTGTTGGGATTACAGGTGTGAGCCACTGCACCCAGCCACAAAATTTAAATCTTCTACACCTCCATGTCCCCTTTTCTTCCTCAACTCCCTTCTATGATCACAGACCCCACTCTCCTGACCCCAGAGGCAGCTGTCTGACCTACACTAGATAAGCTCTAGTATTCTGTCACCTAGAGCACAGTAATCATTCCTGGAATAGAATTGTAACCTAAAGCAAGTTAATGAGTCTTCATTGTGGATTTATTCTGCTGGAACTGGTGAGAAAGTCTCTCCTTTTTGAGAACCCTATATATGTGACCCTAGAGGTAGAGGCAGCAACTTTAGAAAGGCTGAGAGAATAAAGCACAAAAGCCTGCAGGTGTGAGAAGCCAAGAGAGCATGTCTTAGTAGTAGTGAACACCCAGTTCCAATCCCTGAAGTTCCCAGAGCTGAATGGTTGCTACTGTTCATCCTTCAGTTCTTGGAGGCACTCCCGGTAACCTTCTAGTAAATCCCTTTTCAATTTAAAATACCGTATTGACTGTCACAGGAAAAAGTTCTAATAAATTTCTCAAATTTAAAGTAATACTCAGGGATCTTATAAATGGATTGAAATCTGACATTAAGTTGGGTAGATTTATATTCTCTCTGAACTGGCAACTCTTCACTTTTTATTAACCATAAGCAGTTGAAATGAACCAAGATAATGTCCTAATTTAAAACTTAAGCATAAAACATTCAGCAACATGAAAAGTCTATTCATCCTTTTTGGAACATTATCTCTACCTTTTACTGTAACTGTGACAGGAATAACTTCATTTCCAAATTTCCCAGCTTCCCATGCTGCTTTACTTCTGGTATAAGAATTAATAGCATAAGCGTCCTGTTCATTTCGTGCAATATTCAGCTTCTTTGCTGTATTCTCAGCACAGCTGCCCTGATAAAAAGTTGAAATATTTTAAAGTTAACTTTGCATAATTTAGAAAATATCTATTAACTTTGCCTAACTTATAGTGTTTAATAGTTAACGTTTCTTAAAATATATTTCTTAGGCCGGAGGTGGTGGCTCATGCCTGTAATCCCAGCACTTTGGGGGGCCAAGGCAGGCAGATCATGAGGTCAGGAGATCAAGACCATCCTGGCCAACATGGTGAAACCCCGTCTCTACTAAAAATTAGCCGGGCATGGGGGCACGTGCCTGTAGTCCCAGCTACTCGGGAGCCTGAGGCAGGAGAATTGCTTGAGCCCAGGAGGCGGAGGCTGCAGTGAGCTAAGACTGTGCCACTGCACTCCAGCCTGGGCAACAGAGCAAGACACCATTTCAAAAAAATAATAATAACATATATATATACACACACACATATATATTTCTTTCTATACCAGGTCACTTTTCACTCATGTCTTTTTTTGAGACGGAGTTTGACTCTTGTCACCCAGGCTGGAGTGCAGTGGTGCAATCTTGGCTCAATGCAACCTCCACCTCCCGGGTTCAAGCAATTCTCCTGCCTCAGCCTCCTGAGTAGCTGGGATTACAGACACCACCACCACGCCTGGCTAATTTTTTTGTATTTTTAATAGAGACAGGGTCTCACCACATTGGCCAAGCCGGTCTCAAACTCCTGACCCCAGGTGATCCACCTGCCTCGGCCTCCCAAAGTGCTGGGATTACAGGCCAGAGCCACCGCACCCAGCCACTCATGTCTTATCTTCACATACTTGAATTAGCCAAGCAGTTGCCAGCTAAGCGTCAGAAATTACCCTATTTAAATGTGGGAAAATTTCTTTAATGACTGAGCCATGCCGATGCAATAGGCATACAAAAATATTCTCCAAAAGTACACGGCTAAAATCAACATTTATAGAGCCCATCTTTCAGTTCAGTTTGTAAAGTACATAGAGTAAGAAAAATCAAACAGTATTGGACATTAGATAGCATTTATCCACTAAAAATCACATTTACCATATGAATTTTATTGTAGACATCAGTTAGCCCGTCTTTTACAATCAAATCTTCAAGCTTTACCCCACCATATGGTGTTGATCCTCTGTTCATTACATATGGAACATTGGACATGCTCTCCATCCCACCTGCCACCATCACATCCTGCGCAGAAACACCAGAAAAACCCAATGTTAATACAAATATTTTGCAAACCCATGACACCCTTTATACAGCTACCACCAAACAAGTATTCTACATGCATTTATTAAACATTTGTTACACAGTGAATACAGGAAGTACCCTCTTTACCACTTCACCCTGATGAAAAGAAATGGTGTTAAATAATATAATGAGAAATAAGTTGGCTGGGTGCAGTGGCTCACACCTGTAATCCCAGCACTTTAGAAGGCTGAGGCAGGTGGATCACTTGAGGTCAGGAGTTCTGGATCCGCCTGGCCAACATGGTGAAACCCCGTCTCTACTAAAAATACAAAAATTAGCTGGGTGTGGTGGTGGGCACTTCTAATCCCAGCTACTCGGGAGGCCAAGGCAGGAGGATTGCTTGAACCTGGGAGGCAGAGGTTGCTGTGAGCTGAGATTGTGCCACTGCACTCCAGCCTGGGGGGCAGAGCAAGACTCCTCAAAAGAAAAAAAAAAAAAGTAGAGGCGGAGATTGCAGTGAGCTGAGATCGTGCCACTGCACTCCAGCCTGGGTGACAGCAAGGCTCTGTCTCAAAAGTTCACAACCAGACATTAATAAGAATACCAGAAATCTGGCTGGGCACGGTGGCTCACCCCTGTAATCCCAGCACTCTGGGAGGCCAAAGCGGGCTGATCACGAGGTCAGGAAATCGAGACCATCCTGGCTAACAGTGAAACCCCATCTCTACTAAAAATACAAAAATTAGCCGGGTTTGGTGGCACACGCCTGTAGTCCCAGCTACTCGGGAGGCTGAGGCAAGAGAATGGCGTGAACCTGGGAGGCAGAGCTTGCAGTGAGCCAAGATCGCACCACTGCACTTCAGCCTGGGTGACAAAGCAAGACTCTGTCTTTAAAAAAAAAATACCAGAAATCTTTCATGTAAAACCATCTTCTGAAATTCTTAAATTTTCTTTTAGACAGGTCTCGCTGTTGCCCAGGCTGGAGTGCAGTGGCACGATCTCAGCTCACTGCAATCTCTGCCTTTTGGGCTCAAGTGATCCTCCCACCTCAGCCTCCCAAGTAGCTGGGACTACAGGCATGCACCATCACACCCAGCTAATTTTTGTATAATATTTTTAGTAGAGATGGGGTTTCACTATATCACCCAGGCCGGTCTCAAACTCCCAGACTCAAGCGATCCGCCCACCTCAGCCTCCCAAAGTGCTCGGATTACAGGTGTGAGCCACCATGACTGGCCTGAAATTCTTAACTTCTAACCCTTCATTTCATTCATGCTGCTAAAAATTTAATGTGCTCTAGAAGATTAGAAGTAATCTCAGTTCATGAAAATAATCATACTTCCTTGACTGAGATCCTCATCATCTCTTCCTGGACAGCTGAGATAATTTTCCACTTGATCTTCTGACATGCAGCCTTTCCACCAAAGCATCATCAACACTCATCTGACTCATTTTGGCTAGAATGTAAGTCTGATCATTTCGCACCTTAGATAACTCAGCATAATATATAAAGCCTTTACAGTATCCCTTCTCTCCCCTTTTTCAGTCTCACAGCCTAACCTATACCTCAGGTCACATGGAACTAGTTAAAGCTCTCCAGAGACACCATGCACATTTCACACACATACCTCTGCACTTTCCCCATCCACCAACATGTAAAACACCTACATTTCTCTTAAAACTAATCAGAACACTACTTCATGTCTGCCTTGACCATTTATTTCTATCCTTTCTTGAAACAGTTTCTCCTCCTTTGTGTTCCCCAATTACTATGCAATGCTTTTAATATTATTATATGTTTACATGTCAAGTCTTCCCACTAGACTATGCTCCTTTGAGGCCAGACACCCTGTCATATTTTTACATCCTTGGCAACTGGCATATATAAGTTTAATAAATATTAATCAACTTGTTACTACTTTACAAGTCAACAAAAAAAAATCACTTGCATTATAAGGGCTAGTTAAAAACAGTTTAATATAAAACATTAATGTAAACATAAAGCCAATAATATCTTCTTACAGTCTTTAATCAGGCATACAGACAAGCAAGCTCTATACCAAAGAAACATAAATATTTTGCCTATTCCGAAATAGAGAAATTCTTAATCAGTTCTCATCTAAGTTTTATTCACTTGTACTTTTTACTGGGGGTGATGGCAATAATAAGTGACAGAAAATAAGGTATCAATTCTTCATTATAAAGTAAAACTGACTGTTTTCTAAGGTCATAAATATTCAAAACAAAGCACTTCCAAGAATGCCTATAAGTCACTGTATATATCCACAAATGAATAAAATAATATTAAATGAAAGTATTTCAATATAGTACAAATGGCATTTGCTAGAGAACCACAATACTTCAATTAAGACAAAACTTTCCATGACAAACAGTTCTGAAACTAAATCTGGTGACCGTTTTTCACCTACCAGTTTGACAAGGGTTTGGTACCACCCAGTGGTGGTGCAGATCCAGACAAGTCACACAATTTTTGGAAAGTCTAACTGGTACAACTTTTATGGAAAGCATTTGCAAATACCAAAATGTTCAAATCCTGACTCAGCATTTCTTTTAGGCATTTTTCCAACAGAGACCTGCACATGTACAGATTTTTTTAAATGTTTTGTTCACCACTCTATTTCCAATGACTGTCACATGGCAGATGCTCAGCCCTGTAACTCTGTGGCTGTCTCAGACACACTGAAAAAAATCTTCATCTGAAAAATGAAGGGCTCAGATCTGAGAGAATCTTGATTCTTCTGTGTGTCCAGGTCTCACCTCCTGACATGACAGCATATTTTTGCTAAGGAGCCTGTCTCTTGCTTGATCTCAAGTAAAGACAAGATATAGATCAGCAAGGCTAATTAGAAAGCCTGTAGAACTTAACTTAATGACTACAAATTAGTCATCAAGCCTGGGCTCAAGCAATGATTTGATTCCCAGGGTTAAGCACCGTGTTCTCCTTTATAATGAAAACCTGTCTTATTCTGGCAAATACAGTATTTATGAATTTTTAGTCACCCAGCCTCAGAGAAAGACCCAAATGCCTTGACTAAAAACAATTTTTTTTTTTTGAGAGTCTTGCTCTATCTCCCAGGTTGGAGTGCAGTGGTACAATCTCAGCTCACTGCAATCTCTGCCTCCCAGATGCAAGTGACTCTTGTGCCTCAGCTTCCCGAGTAGCTGGAATTACAGGCACCTGCCACCACGCCCAGCTAATTTTTGTATTTTTAGTAGAGACGGGGTTTCACCATGTGATCTGCCCCCAGCCTCAGCCTCCCAAAGTGCTGGGATTATAGGAGTGAGCCACTGTGCCTGGGCCTAAAAACAACTTTGTAACACAAGACACTTAGGCTTTTTTTTTTTTCAAAGAGCAGAGTCTCGCTTGCTATGTTGCCTACGCTGGTCTCAAACTCCTGGGATCCTCCTGCCTCGACCTTCCAAAGTGCTTACAGACATGATACCCAGCCTACGCTATCATTTTGACCATACTTCAAATGGACTTAGCAAATCCAGACACTCTTGAGCATGTGAGAAAACATACTAACTTATGAGAAAGAATCTCATTTCTAAAATATGAATATGCCTAGATTTTTGTGTCTTTTAGCCCTAGGTATTACTCTGATTAATAAATGGGAAGGACGGTGTTTCTTACCTGATGTCCACACATAAGACTTTGAGAGGCCATCATGATGGCTTTCATTCCTGAAGCACAAACTTTGTTTATGGTGGTACATGGAGTAGAAATAGGTAAGCCTAAAACCAATATAAGTCACTTTTGAAAAACCGATACTCAAACACAACTGCAGAACTTAATAGAGCATGTTACTATAAACTACAACATTTCTTCTGCCAATATAACTACAAATTATATCATGCATTTAATATTTCATTTAAGCTTAAATAACCTTCATTTTGCCATTTTATACTTTTTTTTTTTTTTTTTTTTTTTTGAGACGGAGTCTCACTCTGTCCCCCAAGCTGGCGTGCAGTGGCGCGATCTGGGCTCACTGCAAGCTCCACCTCCTGGGTTCACGCCATTCTCCTGCCTCAGCCTCCGGAGTAGCTGGGACTACAGGTGCTGGCCACCACGCCCAACTAATTTTTTGTATTTTTAGTAGAGACAGGGTTTCGCTGTGTTAGCCAGGATGGTCTCAATCTCCTGACCTCGTGATCCACCCGCCTCGGCCTCCCAAAGTGCTAGGATTACAGGCGTGAGCTACCATGCCCAGCCTTTTTTTTTTTTTTTTTTTTTTCTTTCAGACAGAATCTCACTCTGTCGCCCAGGTTGGAGTGCAATGGTGCAATCTTGGCTCACTGCAACCTCCGCCTCCTGGGTTCAAGCGATGCTCCTGCCTCAGCCTCCCAAGTAGCTGGGATTAGTGCACCACCACACCTGGCTAATTTTTGTATTTTTAGTAGAGACGGGGTTTCACCATGTTGGCCAGGATGGTCTCCATCTCTTGACCTCGTGATCCGCCTGCCTCGGCCTCCCAAAGTGCTGGGATTACAGGCATGAGCCACCGCACCCGGCCCCTTTTACACATTTTAAGTATAAAAGCAAAAAAGTCTTCCAGGTACCTGCACCCAATACTGCCTGCCTTGTAGGAGCTTGTCCTTCACCTCCTTGTAGAACATTACCCATGTATGCTTCTTTCACTTCTTCTTTTGGAATCCCTTTATTAAAAAAAAAAAAAGTCAAAAAGGCATTTAATTCAATTTAATAATCAGTGATTACCTAATAAGGTAGGTGACATTACACAATAGGAATGGTTTCTTTTTTTTGTCAGTTTTGAGTTTCAATCTAAACTGTATAGTACAAAGACTTCTTTACAAGGGAAAGCAGAAATGTAGGCATTAAGTTATTTCTAAGTGTTACATACATAGTTAATGCAAAATAAATATCTTTTCCATGGAATCTTTTTGCTCCCTTAACACAAAAAGCCAAGTAACTACTGACCTGCCTTTTCAATGGCTCCCTGAATTGCAATGGAACCAAGCTTAGTGGCTGGCAGCAAGGAAAGGCTGCCTAAAAAAGATCCAATGGGTGTTCTTGTAGCACTTACTATGACCACTTCCTGGCAAGACACAAGATGGTAAAAATTATAGGTATTTTACCCAAATCGTATTTCATTAAATAAACATAAATATATTATCAAAAAAACACTTCTATGAATGAGTCATCAAAAATTAATCTCAATAGTTGAACAGCTGTCAAGATAATCAGTTCAATGCTAGTGCTTTATGATTTAAGACCTTATAGAAACCAACTCTAAAACAGATGTAGATCCTTCCCAGTTCTCTACAGGAGGTTTGAGGACAGAAGCTTAAGTTTCCTTTCTATTCCTCAGTCAAAATTCAAGAAATGATCACTGTACCTTGTTTTTTTGTTTGTTTTTGTATTTTTGTTTTTGAGACAGGGTCTTGCTCAGCTGCCCAGGCTGGAATGCAGTGGCACAATCATAGCTCATTGCAGCTCAAACTCCTCAGCTCAAGCAATCCTTCTGCCTCAGCCTACCAAAGTGCTAGGATTAAGGGTATGAGCCACCACACTCAGCCACTTTACTCTTGTTAACTGCATAATAAACAACTCTAAGAGGGTCCCTTACTGAAAGGAACTCTGGCTAGGAATCAAGACCTGTATCCTAGGTGGGGCAATACCACTTAACTAGGACAGAGCCAGGGCCAGAATTTCTTTTTTTATATGTAATTTGAGATGGAGTCTCACTGTGTCACCCAGGCTGGAGTGCAGTGGTATGATCTTGGCTGACTGCAACCTCTGCCTCCCGGGTTCAAGTGATTCTCCTGCCTCAGCCTCCTGAGTAGTTGGGATTACAGGCATCTGCAACCACACCCGGCTAATTTTTGTATTTTTAATAGAGATGGGGTTTTGCCATGTTGGCCAGGCTGGTCTTGAACTCCTAACCTCAGGTGATCCACGCACTTTGGCCTCCCAAAGTGCTGGGATCACAGGCATGAACCACTGTGCCCAGCCAGAGCCATAATTTCTTTTTTCTTTTTTTTTTTTTTTTTTTTTTTTTTTTGAGATGGAGTTTTGCTCTGTTGCCCAGGCTAGAGTGCAGGCACGTGATCTCAACTCACTGCAAGCTCCGCCTCCCGGATTCACGCCATTCTCCTGCCTCAGCCTCCCGAGTAGCTGGGACTACAGGTGCCTGCCACCATGCCCACCTAATTTTTTGTATTTTTAGTGGAGATGGGGTTTCACCGTGTTAGCCAGGATGGTCTCGATCTCCTGACCTCGTGATCCACCTGCCTCGGCCTCCCAAAGTGCTGGGATTACAGGTGTGAGCCACCGCACCCGGCCCAGAGCCATAATTTCTTAAACAGTAAGACAATAATATGAACTTTAAGCAAAAGAAGATAAAAGCTCTCTTGAATACTATAAAACAGCACTGTGACAGTTCTCTCCTTACACTTGTCTTCCACAATCTCCTATTAAGTTTAGAGATAAATAACAGAATGGTTGCTTAGATTTTGATAGAAGATCTTAACTAAGTCACTTTAGTGACCCTTACAAAACAGAGACTCTTCAGAAGGTCCTAGGAGATGCTGTAATGGCCCTCCTTGTCTAATTCCCAACTGGTCCACTCCCTCTCTTCTAGGATCTTCTATACAGTCTCTGCTTGTACCACACACAATACAATGCGAGTCCCTGTGAGTAAAAGAAGAACACTGCCCAGTTCTAGAGGGAATGTTGTTTTGTAGCAGACTATAAGGAAGCAACAAACATTGGCAGAGACTAACTGACATGTTTTTCTATTATAGTCATCTACTTTAACTGAATATTTGAATAGTTAGCTATTCCTAACTGTTACATAATCCTGCTTTGACTTTCACATGTATCCAAATCATAAGTATATGCATTTTTATTGACATTTCCTTTAAATTCTGGAAATTTTAAAGCACAATTTAAATTACTTACCTTCAAAGTGGGTTTTGATACATAACTCCGTTCCACATATCTTATTTCCTGTAATATAAATATTTATAATGTTATAATGTAAAAAATATTAAACTATATCATTTTATATTTCTCAGTGATAAGGTTATAGTGGTTTCTTCCTGCATCCTTATGCTTTTATTTCCAAGTTTTTTGTGGTCAGAATATATCACTTTTAACAATTAGAAAAAAATGACTGCTTTATAATAAACTTTTCTAATTAACTATTCATTGGAAATGTACGTTTTAACTCTTAAGTTTACTATCTTAAAATTTCCAAGTCTTGGCCAGGCGTGGTGGCTCATGCCTGTAATCCTAGCATTTTGGGAGGCCAAGGTGGACGGATCACCTGAGGTCAGGAGTTCAAGACCAGCCTGGACAACGTGGTGAGACCCAGTCTCTACTAAAAATACAAAAGTTAGCCCAGCATTGTGGCACATGCCTATAATCCCAGCTACTTCAGAGGCTGAGGCAGGAGAATAGCTTGAACCCAGGAGGCGGAGGTTGCAGTGAGCCAAGATTCTGGGACTACACTCCAGCCTTGGCAACAAAGCAAGACTGTCTAAAAAAAAAAAAAAAAAATTCCAAGTCTTTCTTAAATATAGCTTTCTAAAATGTAGTTTTGAGTTAAAGCTAGGTTCTAAATTATTTAGTCTTAGAATCTAACAAGATATTTTCATTTTTTAAGATTGTTTTCAAGTAAAACTTGCTGTTTCTCCCTATCCACTTCCAACAATTGTCTGATTTATATGAGGCAAACACATCTCATATAAATATGACCTATAATAGCAGATAAATTATTTCTTAAAAAAGGAAAGAGTAAACATCTTGCCCCTACTACTTCTCAGTTCTTTCCACACTTCTTAGGAACAAATGTCAACAGTAGGCTGGGCAAGTGGCTCACGCCTGTAATCCCAACACTTTGGAAGGCTGCGGTGGGCATATCACTGGAGGTCAGGAGTTAGAGATCAGCCTGGCCAACTTGGCGAAAAAACCCCGTCTCTACTAAAAATACAAAAATTAGCCAGGCGTGGTAGCGGGCACCTGTAATCCCAGCCACTCAGGAGGATGAGGCAGAAGAATTGCTTGAACCCAGGAGGCGGAGGTTGCAGTGAGCCAAGATCACGCCACTGCACTCCAGCCTGGGAGACAAGAGTGAAACTCCATAATAAATAGATTAATTAATTAATTCTGACAACGCAGGACACAATTCAGAGACCTACTGATCTGAAATTAGACTATCAGTAGCTGGGCGCAGTGGCTCATGCCTGTAATCCCAGCACTTTGGAGGCCGAGGCGGGTGGATCATGAGGACAGGAGTTCAAGACCAGCCTGACCAACATGGTCAAACCCCGTCTCTACTAGAAATATAAAAGTTAGCTGGGTGTGGTGGTCCATGCATGTAAGCCCAGCTACTCAGGAGTCTGAGGCAGGAGAATCACTTGAACCTGGGAGGCAGAGCTTGCAGTGAGCCAAGATCACGCCACTGTACTCCAGCCTGGGCGACAGAGCGAGTCTCAAAAAATGATAATAAATTTAAAAAATAATAATTTAAAAACTTACAAAAAAAAAAGTTCCTACTTGTAGTAAACATGCCGGTCACTGCCTCTCCAAACACATGTCTTTCTCAAAGGACAACCCTAAGTACTTACAAGGTGACTCCCCTGCCTCTGGCCAGAGCTGATGGGATCAAGAATGGAATGGACTCACCCAAGCTAGGACCCAGAGAGACTGGGTCAGTTGGATGACGGTGGGGACTGGGACTGAAAAGTCAAAAGGGGCTGGAGCTGACCAGCCAATGCCACAGAAAAGCAGCGGTTAGAACAAAGAGAAAAGCCATGAATACACTGAGAAGCAAAAGAATGCAACATATATACTCAGAGACAGGAGAAATAGACCATGGCACACCACAAGAGGCAAAAGATGGCTTTGGTTAGTGATTTTCTAGCTTGGGTTCTGGCAGGGTCAGTTGCAATTTATTTTGTTTGAAAATTTTCATATATAAAAATAAAAAATAAACCAGAACTCCTGGACTCAAGCAATCCTCCTGCCTCAGCCTCCCAAGTATCTGCGACTACAGGCACACATCCCTGTACCCAGCCAGCTGCACTTTATTTCCTATCCTTGGATGTCCTAGTGCTTGCCCATTGTATCTCTTCAAAAAGTCCCCTTTCTGAAGACTCCTTAAAGAACTAAAACTAGAACTACCATTTGATCCAGCAATTCCACTACTGGGTATCTACCCAGAGGAAAAGAAGTCATTATATGAAGGCCAGGCACAGTGGCTCATGCCTTTAATCCCAGCACTTTAGGAGGCTGAGGCGGGCGGATAATGAGGTCGGGAGTTCAAGACCAGCCTGGCCAACATGGTGAAACCCCAACTCTACTAAAAATACAAAAATTAGCTGGACGTGGTGGCACACGTCTGTAATCCCAGCTACTCGGGAAGCTGAAGCAGGAGAATCGCTTGAACCCAGGAGGCAGAAGTTGCAGTGAGCCGAGATCACGCCACTGCATTCCAGCCTGGGCGACAGAGCAAGACTCCATCTCAAAAAAAAAAGTCGTTACACGAAAAAGACACTTGCACACGCATGTTCATAGCAGCACAATTTGCAATTGCAAAAATATGGAACCAGCCCAAATGCCCATCAATCAACAAGTGGATAAAGCAAATGTGGTATATATACCATGGAATACTACTCAGCCGTAACAAGGAATGAAATAATGGCACTCACTGCAACCTGGATGGAATTGGAGACTATTATTCTAAGTGAAGTAACTCAGGAATGGAAACACCAAACAGCTTATGTTCTCACTCATAAGTGGGAGCTGCGCTATGAGGACACAAAGGCATAAGAATGATACAGTGGACTTTGGGGACTCAGGGGAAAGGCGGGGGGTGGGGGTGAGGAATAAAAGACTACACATTGGTTTACAGTGTATACTGCTCAGGTGATGGGTGCACCAAAATATCAGATACCACCAATAAAGAACTTATTCATATAATCCAACACCACCTGTTCCCAAAAGCCTATTGAAATAAAAATTAAATTTTAAAAGTCCCCTTTCTACTTAGCTAGTTTGTTCCTTGTTTACTAAGCCACTTCTCTTCTTTCAAGCTTCTGGTCCAGTTTAATGGAATCTTCCCTGGTTCTCTCCACTTTACTCTGGATCCCATTTCCAGTTGCCTTTTCAAAGATGGCACAGTTATCCCTTCCTTCTCCTCTACATCATTCACCCCTTTTACTTCTGGATAATTCCATAAGCATACAAACAGGATCTGATTCCCCCCACCTAAAAAACAAAGTAAAAACAAATAAATGTCTCTTGACCCACATTCCCGAGCTTTCACCTCATTTCTTTTTGAAAAAAGGCTGGAGTGCAGTGGTGCGATCTCAGCTCACTGCAACCTCTGCCTCCCAGGTTCAAGCAATTCTCCTGCCTCAGCCTCCCGAGTACCTGGGACTACAGGCATGCGCCACCACGCCCGGCTAATTTTTGTATTTTTAGTAGAGACAGGGTTTCACCACGTTGGCCAGGCTGATTTTGAACTCCTGACCTCAGGTGATCCGCCTGCCTCGGCCTCCCAAAGTGCTGGGATTACAGGCATGAGCCACTGCACATGGCCTCACCTTACTTTAGTTCTCTTTGGCAAGAAAGGTTCTCCAGGTTACCTACAGTGTCTATTTGCTTGTCCTCACCTCCTCTTTACAGTTCAACCCACTCAGATCAGGATTTTATTTCTGCCAGTTTACCACTGTTGGTTCTGAGCAACATCAGCAATGTCTGTGTAGCAAAATCCAACTCGCTATAATTGTCTCACTTAACCTTTTAACACATCAGCAAGACTGGGCTCACCTTTCTTTGAGAAATATGCTGAGCAGTTAAGAGCCTGGGCTTACCAGCTCAGTATTCTTTGTTTGTTTGTTTTGTAGAGACAGAGTCTCACTATCTTACCAAGCTGGTCTCAAACTCCTGGGCTCAAGCGATCCTCCTGCGTTGGCCTTCCAAAGTGCTGGGATTACAGGCGTGAGCCACTGTGCCCTGCAAGCTGAGTATTTTTGAGCAAGTTACTTAGACACACTTACCTTGGTTTTCTTAAATACCCTCCACAGGCTGTTATGAGAATAAAATGAGGTAATATGTATAATCCACTGCAGAAACCCTTCCTTGTCTTGGCTTCCATTACAAACGTGGACTCCTTCCTACCTCATTAGTCATATTTACCTCAGTCTCCTTTACTATCTCATCTTCCCCTTCCAACCTCCAAGTGCTGAATGTCCCAGGGCTTTGTTCCAGGCCTCTTTTAATTTAACTTCACTATATCCTTAGTTATATCCAGTCCCATGGCTTTAAAAAGCATTTATGAGGCCGGGCACAGTGGCTCACGCCTGTAATCCCAGCACTTTGGGAGGCCAAGGCAGGCAGATCACGAGGTCGGGAGATAGAGACCATCCTGGCTAACACGGTGAAACCCCATATCTACTAAAAATACAAAAACAAAATTAGCCAGGCGTGGTGGCGGGCACCTGTAGCCCTAGCTATTTGGGAGGCTGAGGTGGGAGAATGGTGTGAACCCGGGAAGTGGAGCTTGCAGTAAGCCAAGATCACGCCACTGCACTCCAGCCTGGGTGACAGAGTGAGACTCTGTCTCAAAAAAAAAAAAAAAAGGCTTCTATGTGCTGATGATTTTCCAAATTTCTATCTCCAACCCTGACCTTTCAACTGACCACCAGACTCACACCCAAGCGCCAACCTGACAGCTGCAGGTGAATGTCCAAATCATAGCTCTCAATTTCCAACCCTAGAAAACCTGTTTGTGGCCAGGTGCAGTGGCTCACCCCTGTAATCCCAGCAGTTTGGGAGGCCGAGGGGGGCGGATCACGAGGTCAGGAGTTCCAGACCAGCCTGGCCAACATGCTGAAACCCCGTCTCTACCAAAAATACAAAAAAATAAAAATAAAATAAAATAAAAAAATAACAGGGCATGGTGGCACGCGCCTGTAATCCCAGCTACTCCAGAGGCTAAGGCAAGAGAACTGCTTAAACCCGGGAGGTGGAGGTTGCAGTGAGCTGAGATTGCGCCATTGCACTCCAGCCTGGGTGACAGAGAAGACTCCATCTCAAAAAAAAAAAAAAAAAAAAGAAAACCTGTTTGTTGCCGGTATTCTCAGGTGCTCAAGCCAAAATCATCCTTCATCCTTCCCTTTATTGCAATCCCTAAAATCCAGATACTGTGAACAGCGTCCAAAACATAACTAAATTCGTCCACTCTGCCTCATGTCTACTGCTGCCACCTAGTCCAAGCCACCATCTCTTGTTCCTATTAATGGCCTTCTACCTAGTTCCCTGCCTCCCCTGACACCTCTCTACAGTCCCTCCAGCTTTGAAAAATGTAAATCAGATCATATCACTCTACTGCTTAAAATAATTTAACAGCTTTTCATTGCTCTTGGAATTATATACAAATTCTTTACCTCATCCTCCAAGAACCTGCATGATCTGGCTCTAGGTTTTCTCTCCAAATTTACATCACTCTTGCTCTGTGCCAGCCACTGGCATCTCTTTGTTCTAAACCCTATCCCGATACCTCAAGGTCTCTGCAGTGTGCCTCTGCCAGTAATAGTCTCCTCAGGCCGGGCCTAGTGGCTCATGCCTATAATCCCAGCCCTTTGGGAGGCCGAGGCAGGTGGATCACTTGAGATTAGAAGTTTGAGACCAGCCTGGCCAACATGGTGAAACCCCGTGTCTACTAAAAATACAAAAATTAGCCAGGTGTGGGGGTGGGCACCTGTAGTCCCAGCTACTTGGGAGGTTGAGGTGGGAGAATCGCTTGAATCCAGGAGGCAGAAGTTTCAGTGAGCCGAGATCGCGCCGCTGCCCTCTAGCCTGTGCAACAGAGTGTGATCCTGTCTCCAAAAAAATCAAAAACAAAACAAAACAAAAAGTCTTCCCAGCTCTCCATGGCTGGCTCATTTTTATTCTTCATGTCTTTTCTTTTTTTTTTTTTTTAGACGGAGTCTCACTTTGTCACCCAGACTGGAGTGCAGTGGCGCGATCTCGGCTCACTGCAAGCTCCGCCTCCCAGGTTCACGCCATTCTCCTGCCTCAGCCTTCCAGGTAGCTGGGACTACAAGCGCCCGCCACCACGCCTGGCTAATTTTCTGCATTTTTATAGAGACAGGGTTTCACCTTGTTAGCCAGGATAGTCTCGATCTCCTGACCTGGTGATCTGCCCGCCTCAGCCTCCCAAAGTGCTGGGATTACAGGCGTGAGCCACCACACCCAGCCTATTCTTCATGTCTTTTCTAATGACACATTCCCAGAGTGGTCCACCCTAACTACTCTATTTAAAGTTACCCTCTACTTTTTCCTCTCTTTTATATGAATATCTTTATTTCCTTCAAAGCACCTCTTACACTGTAAGTATGTGGTTCACATCTTTGTTTTATTATCCACCCCTCCAACATAATACAGGCTTCCTGATGGCGGGATGGTGTCTCTTGCTCACTGTTACATCCCTATGACTTAGCACAGTGCCTAGCGCTCCTTCAATATCAGAAACGAATGACAAAATTATAGTATGGTCAGGACACTGAACCATATAGTGTATAATAATACATGCTGAATGAACACAACCCATTAAGTTTTATCTACATAACACAATTATCTTTCAGGGAGGGCTCAGCCATGCCAGGCAGAGGTCAGCACTCCTATCTCAGCTTCCACAACGCCCGTGCACATTCTAATTGTTCCAGAATATATAATTTTGTAACCCTCAGGTGGCTTTTCTCCTCACTAGACTGTGAATTCCAAGAAGAGACTGATTTTATTTATTTTCTATCCCAGTGATGGCAGCAGACACAAAACAAATATTTGAAGACAGTCTGAAAGTTACCAATAACTCAGAGAAACAAAATTTCAGCTACAGTAAATGTTATGAAACCAGCAAAATTGATCATGAACTAGAGAGTAACTGACGGCCTACTTTACATGGGAGAGTCAAAAAAGGCCTTCTAGCAATGTTAATGGAGCTGAGAAATGAATGTTAAAGAGTCATCCTTGGAAAGATCCAGGAAAAGAACATTTGAGGCATCAGGAACACGTAGGACTAAGGCCACGAATTCGGAACAAAATTGGCACACATACTAAGTATAGAAAGAAGGGTCCTGTGGCAAAAGCAGAGTGAGCACGGCAGCAGCTGAGGCCACAGAACTAAGTAGGGCCCAGCAGATCATAAGGGTCTAGATTCTGGCCTATGGGCAATGACAAGCCACTGAAAGCTTTTATGTTATAAAAAGACCACTCTGGCTGCGGGGGAACTGAGTGTACTAGGGTAAGATTAGAAAAAGGGAAGGGGGCCAGGTGTGGTGGCTCACACCTGTAATCACTTTAGGAGGCTGTGGTGGGCAGATCATCAGAGGTGGATCACCTGGTGAGCTGGTCAGGAGTTCGAGCCCATCCTGACCAACATGGTGAAAGCCCGTCCCTACTAAAAATACAAAAAGTAGCGGGTGTGGTGGCACATGCCTGTAATCCCAGCTACTCAGGAGGCTGAGGCAGGAGAACTGCTTGAACCCGGGAGGCCAAGGTTGCAGTAAGCCAAGATCGTGCCACTGCACTCCAGCCTGGGCAACAAGAGCGAAACTTGATCTCAAAAAATAAAAAAGAAAGAAAGAAATTAGCAACAGGAAGGAAGTAGCATACAGGCTGTTAGGTCAAAGGGAAGAAGCAAGGTTACCAAAGCCAAGGGGTCAGGATCCCAGCAGAAGCGGGAACCACAAGAGAGACAGACACTGCCAGATACAGACAGACAGACAAATTATTCTGGCTTCTCCCTTCCTCCTATCTTCCAATCTTCCACTGGTGCCTTCCAGTGGCTACACCCAGCCAGAAGCCAGCTGATATTGGTCAGCCTACAGTAATGCAGACAGACTAGGGGAGGGAAGATAAATGAATCTGGGAGCAAATAAGCCCAAGACTGGCACAATACAGGAATTTTTTTTTAAGTCTGAGTATTAAAAGAAGCTGAATAAAACTGGATCAAAACACAAAACAGTTTCAAGAAGGGAGTGGTCAATAGTGTCAAATATAGGATAAAGGTCAAGAAGAAAAAACTTGGGCTGAGCACAATGGCTCACACCTGTAATCCCAGCACTTTGGCAGGCCAGGAGTTCAAGACCAGCCTGGCCAACAGAACCAGACCCCGTGTCTACAAAAACTAAAATTAAAATAGATTTAAAAAAATAATTAAAAAACAAAGAAAAAGGAAATCACTGTATTTTTCAGCTTCAGTGGCAAAGAAATTTAACTGCAGAGAGTTAAGGAGAAATAGATGCAGAATACATGGGAGGTAATGAGTAAAGACCACTCCTTTGACCAGAGAGAGAAAAGTGATTAGAGCTAGAAAGGCAATGTGCTCCAATAAAGTCCATAAAGATTTGTTGACCATAAAAGAGACCTGGTAAGCAAAGGGAAAAGAGCCAATGTAATGAGAGGTCAAATTCCATTCTACAAAATAGCACAGAAAACTGGAAATCCTGTTTATAGTTCAGTAAATGACCATTTAATTCAAGTGTCCAATACAACTGCTTCCTAGAGTTCAGTAATATGAATGTCACATATCATACATTACAGCATGTACAGGCTTATTTTTTTCATGAGGAGTATTTGTGTTTCATTTTAAGATCTTTTTTTTTAAGACGGAGTCTCACTCTGTTGCCCAGGCTGGAGTGCAGTGGCATGATCTCAGCTCACTGCAACCTTCCCCTCCTCCCGGGTTCAAGCGATTCTCCTGCCTCAGCCTCCCAAGTAGCTGGGATTACAGGCGCCTGCCACCACACCCAGCTAATTTTTGTGTGTGTGTGTATTTTTAATAGAGGTGGGGCTTCACCACGTTGGCCAGGCTGGTCTTGAACTCTTGACCTCAAATGATCTACCCACCCCGGCCTCCCAAAGTGCTGGGATTACTGGCATAAGCCACCTCAACCAACCTGATTGTAAGATCTTAATTAAACCATAAATTAAGAAGGTTCTGAACTTTTTTTTTTTACATCTCTAGAGTACCTAGTTCACCTATGTCACCTAGTCAATACTGACTGAAACCCAAGATAACCTAATTACTTTCTTGTGATTTCTTCACTCATCCCATGAGACTAACAAATAGGCTAAAAACTCATCTTCCCTGGAAACCTACGCCTTGTGACTTTTCTATTATCTCAGTCACCCAGGATCAATTTTAGACTCTTTCTTTTCCCTTGGCTTCGCACCCTCACTCCCTAATTGTCAAGTCCTAGACTGGTTCTTTTACAATCTCTTGCAAAGCTCCTACCGCCAGCACCCTTGTGCAAGTAATGTTATTCTACGCCCAGACGTAAGAACTAGAGTGACCTACCATTGCAACAAAAACAAACATATCAACAATCCCTACTTAACTAGGGTCAAGTCCATACTCACAACATAACTGGATCTCCAAGCTTATTGCCCCCATCGACCTAGAAAACTCAAGCTTCACCAACCACACCCTGAAGGTCTCTACCTATTCCTGAGGCTTTGCCTGACAATCTGTGGTGCGTACTCCCTTGCTTACGCATGTGGAGAATAAATTCTTTGAGACTCTGCCCCTGCTGTGTTCCCTAAACACAACGGTCAGAAGAGCGACAGCCCTTGGAACGCCCTCAGTATGTGAGCTTTGCTCATATGTCAAGTATAATTTATTGTATTATCTGAGTAGTCATTTGTTTTCCCTGATAAATTTCAGGCTGCTCCAAAAAACATCTGTTATGATCACATGGTGCCCTCTCCCCTTGTATGCCCAATGATTATCTATTGTATTAAAAAAGAAAAGGAACCTCTCCTGACAATAACGCACACAAATATGTTTTAAAGAAAATCTCGGGAGCAGCTGCACAGGCCTGCAAAGAGACTCTCCCCGATCCCACCGCTCAGGCCGGGCCAGCGCCAATCCTGGCGGTCCTGCCCGCCCAGACACGTGCCCTTGTTTGACACACCAGTAACGCTCATTAAGATGATTACGCCGAGACCTTGGAAGTAGAAACGCGCTGTAAAAATAGGCGAGTCCCTGGGTGTTATCGGAGCACTTAGGCGGTTTTTGGACCAGAACCCGTCGCGTGACTGTCCTGGGGCCTAAGCCGCGCGCCCGGGCCGCGGGAGCCGCAACGGCCGCGGGCTGGAAGCTTCCGAGGCGGGGACTCCTCGCATCCCGGGTCTGAGTGCTGTGGGGACGAACCCCGCTCACCTGCACCAGCCTCCGGAGCAGGGGGCTGCGGCTGCGGGCGCCGCTGCGCAGAAGTGCCGCCAGCACAGCCATGGTCGCAGAGGGCTGAGTATCGGCTCCACAGGCGTAGACTAGCGGCCTCCTCCCCAACCCCGCACCCCTAGCGGCCCGGCGCGGGCACCGCCCATCCCGCTTCCTCCAATAGTCGCCTCTCAGTCGGCGGCGATTGGCCGGCAGCCAAGGGCGGGGCGGAGCCTGGCGCTGGGACACCGCAGCCTGGGCCAGGAAAGGTTGACGAGTGAAGGACGTGGATGGAGACACTGGCGCTGGGGTCAACGAGCACCTGACACGCTGCTGGCTCCCGTGTCCACCAAGTCTAACCTGCCGGGGCCGGTGGTTTATGTGTAATCCGAGATTTTTCGATTTACTGAGCATGTTTCCCTTAGGCCTACCCAGCACAAACTCATGAAAATATTTTAGGATTTTTTTTTTTTTTTTTGAGACAAGGTCTCACTCTGTCACCCAAGCTGGAGTGCAGTGACGTGACCACAGCTCACTGTAATCTCGACCATCAGGGCTCAAGCGATCCTCCCTCCCCAGCCATCCCAGTAGCTGAGACTACAGGCGAAAGCCTCCACAACCAGATAATTTTTGTATTTTTTGTGGAGACGGGGTTTCACCATGTTGGCCAGACTGGTCTTGAACTCCTGGACTCAAGTGAGCCTCCCTCCTCGGCCTCCCAAAGTGCTGGGATTACAGGCGCAGGCGACCACGCCCAGCAAATTGTTGTATTTTTTTTTTTTTGTAGAGACTAGGTCTCCCTATGTTGCCTAGGCTGGTTGCTGACTCCTGGGCTCAAGCAGACGGCCAGACTCAGCCTCTCAAAGTGCTGGGATTACAGGCGTGAGCCATCACACCCAGCCGTGAAAATATTTTGAAGCAATCAAATTCCAGGCTCAGTCCAGATACAAATATGGGTAAAAAGGCCTCAGGTGATTCCAGTCCCCAACCTTCAACCACTCCAGCTGAGACCCCAGACATCATGGAGCAGAGACAAGCCATACCCACCATGCTGTCTGAATTCATGGTCCACAGAAACGAGAGAAAACAAATGGTTGTTATTTTAGGCCATTATGTTTTGGAGTATTTTTTTTTTTTAAGATAGGGTCTCGCTCTTGTCACCCAGTCTGGAGTACAGTGGTGCAATCATATCTCACTGCAGCCTCAAACTCCTGGTCTCAGGGGATCCTCCTGTCTCTGCCTCCCAAGTAGCTAGGGGATCCTCCTGTCTCTGCTTCCCAAGTAGCTACGTAGCTAGGACTACAGGCATGCTCCACCATGCTAATTTTTTTAATTTTTATTTTATATAGAGAAGGGGTCTTGCTATGTTGCCCAGGCTGGTCTCAAACTCCTGGCCTTAAGAGATCTTCTGGCCTTGGCCTCCCAAAGCACAGATATTATAGGCATAAGCCACCTAAATAGGTCTGTTTGGGGGTAATTTTTTTTTTTGAGACAGTCTCGCACTTGTCACCCAGGCGCGATCTTGACTCACTGCAACCTCTGCCTCCTGAGTTCGCCTCAGCCTCACGAGTAGCTGGGATTACAGGCGCACGCTGCCAAGCCTGGCTAATCTTTTGTATTTTAGTAGAGACGGGTTTTCACCATGTTGCCCAGAGGCTGGTCTCAAACTCCTGAGCTCACGCAATCCGCCCCCACTAGGCCTCCCAAAGTACTGGGATTACAGGCGTGAGCCACTGCACGCGGCCAGGGTAATTTTTTAATATAGCACCCTGTCTTTAATTTCCCCATCACTCCAGGTTTGTCCCTTAAAGTCCCCTGTGATTCCTGCACCGAAGAACCTCTCTATTCAACAGCTCACCAAGGCCTACCTCCTTCCTTGGAATGTCACACTCACACCTTTCCCTTCTACCAGAGGCCAAAGACAAATATTTTTCATACTGGGCTGCTTCGAGAATTATTGAAAGGAAGTCATTACATTGTATGTCAGTGTTTAAACTTTGTGTGTGTGTGTGTGTGAGAGAGAGAGAGAGAGAGAGAAACAGATATTTCTAACTGAAAAAGTTGAATTGTTAAAGAAATGACTCAGAAAACTAAAGGTCTGGCCTCATAGAGATTACCAGTTGTGAGAGGCCAAAGCTGATGACTAGGGTATCACACAGTAAAAGATGACTGGTTAGGCTGGGCGTGGTCGCTCACGCCTGTAATCACAGCACTTTGGGAGGCCCAGGTGAGTGGATCATTTGAAGTCAGGAGTTAAAAGCAGCCTGGCCAACATAGCAAAACCCCATCTCTACTAAAAATACAAAAATTAGCTGGGCATGGTAGTGGGCACCTGTGATCCCAGCTACTCAGGAGGCTGAGGCAGGAGAATTGCTTAAACCTGGGAGGTGGAGGTTGCAGTGAACTGAGATCACACCACTGCACTCCAGCCTGGGCAACAGAATGAGACTGTGTCTCAAAAAAAGAAGAAAAAAAAAAAGACTGGTTACATAGCTATGTACATAGTTCTTAATATGAACCAGTTCTTTTACAGTTTAATTTTAATTCTCCCAAAAATCCACTGAATTAGGGAGTAGCATTATCCACATTTTCCAGAAGTTTGTCCAAGGGCACAAAGCTAGTAGTTAGTGACACAGTTGCAATTGGAATCTAGGCAGTCTGGTTGCTAGGTCTAGGCTTCTAGGCACTCACTACACTAGTTGTGTCTTAGGAGACACCTGCCCTAGGAGAAACCTAACTAGGAACATAGAAGTCAGCTGTAATTGGACAATTCTGCCATCAGAGGCACTACCAGGAAAAAGTGCCACTATGTTCATCAGGACAGCTTCTAGAGAAGTTCAGAGACATTTAGGAGCATTGAGGGGAGAAGAATAGTACATTTATTTCTGGAGCTACAGCAGGCAAGCTGCT
This sequence comes from Homo sapiens, assembly GCF_000001405.40. Classification (NCBI taxonomy): domain Eukaryota; kingdom Metazoa; phylum Chordata; class Mammalia; order Primates; family Hominidae; genus Homo; species Homo sapiens. The sequence continues at coordinate 108,118,768 of NC_000011.10, read as the reverse complement.
CTTTAAAACTAAACTTCAAAAAAATAAGAGTAGCTTTATCACCAATATGAGCACCAGGCAAAAATGTAGCTAATAATTTCATTTAAGAATCTAGGACTTGGCCGGGCGCGGTGGCTCACGCCTGTAATCCCAGCACTTTAGGAGGCCAAGGCAGGCGGATCACAAGGTCAGGAGATCGAGACCATCCTAACACGGTGAAACCCTGTCTCTACTAAAAATACAAAAAATTAGCTGGGCATGGAGGGGGCCACCTGTAGTCCCAGCTACCTGGGAGGCTGAGGTAGGACAGTGGCGTGAACCCAGGAAGCGGAGCTTGCAGTGAGCCAAGATCGTGTCACTGCACTACAGCCTGGGTGACAGAGCGAGACTCCGTCTCAAAAAAAAAAAAGAAAGTGACTAGATTAACATTTCTTCTGTGAAATAGAAATGGAGTGTTGGAATGAAAATTAAATACAATTAAGAGAGAATTATTTTTGTTTGTATTTTAAAATTTATTATTATTAGTACTAGTATTTTGGTAGACACAGGTTCTCACTATGTTGCCCAGGCTGGTCTCCAACTCCTGGGCCCAAGCAATCCTCCCTCAGTCTCCCAAAGTGCTGGGATTACAGGTGTGAGCCACCACACCTGGCCAAAGAAAAAATTTAAAAACATTTTTTGCATATCTGAATTTGTGGCTTTGGATTATCATTCCTGTCATAGCAGGCAATAGTGTCTGGACAGATGTATTAATGAAGAGCTACTCAAAAAGTGGTTTATCTGGGATTTATTACATTTGTCAAGGAGATCTAGTCAATACCTCCATCTAGTGGCAAACTTGTAAGTGGAGACTTAGGTCTTGCAAAGTATTATTAAAATATTGATAAAATAAAGCCCTCTGAAATGTCCATGAGACCCAGAGTGGCTTTCTAGAAGTAGAAGTTAGTTTTAGGAATATTAGAGCAATATTTTCACAGCAGGAAACTAGTGGAAAATTAAAAACATTTAAGAAAAACTTGTGGGTATTATATTTATAATACAAAGATGTTTGATATTCATTTCCAAGTAAGTTCTTCTACAACGAACAACTTCTGTCAAACTTAGACTACTGGAATAACTCGTTGTACTACGTTAAACAGTGTCCTTCCAAAAGATATGTTTGTTTAAGGGACAGGGTCTCTGGCCAGGTGTGGTGGCTCATGCCTGTAATTCTAGCACTTTGGGAGGCCAAGGAGGGCAGATCACCTGAGGTCAGGAGTTCCAGACCAGCCCGGCTAACATGGTGAAACCCTGTCTCTAGTAAAAATACAAAAAATTAGCTGGGTGTGGTGATGGGCTTCTGTAAGCCCAGCTACTCAGGAGGCTGAGGCAAGAGAATCGCTTGAACCCAGGAGGTGGAGGTTGCAGTGAGTCGAGATCGTGCCACTGTACTCCAGCCTGGGCGACAGAGCAAAACTCTGTCTCCAAAAAAAAAAAAAAAGAGAGAGACAGAGCCTTGCTCTGTCACCCAGGCTGGAGTGCAGTGGTGCGATCATAACTCACTGCAGCCTCCTAAGCTCAAGTAATCCTCCTGCCTCAGCCTTCCAAGTAGCTAAGACTACACGTGTGTCACCATGCCCACCTAATTTTTATTTTTTGTAGAGATGGGGCACTCACATTTCCACCCACTTTCTCTTCAAGGCAATCTAGGCTTAGTCTATCATGTGCCTCAAACTTCTTCCTCTGCCCATCACCCCAATCTATTAATAAAGGCACTTCCATGTTTGTGTATATTAATATGGCAGCACCCCACTTTTCAGTACCAAAATCTGTATTTGTTTCCTAAGATTGCAGCAGCAAATTACCACCAACTGGGTGGCTTAAAACAAAAGAAATGTATTTTCTTACAGTTCTGGAGGCTGGAGTCCAAGATCCAGGTGTTGGCAGGATTGGTTCTTTCTGTGGGTTCTAACGGAGAGTCTGTTCCATGCCTCTCTCCAAGATCGTGGTGGTTGTTGGAAATCCTTGGTATTCCTGGCTTTGTAGAGGCATCAGTCCAACCCCTGTCTTCTCCCCTGTGTGTGGCTTTTTCTCCACTCTTGCTATAAGGACACTGGTCATTGGATTTAGGGCCCATCCAAATCCAATTATGACCTCATCTTAATTTGATTACACCTGCAAGTTCTCTATTTCCAAATAGTCACATTCATAGGTACTTCGAGTTAAGACTCTAATATATCTCTTAGGGGCCAGGTGTGGTGGCTCAGGCCTGTAATCCCAGCACTTTAGGAGGCCAAGGCAGGAGGATGACTTGAGGCCAAGGGTTTGATACCAGCTTGGGCAACACAGTGAGACCCCCATCTCTATGAAAAAAATTTAAAAATTAGCCGGGGCCAGGCATGGTGGCTCATACCTGTAATCCCAGCACTTTGGGAGGCCAAGGCAGGAGGATGACTTGAAGCCAGGAGTTGGAAAACAGCCTGCTTACATTAAAATGCAAGTGGAAGGAGGTAAATTGAGGTAGGAATTGTTACTGGATGGAATGTCTTAACTGTGAGTTGTCCAAGTTCTTGGTGTATTGAACAAAAAATTGAACAAAACGCACTAACAAAGCAACAAAAGAACGGGCTAATGAAGGCACAGATTTATTGAAGAAGCCGAAGTACAATTCACAGGGTGGGAGCAGGCTTGAGCAAGTGGTTCAAGAGCCTCTTCAACTGGGGTTTTTATTAAGCTAAAGGAACCAAGCAACTCCCCTCAGTGCCCTTTAGAGGACTCCAATTGGCCACAGCCCATGAAGGATTGGCCTGTGACCAGAGGCTGACGTGGAGGCTTGGCACACAATCAGAGGCTGATGTGGAAACTTCTGTCTCATTATCACAGGAGCAAGGATGTGGCCTGTGTGCTGCCCAGTTTTGCCTAGACCTGGCTGCACCTGCTGTTCTTTTGTTTCTGCCTTAACCCTTGATGGCCTGAATTCCCTATTCTCCTGCCTCAGAATTGTTAAGCAAAAAGGAACCAGGACTTGATGATTTGGAAAATTCTCAGCCTAACTATACTGCCAAGGAGGAGAAGTTCTGGCCTGAAGAGTGTGTCTGGACAATAATTTGCTAAAGAGAGTTGTGTGACTCATGGATCCACTCAACCGTGTCAGCGAAGCCAGGAATAGAGTTGGGGTTATCCAGGAAAGATCCGTGGAGAACTTGAGAGTTCTAATGGTGTGCATCCCCGTGACATCAACAGAAAACTGACAAGATTTTTGAGAATTTTATACCAGCAGAAATACTCCCAGCCTGGATAGAAAGGGACAGAGACAGAACAAATTGAAGGGAAAATGACTGACTCCCAGGGCAGAGCCATGGATACAGAGGCCAGAGAGGACGAAGCTATAGGTCCAGAGGCCCAGGCCAACTGCACCCCCTGGGCCCAGAGGCTGGATCGAGTCAAAGGGTCATTAAGGCCTTGAAAATGAATGTAGTTTTCCCTTTTGTGTTAAAACCTGTGTGAGACAGTGACCCCTTTAATTCCTTGCAAATTCTTTCATAATGGAAATGTCTGTCCTGTGCTTGCCTCATCGCAGTCCCTTTGTGCTGCTGTAACAGACATCTGATTATTACTGGGTAATTTATAAGTAATAGAAATTTACTACTCACAGTTCTGGAGGCTTGGAAGTCCATGATCAAGGTGCCAGCATTACATGTCTGGTGAGGGCCTTCTTGCTACATCCTCATGTAGCAGAAGAGCAGATGGGCAAAAGGGCACCTAAGCGGTTCCTTCCAGCCCTTTTGTAAGGCACCAATCCATCCATGAGGGCAGAGCCCTCGTGGCCTCATTTCCTAAGGGGCCCACCTCCTAATACCACAACAAGTTTCAACATGAATTTTGGAGGGGACACATTCAAACCATTGCACCCACTGTTGTATTTTGGAAGCAGATAACTTGTTTCCTAGTTTCACATGTCCACAGTTAGGAGAGGAATTTTGCCCTAGAATGTATCATATCATACCTAGAGTCTCAGTGATACCTGGTTTGCATGATTTAGATAATGAGATTCGCAATGTTTTGAGTTGACTATACTTAGAGATTTTGGATTTATAGTTAATGCTGAAACAGGATTTTTGAGGATGTTGGGATAAGGCGAGTGTATTTTGCATGTGGGATGAATGTGAATTTTATGGGGCTAGAGGATTGACTGTACTGGGTTGAAGTGTTCCCCCCAGATTCACATCCACCAAAACGTCAGAATGGAACCTTGTTTGGAAACAGGGTCTTTGAAGGTGTGATTAGTTAAGATGACGTCACACTGGTGTACACTGGCCATAAATCCAATATGACTGGTGGTGTACTTATAAGAAGATGGACAAAAAGATGGCCTCAGGAAAGTGGAGGTAGGAACTGGCGCACTGCAGCAATGAGTTACGGAATGCCACAGATGCTAGCAACCCCCAGAAGCCAGAAAAGGGCAAGAAAGGGCCCTTCCCTGGAATCTTGAGAGAGAGAGAGAGACAGCGCAGTATGGTCCCGGCAACACCTCGATTTCGGACTTCCAGCCTCTAGAATTGTGAAACAATCAATCTGTTGTTTTAGGCCACTCAATCTGTGGTACTTTGTTACAGCAACTCTAGAAAACTAATACTCATCCTGGAGGGATGCACATAGCTAAGACACTTCCTTCACTGAAATCCTGAGACAGGTACAAAGTGTCAACAGAGCTTCTTCAGTGGGCACACAGAAATGTTTGTACGCTCTGTATCAGAATAAGAAAATGATTACGATATAAACAGAAAGATGCAAAAGACAACAGTAGAGTGTTCCTAAAAACCTTCATATGATTTATCCTGGGATTGTGAAAGCTGAAGATACCAGAATAGTCACTTTTGTTGGACCCAGACAAAATAGGGCCGGGAAGGAGGCACATGCATGCATGTCGGAGGTAAGAACTGCTTCCAAGGACTTACTAAAAACTGCTTCACACGCTTCATGCTTCTCCTGCTCTGATAAGGTTTTTCATTAAACATTCTTTAGGACTGCAATAATTCAAACAAGACATTCTCCAAAGGATACCTGCTCAGTAACAGCATCTCCGTCAATGAACTGATAACAACTCTGGCTTTGAACCTATGGAACCCATGGACTCTGTTTCTAAGCAGCTTATGAAAATCTTTTTTTGCTAATAAAAGTTCCCCTTACACAGAACACACTGGATGCTTGCCATTAATGCATTACAGATTGTAATTTTTCTTTTATCCCCAAGTAAACTCAACATATTTAGAGAGAATTTTCTCTAGTGTTTTTGTTTTGTTTTTCAGACGGTCTCACTCAGTCACCCAGGCTGGAGTGCAATGGCATAATCTCCGCTCAATGTAACCTCCATCTCCCAGGTTCAAGCGGTTCTCCTGCCTCAGCCTCCAGAGTAGCTGGGAATACAGGTGCGTGCCATCATGCCTGGCTTTTTTTTTTTTTTTTTTTTTTTTTTGAGAAAGGGTCTCACTCTGTCACCCAGGCAGGAGTGCAGTGGCGCGATCACTGCTCTCTGCAGCCTCAACCTCTCCCGCCCAAGTGATCCTCCCACCTCAGCCTTTGAGTAGCTGGGACTACAGGCGCATGCCAACACACCTGGCTACTTTTTGTATTTTTTGTAGAGATGGGTTTTCACCATGTCAGCTCAAACTCCTCGGCTCAAGTGAGTCTCCCACTTCGGCCTCCGAAGTGCAGGGATCACAGGTGTGAGCCACCACACCAGGCTAGGAAGTTCTTAAGTTCTTAAGTGTAAGACATTAGTCCTACTTGCCCAGAGAATGCCTTCAGACTCATTATATGTTCCTCTACTTTAGAAGATGATGTGGTCTATTCAACAATGATTCCCAAACCTATCAACTCAATTTCATAAATAGTGGGTCCATAATTAAGTGTAGAATTGTACTAGAAAGTGTGAGGAATTTAAAAATGATAAAAGTCTTTGCCCTGCTTTTATGTTTTAGATTTAGAGTGATCACTCAGCCACAGGCTAAAGAGAAATACTCCATTCAAACCTTCTGGGGTCTTGGGGCTCAGGCACTGAATTATAAGCTCAATTAAGAGAAAACTTGAGGTTAGCTCAATGGTTCAAAAATGCCAAAAGCAAACATAATCTTACTGACCACGGCTTAACCACTCTGTACATTTAGGTAATCCACTTCAAAAATGTAGGCCAGCCCAGAATAGAGAAGCATGCAAAAGAAAAAATTAAAAAAAAAAAAAAAAGTAAGCCAGAAGTAACCCAGCAGTTAGTAAACGTGCATCATGGTATAAGCATGTTACAGAGTGTGTGTGTTCAGTGAACACAGGAGAAGCAGAGGTAAACAAAGGCCAGCTTCTGGAGAAAAGACAGAAGTGGAATCAAGTGTGGTGTGGGCAGGGGCGCAATAGGGAATTACATCAAGGTTGCTAACCTGGGCGACTGAGATAGAATTAACTGGAGCAAGTGATAGATGATATGTTCAAGTAGCTGGAAATACATGTTGACTTTAGAAGAGAAACCTGGGCTGGAGACAGTCTGAAGCATCCACATGCAGACAGTGTCAAAGCCAGGGAAGCAGATGACATCACCCAGGGAGAGTATACATACTATGAGATGAAATCATGGGATGTGCAGGCAGAGAACCAGAGAATGAGACAAAGCTGAGAGAGAGAGGAGTGACACCAAGAGAGAATAGTGTCTTTGAAGCCAGGGAATGAAACAAATTCAGTAACTAGCAGTGTTCAAGATGCAAATGCTGTAAGATCAAGTAAGAAAGCTTGAAAATGAACTTTTTTTTTTGTAGAGACGGGGTCTGGCTCTGTTGTCCAGGTTCGTCTCAAGCCATCTTCCCACTTTGGCCTCCCAAAGTGTTGGGATGGTACAGGCATGAGCCACTGCACCTTGCCAGAAATGAACTTCTAAAAGCACTAATGAGGTAACTGATGACCTTGGTAAGAAGGACAGTGAAGACATGAGCCAATTACTACCATATTGAAAATACAAAGGCCAAGCATGGTAGCTCATGCCTAATAATCCCAGCACTTTGGGAGGCAGAGATGGGAGGATCCTTTGAGGCCAGGAGTTTAAGATCAGCCTGAGCAACACAGCAAGATCCCATCTCTGCAAAAATTAAAAAAGAAAAAAAGCCAGGCACGGTGGCATGTACCTGTGGTCCCAGCTACTTGGGGAGGCTGAGGTGAGAGCATCGTTTGAGCCCAGATGGTAGAGGTTGCAGTGAGCTGTGATCATACCACTATACTCTAGTCTGGCCTGGGTAATAGAGCAAGACCCTATCTCAAAAAGATCTAGACAGTAAGACTGTGGAATGCTCTTCCAACATGTTTAGCAGAGAAGGGAAGGGGGAAAATAAGGCCACAGCATGACCGAGGTAAGGGGTAGGGATTTTTTCAAGCATGGTGGGTACTTCAGTATGTATATAGGCCAGTGATTTTCAAACTTGACTGTCATCAGCACCACCTAGAGGGCTTCTTAAAATTCAGATTGTTGGGCTTCACCTGAACAAGTTTCTGATTGAGTAGGTCTAGGGTGGAGCTCAAGAACTTACACTTCCAACAAGTGACAATGCTGCCGGTCTGTGGACCAAAATGGAGAGCCACTGGAGTAGGCGAAGAAAAAAATATCCAAAAGAAGAATGTTTGAAACATTTATGCGATGGAGATATTTAAAAGGCAAAACACAGAGGGAAGGAGAGGATGGAATTCAGAAAAAGATAAAATAGTTGGTCTTGAGCAACAAGTGAGGTGATCTCTTCCTCTGAGACAGGCAGGCAGATGAAGATGTACATGATTAGAGGTAAAGTTTACAGGTGGAGAAAAGGCAAGTTAAGAGTTCATGCCTGAAGGCCTTATTTTCTCTGTTTATTTTTTCAAAGCAATATCATCTACTGAGAATTTAGGAGATAAGGTAGAGTAGGGGTAAATATTAATAATTATACATTTAGCAGCCATGGGAAAACAACATGTTAAAGTATTCCCAAGTTCCACTTATTTTTAAGACAGAGTCTCACTCTGTTCCCTAGACTGGAGTGCAGTGGCACAATCACAGCTCACTGCAGCCTCAGCCTCCTGAGTAGCTGGGACTACAGGTTTGTGCAACCAACCACCGCTGGCTAATTTTTACATTTTTGTGGAGATGGGGGCCTCACTATGCTGCCCAGGCTGGTCTTGAACCTGGCTTCAAGTGATCCTCCTGCTTCAGTCTCCTAAAGTGCTGGGATTAGAGGTGTGAGCCACACCTCGACCATCAACCACTGCTGAAGAAAAATCTAAACAGTATCAGTCTGGCTCAGTAATTACAGCATAATAAAGGAAAAAAGGAAATACTCTATTTCCTTTATTATTAAGTAAAATAGGAAGAAGCCATTAACACTCAGAGAAGTCTTCTGTTATTCTCTAGATAAGTAGAGCAAATCAAAGTTTGGATCAGCGCTCCTGAAGTTAGGCCATGACCAATCCACAAAGCAAGCTGTTACTCATTTTACGCACTCCAGGACATCACTATTAAAGATTTCTAAGCTTGGGTGTGTTAACTCTTAACATTTATATATGCACTTGTTTATATTTTTATATGCATGTATTTTGCTTTAATCAGATGTTCACAAAAGTCTAGAACTCAACTCTCACCATCAATTGTTAATCTAAATTGTCACCCTGCTCTGGGTTGTACACTGTCAAAACAGGAGTTCCGTGATATAAAAAGTCCATATTCTATTGTATAGCCCAGAATGGGGAATGGGAAATAAAGTCTCCACACTTAAAATGTAAAATATTGGCCGAGTGCGGTGGCTCATGCCTGTAATCCCAGCACTCCTGGATGCCAAGGGAGGAGGACTGCTCGAACTCAGGAGTTCGAAACCAGCCTGGGCAACATAGTGAGACCTCCTCTCCGCAAATAAAAAAAAAATTACCTAGGCAAATAAAAAAAAAATTACCTAGGTGGTGTGTGCCTGTGGTCCCAGCTACTCAGGAGGCTAAAGTGGGAGGATCACTGGAGCCCAGGAGTTCAAGGCTGCAATGATCTGCAATTGTGCCACTGCACTCCAGCCTAGGTGACAGAAACTCTATCTCAAAAAAAAAAAAAAAAAAAAAAAAAGAACTAAAACATTGAACTATATTCTCAGGCACATGTGCTATCATTCATTCAGTCCTACTATGTGCCCTTTTTACACTGAGGTTTAACAGGGCTGAATCCAACTTGATATTTTGAGGACCCTCTTTAAGAAAATACAAAACTTGTAGGGCTCCCCCTCCCAGAGCCTTGTACAAGGGGCCCAAAAGCTTAAGCTTATTTCTTGGTTTAAATGAAATCTGTTTCTTGGTTCAGATGAAATTTTATACTGAGAAAATACCTTCTCTAGCTTCATTTCCAAGTCAACTCCTCCCCCAACCCCAAACTCCCAAATGCCAGTTTAAGTCCAAGGTTGAGTTTAGAGTCGTTATGAAGTCAAATGTGTTCCTCCATCCAGTTGTCCAAAACATTTATTGACTACTACAGTAGGAACAAGAAATGATCCCTCAATGTAAAGGAGCTCTATAACATTTATTTATGAATCAATGAATGAATTAGTCTGGCCCTGTTGCCCAGGCTGGAGCGCAGTGGTGCGATCTCAGCTTGCTACAACCTCCACCTCCCAGGCTCAAGTGATTCTCATGCCTCAGCCTCCTGAGTAGCTGGGATTACAGGTATGTATTTTTAGTAGAGATGGGGTATTGCCATGTTGGCCAGGCTGTTCTTGAACTCCTGACCTCAAGTGATCTGCCCACCTCACCTTCTCAAAGTGCTGGGATTACAGGTGTGAGCCACTGCGCCCAGCCTGAAATTTCTTTTAAATTTAGTTCCTCTGGGTAATTAAGTCCCTGTATGCAATTCAAGTTTCTTATAGTCAAGAGTTTTTTCGATTATTAAATTGTTCACTTGATCAGTAACTAATTGCTATTATCTGTCCAGTTTCACAACCTTATTGCCAAACTATTTCTAGCTTAAAAATAAGTATTTCAGGCCAGACGCGATGGCTCACACCTGTAATCCCAGCACTTTGGGAGGCCGAGGCAGCTAGATCACGAGGTCAGGAGATTGAGACCATCCTGGCTAACATGGTGAAACCCTGTCTCCACTAAAACTGCAAAAAATTAGCCAGGTGTGGTGGCAGGCGCCTGTAGTCCCAGCTACTCGGGAGGCTGACGCAGGAGAATGGCATGAACCCAGGAGATGGAGCTTACAGCGAGCCGAGATCGCGCCACTGCACTCCAGCCTGGGTGACAAAGTGAGACTCTGTCTCAAAAAATAAAAATAAAAACAAAAATAAGTATTTCACAAATTTTCAAATATATCCAAAATGTGAAATGATTATGTTTTACATTTTTTACTTTTTTTTTTTTTTTTTTTTTTTTTTTGAGACAGTCTCATTCTGTCGCCCAGGCTGGAGTGCAGTGGCACAATCTTGGTTCACTGCAACCTCCGCCTCCCGGGTTCAAGCGATTCTCCTGCCTTAGCCTTCCGAGTAGCTGGGACTACAGGCGCGCGCTACTACACCCGGCTAATTTTTATATTTTTAGTAGAGACAGGGTTTCACCATGTTTGCCAGGCTGGTCTTGAACTCCTGTCCTCAGGTGATCCACCCACCTTGGCCTCCCAAAGTGCTGGGATTACAGGCGTGAGCCACTGAGCCCGGCCCATTTTTTACTTTTATCTGCTATAAAATTTGAATTTTGTTATGACATAGCCTATCTTAGTTGATGAATATATTAACCACTTTCAGGTTGGAATTTTTTTTTTTTTATTACCTCTTCCAGGCATATAGCCACATGCTATCATCAGTGGAAAAGCTACATTCCTGACTGCTCTCATTTTGAATTAGAATTTGAAGTCTAATATAAATAAGTGGGTTACTTTTCATATTTCTGATTCCTAAGGCTGGCTGAGATTAATTTACCTTCAAATTTAAAAATATACCTACTATAAAAATTTTAATTAAACTCTTTGTAACTATTTTATAGTAGAACATCAACATTTTCTGGATAGGTAAAAGCTTTTATATTACATTTTTATTTTGCAAGAAAATAAATTATACAACTTAAAAAATAAAATCCAAAAATTAAGCAGTTCATCAAAATATTTCAGCCTACTGCATACAGAAACTGCTACCACTTAAAATTGTACAGCATTATCATCTCAGTATGTAGTGGCACACATTCAAAATCGTATAGACCATATGAGGATAGATTACAACTTAGAAACTAAAATAAATTTGTTCAACACTCCAGACAACATATAGTGTAGATGACAGGAAAGCTCTCATGTAATGTTTATTTCACAAACATGACCTTGGAAGAATTCATAAGACAGCATCCCAGTCACTTACATGAGAACAGAAAAACCAGCTTGAGTTTAAGATAGCAAATCTTTCTGTAAAACTAGCAAATCTTTCACCCAGACTGAAGTTTTAAAATTTGCCCTTTGAGCAGTGCTAGAGACATCTTACTGCAAATAATGCAAAATACTTTTTAACTACTCAGGTCATATTTTCTATTAAATTTAATAAAAAGTAAAAGAAAGAAAGCTAACATTTCATTTTTGGAAGGTTTAACATTTATGCACAAAATAAGAGCAAGAGACTTAAATAAAAAAGTTGACAGAACTCAGGGACCCCTCCAATAAATGTAAAAATTGGAAGACTTCAGAATTTATTTCAAGATCCTCATTTAATCATTGGAATAGTAATATTCTAATATTTATCTCATTGTGACCATCAAAATTTTTCTATATTTTTACTTCTTAAACTCTGTCTTATGTCTACTTACTCCGGCAACGAGATGGCAACACAAGTTAACATTTTCCAGATGGGATGTCTCTGTCTTTAAACTAGAAGATGGGTATTCAGAGGTTAAGATAGCCTCTGAAGTGTCTTATTGCCATACCACTAATTTTTAAAAATTAAATTTTTTTTTTTTTTTTGGAGGGGGAGGCTGGATTTTCTTTTCACTTAACTGCAGGTTATATCCCTGCTCGGCACCAATTTTAAGTGTACGCTGGAGAGAAGAGACCTGAATAAAGGATGCCAACTGTGATTCCAGACCTTTACAAACTGCTGGTAAGATTTTTTTTTTCATTTTTTTTTAAATTAGCAAATCTGTTGTTAAATTACTTAAAGAAAATTTAACAATGGCATAGGCACCTTGTCAACTAAATGATTTTCATAAACACCAAAAAGTAGTTAAAACTTTTGTATACATAACCAAAAAAAAAAAAAAAAGAAAACTGTACATTTACAGTATTTGCTGCTGTTCATTCCCCAAAATACAATTAGGACATAATTGGCTATTAAAAATTTATAAAATTTAATAAAAAACTTTGCTATGAATGTAGTGTTACCCACTTTTGCATTAAATTCACCTTCATAAATCAAAACATCATGACTCTCATTCTTAAATTAAATGACCCAAAATTAGAAGTTCCAAAAAAGTTCTGAGAACAATTATGGTTTAAAACAACAAACCTAAATTTTTAAAATGGACGGCAATTTTTCCTGTTTCCTCCTTTGGCATTCTTGTATTGGGACAAGCAAATACGCCAATGCTGAATTATCTGTTAAACATAAGGGCCACAATTACTACAAAATTATTTCTTCTAAATTCCAAATATACCCATTATGAACAGTCACCTAATTAGAGAAAACTGTACGTATTAATTTTAGTTTAATTCTTCACAATATGCTCGGTCTAATAATTGACATTTGCTACCTTAAAGTGTAAAATTTTAAACAAAATTCCAATTTCCTATAAGTTTCAGAACAGGCATTTGGCTATACTCAGCAAAACTCTAAATGTTTTAAAGTTGCTTTCCTTCCATTCAGCAGGCAGTTCACAAAGCCTCTTCGGATGGGGACAGATCCTACGAAATGCTCTTGAAAGCACTCCACTGTAACATAATACTGTATGCCTTTCTGTACTCCATTTCCTACTATCTTCAAAAACCATACTTTAAAAATATTACTTAACATCAAATAAGATATAAAATAATTTGCAAGAAAATTTGAAACGTGCACCACAATGAATAAAAATCCACGTTGAGCCATTCTTTCCTCAAGGGGAATCAATTTTCTCTTTCAAGTTGTTCACGTCCTCAAGTCCTAAAATTTCCACTACTCTGGGTATTCAGTTGCCAGCAACTAGTTAAGTTGCTACTTTGGATAGACTGAAAGGAACATGGTAAATGTTGCCTTCTGACGATTTAAAAAATGTTTATTTTTAAAATATATAAATATATATGTACATATATTTGGCAAGTTTACTGCTCGTATTAAGAGTGCAACAATTTTGCTTCTGTTTTTCAGGTCTTATGTTGTGGTTTTTCTCTTACCCCTAGGTGACTGATTCAAACCTGAGGCTACAAATCCCTAATCATGAGACCTTAAAATACCAAAATACTTCTATGCTACAGATTAAGAGATCAGTTACATAACTATATCAGAGCAGGAGATTTCTGTGTTGTTTTTAATAAATTCAGATATGGCATAATAAATATTAGGTATATAAACATTAAGTGTGTTAGTAAACACACAATATGTTTAGTAAACACACTTAATATGTTTGTTTTGCTATTTTGGCTCTGCAATCATAATGACCTACCTATCTCCATAAATTTTTTAAACTATTGAAGCAACAATTAATATAAGCTTCATTTTTCAAAACAAGCTTTCCAGCCATATTTAAAAAAAAAAAAACTCCTCATCATTTAACAACAACTAAAATAGCAGTCTCCTGCTTAAAGAAAACCAACATTTGAAAGTTGAAAATATTTAATACCATTTTTAGGTCACCATTAAAATCCAGTTATTATACTGAGCAATGTTTGAACAATTTGATACTATTAAATACTTAACTTCTCACCTACATCTGCCGTTTCCCAATGTTGCATTGACCAGCTCACTCTTTTCATCAAAAGAAACCAAGAGTGCTATTTCTAGTTTTAATTGCATTTTTTAAAAACAAAAGATAACAGCATTTTTCAGTGCATGAATATCTGAAGATCCTTCCTTGTGCAAGTACATTTTTTAAGAGAGGAAAAAAGAGAAAAAAGCAACAAGAACCCCACCCTCACCCTTCCCAACTGTATTTCTCCTGGTGGGTACAAATCAAATTCACTTTTAAAAGTTGATAATGGGCTCTTCATGAATGCAAGTTTCTCCACAAAACAGCATGCTGTCAAAGAGTGTGCAACATGAAGGGAATGCCATCATGCTAACTAATGTGATTGGCAAAATATAGTTGTTTTTGTAAGGTAAGGCAGAGATTTTAATATTTATGTAATCAAAGTCCAAATAAACCTTTCTCCAGCACAAACTTTACAACTTTCTGCCCAAGCACTCCAAAATTTGGGTTCTAAATATTGTCCATGATATTCAAAATTATGCCATATATATGAAAGTGTTGATATCAGATTCATCTCTTCTGATGTATTTGTGCTCTATTAGCCACTCTATTTGCTCTTTTATCATTTTCTTTTGTGGCAAGAACATGTTTTTCAAAATTTCTACTAATTCAGTCTGCAGCTGAGCATTACTAATTTTCTTTCTCATTTTCATTATTTGTATGATAGCTTCCTAAAAGAAAAAATAAAAATAAAAGCGCATTAATATACGAAATTATTTTAAGTACAACAAACTGAAAAATGACTTTTTATGCATATTCATCCTCTATCCAACATCTACCCAAATGAATAATAATCACTAGGGGATTAATGTTGAGACTAGTATCTTTTACTTAACAAATAAAAACATCTTTTGTTTTCTCATGCCCCATAAAAGAGAATCTGCTTATTGGGGTGGGGGGATAGGGGAGGGATAAGCATTAGGAGAAACACCTCATGTAGATGACGGGTTGATGGGTGCAGCAAATGACCATGACACGTGTATACCCATGTAACAAACCTGCACATTCTGCATATGTATCCCAGAACTTAAAGTATGTATTTAAAAAAAATCTGACTATAGAGATTTTGAAAAATAAGGAAAAGCAAAATTACCTCTGCTTCTCTGCTGAAAGAAAACTACACCTAATGTTTTAATATTATTTCCTTCAATTCCTTTTTTCCCATGCCATTCACATTCTTAAAAGTTATCTTACCTGTGAAAACAATGTGTATATAACCTGGTATCATGTTAAACATTAATTAAAATATAACAAACCCCTTACACCAAATTTTTCCCTTGTATTCAGTTATTTCTTTGTATAGCAGTACAGGTCAGGTGGGGTCTGTTTTAAAAGTCATTAAGTAGTACTCTTTATATATTTACCAGATTAATTAATTATATTTGCTACAAATATTATCTTCAGTTTATATTGACTCAATTAAATGTTTTTAAGGTTTTTTTTTTCCCCTTCTTCTCTTTAAATACAGACACAAGGTTTTGCTATGTTGTCCAGGTTGGTCTTGAACCCCCAGACTCAAATACTCCCCTGCCCTGGTCTCCCAAAGTGCTAGGATTACAGGTGTAAGCCACGATGCCCAGTCACTTTTAAGTTTCTAAAGAAATAAATCTTTTTCATCTAGGTCATTTTATCAAAATTTTTCTTGATGATTTCCTTAATTACTGTTAAGTTTACAATAAGAGTTATCAGAAAATCATTAAATATTCTTTTCTCTTTTACCTTTTCCAGTACCAGCTCTCTCTTTACCCAACAAAAGGCATGTATATGCCGGGTGTGGTGGCTCATGTGTGTAATCTTAGCACTTTGGGAGGGTGATGTGGGTGGATTGCTTGAGTCCAGGAGTTTGAGAACAGCCTGGGCAACATGGCGAAACCCCATCTCTATAAAAAATACAAAAATTAGCCAGGCATGGTGGCGTGTGTCTGTGGTCCCCGCTATTCAGGAGGCTGAAGAAAGAGGATTGCTTGAGCCTGGGAGGTGGAGGTTGCAGTAAGCTGAGATCACACCACTGCACCACAGCCTGAGACCCTGTCTCCAAAACAAAAGGCATATATCTATCTTAGCACAGATTAGAGTTTGTTGTAAAAGAAATGTCAAAATAGAAAAAGAAGTAACATTTGCTTTTAACGTTTAAAAATATAATTTTGCTGCAAATCAACAGACTTGGGAGTCAGGCACTATTCAGTAAGAGAAAAACTCCTTCAACTTCCCCTATATAGATATGATAACCAGCCAGGGAGGGTGGCTCATGCCTGCAATCCCAGCAATTTGGGAGGTTGAGGTGGGTGGATCGTTTGAGTCGTGGAGTTTGAGACCAGCCTAGGCAACATGGCGAAACCCCATCTCTACAAAATATACAAAAACAAATTAGCTGGGTATGGTGGCACGCGCCTGTGGTCCCAGCTACGCAGGGGGCTGAGTCAGGAGGATCACTTGAGCCTGAAAGGCAGAGGTTGCAGTGAGCTGAGATTGTACCACTGCACTCCAGCCTGGGTGACAGAGTGAGACCCTGTCTCAAAAGAATAGAAAAATAGGCCGGGCATGGTGGCTCACGCCTGTAATCCCAGCACTTTAGGAGGCCAAGGGGAGCGGATTACGAAGTCAGGAGTTCGAGATCAGCCCGGCCAACATGGTGAAACCCATCTCTACTAAAAATACAAAAAATACAAAAAATAGCTCAGTGTGGTGGCGAGCACCTCTAATCCCAGCTACTCAGGAGTCCGAGGCAGGAGAATCATTTGAACCTGGGAGGTGGAGGTTGTAGTGAGCCAAGATCACACCATTGCACCCCAGCCTGGGCAACAGGGTGAGACCCTGTCTCAAAATAAAATAAAATAAACAAAAATAAATAAAAGATATGATGACACCAGAAGGTCAAGTGAATTCCTCTCACCCTTGATGGTATTCAGATACCAGGCTCCTGATCATCATAAATTGGGGTTTATGTCAGGGGTTCAGAGAGGAAGAAGGAAGAAGGAAAGTGTGTTCCTTCAGGCACTTGAAGATTACAGGAACCCAGAGGAAAAGCAGAGGCATTTGTAAACATCCCAGTTTCTCCTTAGATAGAGGTGAAGGTGGTAGTTAGAGAACCTAAGAGGAAAAGAGAGCAGAGGGACACTGGCCCTGGTCCCCATTTGATATGCTGGAGGTCACTTAAAGAGTAGCACAGTATGAGGGAAATAATCTGCACTTCTGACTCTCCCTCAGTTCCCAAGTGTGACAGCAAGAGTTTCGAGCTAATGGACCTGCCACAGGGCCTTTAATGACAGGGCAAGGTGATCCTGTCATTATTCTGCAGAGAACAATGACAGTGTGCCATGTAGGCCAAGGAGCCACACAGAAGATGTAGTGGAGTCTCAGAGGCTTCAAGAGCTCAGTAAGAGCAGGGGAAAGAGAGCAGGGAAGAGGCCATGGGGCCCTTAGCAACTAGAAAAAGAATGAACCATAAATTCATCTGCTGTAGACAACAGCAGCAGTTACCAACAGAAAGCCAAATTCCCAAAGATAATCAACTACTTCATAGCTGCCAAAAGCAAGAATCCAGGACACTGTCATAACTGCATAGATATGACACTCCCTTTACTGTCATTACCAGTCAAGCAAATCCCTCTCACACTCAATATATCCAGATGCCACCTATGCAAATAGCAATGAATGAGGATGAATGGAGTAGGATCAGGAGGAAATAAAGTCTGAGCATTACCTAAAGACAGCTTAGATTATTGGATTGTACATAATTATGGGTCACATTAAGACAAAACAAAAGAACTTCAATTTCTCTGCACATCTTATCGTACGACTACACCCGCTTATACATTTCAACTCTTTTTTTTTAGATGGAGTCTTGCTCTGTTGCCAGGCTGGAGTGCAGTGGCGCGATCTCCGCTCACTGCAACCTCCGCCTCCCAGGTTCAAGCCATTCCCCTGCCTCAGCCTCCTGGGTAGCTGGGACCACAGGCATGCACCACTACACCTGGCTAGTTTTTTGTATTTTAGTAGAGACGGGGTTTCACCATGTTGGCCAGGATGGTCTCGATCTCCTGGCCTTGTGATCCACCCGCCTCGGCCTCCCAAAGTGTTGGGATTACAGGCGTGAGCCACCGCGCCTGGCCACATTTCAACTCTTTACTCCAGGAGTTTATCCTGGCATAGCTACGAATATCTTCTTACTTTTCCTCCAAACAGAAAAATTTCCCAACACCACTTAGTGAATAATTCATTTTCTTTCCATAGGTCATAGAAATTATTTCCTTTATTGTATAAATTCTTCTATACTTACAGAGTAAGGTTTTTTGTTTGTTTTTGTTTGCTTTTTTTGAGATGGAGTCTCACTCTATTGCCCAAGCTGGAGTGCAGTGGCGCAATCTAGGCTCACTGCAACCTCTGCCCGCCAGGTTCAGGCAATTCTCCTGCCTCAGCACCCCCAAGTAGCTGGGATTACAGGCATGCGCCACCACAGCTGGCTAGTTTTTGTATTTTTAGTAGAGACAGGGCTTCAACATGTTGGCTAGGCTGGTCTTGAACTCCTGACCTCAGGCAATCTGCCCACCTCGGCCTCCCAAAGTGCTGGGATTACAGGTGTGAGCCACCGCGCCGAGCCTAAAGTTATTTTCTTCAATTAATCTTCTTGCCATACTGTTTTATTACTACAGATTTTTAAAATATTTTCGTATTTGGCAGGGCAAGTTCCACCACTACCACCTTTTTTTTATTTTTTTAAGTTTCTCAATCATTCTTATTTATTCTGATAAAAAACAATTTGTAAAATTCCAAAAATATTCCTAGTTGAATTTTCATGTGAAATTTTAAAATTTTGAACTTGATATTAATATCAGAAAAACCAATCTTTTATGTTATTCAGCCTAGCTGCCAGGTGCCGTGGCATGTGCCTGTAGTCCCAGCTACTGGGAAGGCTGAAGGAGGATCGCTTGAGTCCATTAAAAAAAAAAAAAAATTTTTTTTTTGTTTAAGTTATTCAACCTTTAATGGAAGAATATAGTTTTTCATGCTGAGCAAAAAAAGTCAGACATAAAAGTACATACTGTCTGGTTCCATTTATATGAAAACCTAGAACTGGCAGAACTAAGTGATGGTAATAAGAATCAGCTGGGGTAGGCGGAGAGCCTGCCTGGAAACATGGGAAGATGACTGGTGTGACACAAATGTTCTGTATCTTAATTGGGTAATGTTCACATAGGTATATATATTTATCACAACTCACTGAAAATTATACTTTGAAAGATACATTCCATTGTGTCTAAATTACAACTAAAAATTTTAGCAACAAAAAAAGAGCTCAACCTTTCTATTTATTCAACTCTCCTTCTGAATCTCCCAGTAAAGGGCCACTCTTTTCATACAGCTCCTACACAGTACTTTTTAAAAAATGTGTATGTATTTTTCTTATTTTATTCTCCTTTTATTTATTGCCCCATAGAAATGCAATTGGTTTTTATTCATTCATCTTTTCTCTGCCACATTATCCTATTACATGATCTATAGGTAATATGCATTTTTAATCTTTTCGTCTTGTTTTATATTTTAAAAAGTACACTGGGCTGGGCATGGTAGCTCACACCTGTAATCCCAGCACTTTGGGAGGCCGAGGGAGGCATATTGCTTGAGCCCAGGAGTTCGAGACCAGCCTGGGCAACATGGCAAAACCCTGTCTCCACTAAAAATACAAAAATTAGCTGAGTGTGGTGGCGCATGCCTGTGGTCCCAGCTAATCCGGAGGCAGAGGTGGGAGGATCCTTTGAGCCCAGGGAGTTGAGGCTGCAGTGAGTTAAGATGGTGCCACTGCACTCTAGCCTGGGCAACAAAGTGAGACCCTGTCTCAAAAAAAAAAAAAAAAAGTACACTGGCCAGAAGTTTCAAATAGTATTAAATGAAAATAGTAAAAGTTGAAAAATTTGGTTTTAAAAGGACTATTTCTAAAATTAAAACAATCATGTGTAGGTGTTACTTATTATATTCAGAAGGTCTTAATCCTAGTTTTAAACTGTTTTTAAAAGAAGAAATGAATATTAGAGAACTTTTTTGGTTCTAAATAAGTTTCCTAATTTCACATTACAATGGAATATGAAACTGGAATTCATATTTCAACTGGAATGGAAATTTTTAATATATTTTTAAAAAATTGATTGAGACAAGATCTCACTTTGTTGCCCAAGAAATCCTGCCTCAGCATCCCAAAGTGTTGGGATTATGTGTGGGCCACTGCACTTAGCCCCTACATGCTTTTAAATTCAAAAAAGATTTCAAAATTTAAAAAAAAAAAAAAAAAACTAAAGTTTTTTTAAACTTCAGACATTCTGTCAACATTACAAACCTGGGTTCTTAGTATTCGTAGTTGAACTATTCCTTCATTCTCTTCTTCTCTCATCCTTTCTGTAGTGAGCTGCAAACGTCCAATCAAGTTGATTTTACCCCTTTTCTGAACCTTTGCATTTTTTCTACAAAAAGAATTGCATCAAGTATTTTATGGTGAAAAACACTTTAAAAATCCTATTATAGCAACAATGTCTGAGAGAAAAGATTTAAAAATATGCTAAAATATCAGAACTGTTTAAAGGTTAAATGACAAATAACCTACATATTGCTTTAAAACAAACTCTATGTATTTTCCTTAAACATGATAACTAACCTGTTAATAAAACAAGTGACTACATTCTCTGTAAAAACAAAGTTAATATTTTATATTGCCATGAAAGTGACTAGCTAATTGAAGATATATGGGTTAGGATTCAGTGTTATTGCCTAACTGGGTCTTAACAAACAAAAACAAAAACAAAAACAAAAACGAAACAAAACAACACAAAAAACGCTTTCTCTGAATAAAGTTGCTTTAGAGCACAAAAAGATATCAACCTGAAAGATGAAATGCAATACAGTATAATGTCAGAGACCAAAAATGTATCAATGAAAAATATAGAAAAGTAAACATCTGATTAATATTTTCCATAAACAACTAAATGATGTAAGTTTAGAGTGATGACAGTATATAATGTTTTAAATATAATGTAAGGAAAACAATTATTTTGCAAAAAACAAAGTGCTAAAATTCAAACAAGGTGTTTTTATTTTAGATCAACTAACGAGCTTACATTAAACTGAACTCCTGGTTCACTGAGAAGAGGGTACCTTCTGTAAAGTCTTTGGGTGAGTTGACTTGAGGTTCATACAACAAAACTTGCCGTTTGAGTTTTGGGAAAGCTACTAAAGACTATGAAGAATAAGGAGAAAACAATTAGCATCTATAAACAGTATGGAATACTAAGATCAATTCTCCCACATAATCAACATAGGCAAGAAAAAGATTACAAACACAAACTTAAAATGTGTGGTACTTCCATGAATATAACATTTGAATGCATAATGAGGAAAGAGAAGAGGTGAAAAGAGTTGGTTATGAGAAAGCAATAAATGCTCTCTTTACAGTAAGACAAGAAACTGGGATTGGTCACACAGGACCATAGTAAACACCATCTGCCAGTTATATACCAGCTATTTCCTCCATAGGTAATAATTAATTTTGGAACTTCAGGCCAAGTGCAGTGGCTCACGCCTGTAATTCCAGCACTTTGGGAAGCTGAGGCAGGCAGATTACTTGAGCTCAGGAGTCTGAAACCAGCCTGGGCAACACGGCAAAACCCCGTCTCTACTGAAAATACAAAAATTAGCCAGCGTGGGGCATGCACCTGTAGTCCCAGCTACTTGGGGGGCTCAGGTGGGAGGATCGCTTGAACCTGGGAGATGGAGGTTGCAGTGAGCTGAGATTGTGCCACTGAACTCCAACCTGGAGGACAGAGCAAGACTCTGTCTCAACAAAAAAACCTGGAACTTTTAAGAGGTCTATGGAGTAGTAATAAAATGTAGTTGTGAGCAGGGGGCTAATGAGTACAATCTACAAGTCCTCAAACAGACCAAAGTTTTTAGATTTTTGATTATCATAAAATCTTTGAACACATTCTCAGTATAAAAATTAAGTATGTATCTGAGGCACAGTAGCTCAGGCCTGTAATCCCAGCATTTTGGGAGGCCGAGGCGGGCAAATTACCTGAGGTCAGGAGTTTGAGACTAGCCTGACCAACATGGTGAAACCCCGTCTCCACTAAAAATATAAAATTAGCTGAGTGTGGTGGCACATGCCTGTAATTCCAGCTACTTGGGAGGCTGAGGTAGGAGAATCGCTTAAACCCTGGAGGCGGAGGTTGCAGTGAGCTGAGATTGCGCCATTGCACTCCAGCCTGAGCGACAAGAGTGTCTCAAAAAAAAAAAAAAAAAAAAAAAAAAAGTACATAGCTGGTCACATTCCTCACAGGTAACACTTAAATACCAACTCAATCTTTCTCTTTTTTAAAAAAAAAAATTTTTGAGATGGGTCTCACTATGTTGCCCAGGCTGGAGTGCAGTGGTGTGATTGTGGCTCACTGCATCCTCCTGGGCTCAAGCAATCTTCCCACCTCAGCCTTCCAAGTAGCTGGGGATACAGCCACCAAGCTGGCTAATTTGTTTTTTTTTTTTTTTTTTAGAGATGGGATTGCACTATGTTGCCTAGCTAGTCTCAAACTCCTGAGTTCAAGCAATCCTCTTCTCCCACCTTGGCCTCCCAAAGTGCTGGGATTACAGCCATGAGCCACTGCCCCAGCCTCTCCTTTTTTTTGAAGCACTTTTCTCTGCCTTGGTAACTTGCCTATTTGCAATTTATTTTTTCCATAAATATCTCGTGTGTGTGTGTGTGTGCATAATTTTTTTTTTTTTTCAGACGGAGTTCTCACTCTGTTGCCTGGGCTGGAGTGTAGTGGCGCAATCTTGGCTCACTGCAACCTCTACCTCCTGAATTCAAGCGATTCTCCTGCCTCAGCCTCCCAAGTAGCTGGGATTACAGGCGCCCACCACCACGCCCAGCTAATTTTTGTATTTTTAGTAGAGATGGGGTTTCACTATGTTGGCTAGGCTGGTCTCGAACTCCTGACCTCAAGTGATCTGCCCACCTCGGCCTTCCAAAGTGCTGGGATTACAGGCGTGATCCACTGTGCCCGGCCTCTATTTTTCTTGATAAGACATTCTGAAACTGTTATGAATTTACTAATATATTACAAGCCAATCATATATTTCCTGCTACATGAGAGGATACAGTCTTAAAAACAAAAAAACATAAACCAACCCATAAAGTCCTCCTAAGTTCAGCATCAGGGAGTTCAGTTGCAAGCTTAAGATTTTCAAAGCTGATTTTCTCTCTGGGTCTTTGGTTCCATGCAAACAATACAGCGAGCTGAAACGTGGTTACCTCCAAATCATATTGACCAACTTCATTCTTAAATGTTATCTATAATAGATAAAACAGATTTTTAATAAAGAATCTCATGATGATTCTCTCTTAATATCTATGACATGAATTTATATATGAAAAAGGTTGCTGTCTTCCAGTATCCACTCTTTCACAGTAATAAACATTTTAGAAGACGTTAATGACTGCCCAGAATACACGCTCATCTCCCAGCTTTCCATGTAACAAAATGTGGCCAAGTGACTGAGTACTGGCGGATGCAAATGGAAAATGACAGAGGAAACTTCTAGAAGTTGTCCCTAATGAAAGGTGTAAGCTACCCTCACCTTTTGCTTTCTGTTGCCAGGAATACTGAGATAGTTGGGATCATGTTGAATTCTGTAGACAACGGCAGTATCTTAAGTATGATGGTATAACCAGAAGCCTATGTCCCTATCAACTTCATGAAAAAAATTCACTATTTCTGCTCAAACTTTTACATGTGAGAGAGGCAAAAATCTATTTTGTTTAAGCAATTCTGCGGAGTCCTGCTACTTTCATCCAAACTGAAAGCTGAAATAACTAACACACTATCTACTTACAATTCCATTTGACATGAGATGATGCCAATGTAATTTTCTACCACTATGATTTTTTTTGTAGAATTCTTCTACTTCCGGTATCAAGTCCTCCAGTTCAGTAGGAAGTGAGACAAAGACTTTCTCAGAACTTCTTGACCAGGCGCCAGCATTCAGAATTTTTATATTAACTGAATCAGCTATAGAGAAGAATATCAGGAATATAAAGTAAATTAACAATGGATAAAATTCAAAATAAATACAGGGTAACTTTGGGTGAAAAATCAATAAGACTATAAAGATTTTGTTAAAAGTGTCCTTTTGTTTTGAAATAAAGATCTGTAAATCTAACACACTGCTTTGATAGCTGTCTCCACGGAAATGGACTTCATAACATCTTTCGATCTATTACTGCTGAGGTTTATTTTTAATTTACTGGAAAACAAAGATATTCTTCTAAGTTTAAAAAATATATACATGTAATTATAAAATAATACCTGGTAATGCCAATTTATTATTTTTGTGCATTTCCTTAAAAGCTTGGTTCAAATCTTCAGATACTTTTATGTCCTGAAACATTCTAGCAAGCTTGTTTACATAATCCGCTGGCATACCAACTTCCTATAAATATAAACCAAAGAAGGAAGAGGTAATAAATACATAATCTGATATATTACTGGGAAAAATTTTAATAGAAAAACTAAGTCTTAAATGTTTTAATACAAAATTTTTCTCATTTATTAGAATTTTATTGTCTAATACCTATGAAATTTGCTACTTAGAAACAAAATACGGTATTACAAGGGGTCCCTGCTTTGCGCATTTTTAGTATGTATGAATTTCAGTTACCACAGTACAGTTAAATAATACCAATTCCCCAAGAACAAAGCTCAACTTTCAGTTGACACTATATAATAAATTTAACTGCATGAAGTAAAAACTTTATTTCTAGCTCTTTGATCCACAAATCATGACAAAAGTAACAATGACTAACCACAATACTTCTTTCAAAATCTATTAGTTGGCATGGTGTGTAATCCTAGCACTTTGGGAGGCTGAAGCAGGAGGATCACTTGAAGCCAGGATTTTAAGACCAGCCTGGGCAACACAGTGACACCCCCATCACTACAAAAAAATTTTAAAAGTTAGCAGGATATGGCGGCATACTGCCGAGATAGTCCCAGCTACTCGGAAGGCTGAGGTGGGTGGATTGCTTGAGCCCAGGAGTTTAAGCTCTGATTGTGTCACTGCGCTCCAGCCTGGGCAACAGAAGATCCTGTTGCTTGAAAAAATTAAATAAATAAATTTTTAAAAAATGTAAACACAACCTATTAGTCATTTGTTTATTCAGTTAAACTGCAGACAGCAAAGTATGCAGTTTCATTGCATCCTTGTCTTCCAGTAATAAACCCACATGACTACTTACAAAAAAGAATAATCAAACAAGATAATTGGCAAAGATATAAAAGTAAACAGGAAATGAAAAGTGATAATGCTGGAAATGAAAATAAAATAGAACATAAATGGAGTTATAGAAGAAAGCTGACTGTGGTAGTAAGGCTGACAATGCCAGTGTTGAGGAACTTAGTGAAAGCAAATTACCAACATAAAAGATAAAAGTGGTGAGTGACAAAAAAGATAAGATACCCTAGAAGAAGTGATCCTGGCAAAAATGCTATAAAGGAATTCTCAGTATTTCATGACACTGACAGCCCAAAAGATAAAATGCTAGAAGATCATCCAAATTACAGGGGGTGTGACAACTCTCCAAGGCAAAGAAAAGATGCTTACTCTGTCAAGTTACACAAGAAGGCAAAAGCTATTCAAACTACTCTTTATTAACAGCTTTACTGTGTCAGATAATTTATCTACCATAAAATCTACTATTTTAAAGTATACAATTTGGCTGGGCTCATGCCTGTAATCCCAGCACTTTGGGAGGCTGAGGCGGGTGGATCACCTGAGGTCAGGAGTTCAAGACCAGCCTGGCTAACATGGTGAAACCCATCTCTGCTAAAAATACAAAAATTAGCTGGGCATGGTGGCATGCGCCTGTAATCCCAGCTACTCAGGAGGCTGAGGCAGGAAAATCGCTTGAACCTGGGTGGCAGAAGTTGCAGTGAGCCAAGATCGCACCACTGCACTCCAGCCTGGGCAACAAAGTGAGACTCTGTCTCAAAAAAATATAAAAAATAAAAATAAAAATAAAATATACAGTGTAATGAAGTTTAGTATATCTACAGAACTGTGCAACCATCACCACTATCTAATTTTAGAACATTTTCATCACCCCAAAAAGAAACCCCATACTATTTACAGTCACTCGTCATTTCCCCTCCTGGCCCCAACTCCTGGAATTTGTGGATTTGCCTATTCTGGACACTTCACATTAGTGGAATCATACGATATGGTCTTTGGGATTGGCTTCTTTCACTCAGCATTATGTTTTCAAAGTTCACCTAATATTGCAGCATGTATTATTAGTTTATTCCTTTTTATCACAAAAAATATTCCATTGTATGGATAAATCACATTTTATTCATTAGCTCACTGACATTTTGGGTTGTTTCCACTTTTTGACTATTATTAGTAATCTTGCCATGAACATTTGTTTACAAGTTTTTACATGAAACATGTTTTCATTTCTCTTCAAATGAATTACCTAAGAGTGAAATTGCTGGGTCAGCTCTACGTTCAACATTTTAAGGAACTGCCCAACAGTTTTCCAAAGTGTCTGCACCATCTTATGTCTCCACTAGCAACTTACGAAGGTTCCAATTTCTCCTCTTCCTTACTAGCATTTGTTATCATCTGTCTTTATTTTAGCTACCCTAGTGGGAATAAAGTAGTATCTCTTTGTGTTTTTTTTGTTTTTGAGAAAGGGTCTCACTCTGTTGCCCAGGCTGCAGTGCAGTGGCACAATCTCAGCTCATTACAACTTTGAACTTCTGGGCTCAAGCAATCATCCCATCTCAGCCTCCTGAGTAGCTAGAACCACAGGCACACATCACCATGCCTAGCTGATTTCTGTATTTTTTGTAGACATGGAGTATTGTTATTTTGCCCAGGGTAGTTTCTAACTCCTGGCTTCATGCAATCCTCCCACCTCAGCCTTTCAAAATATTTGGGATAAGCAGGAGCCAACATGTTGAGCATTTCACTTGCATTTCACTAATGACTAATGATGTTGAGTATCTTTGCATGCACTTATTGGCCATCTGTCTATCTTCTGTGAAGAGATGTCAATTCGAATCCTTTGCCTGCTTTTAATTATTTGTCGTGTGTGTGTGTGTGTGTGTGTGTGTGTGTGTGTGTGAGTGAGAGAGACAGGATCTGACTCTGTTGCTCAGGCAGGAGTACAGTGGTAAGATCTCTGTTCAATGCAACCTCCACCTCACAGGCTCAGGCGATCCTCCCACCTCAGCCTCCCAAGCAGCTGGGACTAAGGTGCATGCCATCACACCCAGCTAATTTTTTAAATTTTTGTAGAGATGGGGTTTCACCACGTTGCCCAGGCTCATCTCAAACTCTGAGCACAAGCCATCTGCCCTCCTCAGCCTCCCAAAGTGCTGGGATTACAGGTGTGAGCCACCATGCCTAGCCTTGTTTGTCATTTTACTGTTGGGTCTTGATATTTTTTTTTTAACAAAGAAATAACATAGGCCGGGTGTGGTGGCTCACGCCTGTAATCTCAGTACTTTGGGAGGCCGAGGCAGGCGGATCACTTAAGACCAGGATTTCAAGACCAGCCTGGCCAACATGCAAAACCGTGTCTCTACTAAAAATACAAAAATTAGCCAGGCGTCATGGCACAAACCTGTAGTCCCAGCTACTTAGGAGGCTGAGACAGGAGAATTGCTTGAATCTGGGAGACAGAGGTTTCAGTGAGTCAAGATTGCACCACTGCAATCCAGCCTGGGTAACACAGCAAGACTACATCTCCAAAAAAAAGAAAAAAAGAAAGAAAGAAAGAAAATTTAATTCTAAAGGTTTCTCGTAGTAAATATGTATTAGTTTTGCTATTTTCCCCTTTTTCCTATATACTTATAAGTGACAGTAAGAGTTTTGAGTCTTTTGACAATAGTTTTAAAAAGTCACAGAATAATCATTCTTTTTCCTACTAAGCAGTTTCAGTTAGCACAGTAATTTTTACTATCCTAAAGTTCCATGCGAAGGGCTAGCTATAAGTTAAAATATCTGTAGGTCTCTCTCGTGTGTGCTTGCTCGCACTCTCTCTCTCTCCATATATATGTGGAGAGAGTTATATACATACACAGAAATTAAAGATATTTACTTTAATAATTAAAACAAAAAAAGAACTCAAAATACTTTATATGGGAATTTAGTTATAATCAGCATTGATTACCCTAAATAGGCCATCATTTAAAGGTTCTTTTTGCTATACAGAAGTATTTATTGTTATCATTTATAAACATCTCTAAAGTTAAGCATTTAGTACTGAAAATACCTTAAAGATATAATAATTTGTCCTGCAGTCTATTTATTTATTTTATTTTTCTTGAGATGGAGTCTTGCTCTGTCACCCAGGCTGGAGTTCAGTGGCTCGATTTCAGCTCACTGCAAGCTCCGCCCCCCAGGGTTCATGCCATTCTCCTGCCTCAGCCTCCCAAGTAGCTGGGACTACAGGCCCCCCACCACCACGCCTCGTTAATTTTTTTGTATTTTTAATAGAGACTGGGTTTCACTGTGTTAGCCAGGATGGTCTCGATCTCCTGACCTTGTGATCCACCTGCCTTGGCCTCCCAAAGTGCTGGGATTATAGGTGTGAGCCACCGTGCCCAGCCCCTGTAGTCTATTTATTAATAAGGTCAGTTTAAATGAGAGTTGAGGTACAAATGGGAGTGAAACAGTAGAAACAACTCAAGAACAAAGATACTTTACTGAAAGTATTAAGAACATTTATTAGATATCACTTTATTTTATATAATTGATGGTATATTCTTTTTTTTTTGAAATGGAGTCCCACTCTGTTACCCAGGCTGGAGTGCAATGGCACGATCTTGGCTCACTGCAACCTCCACCTCCTGGGTTCAAGTGATTCTCTTGCCTCAGCCTCCCAAGCAGCTGGAATTACCGGAGTGCACCAGCACATCCAGCTAATTTTTGTATTTTTAGTAGAGACGCGGTTTTGCCATGTTGGTCAGGCTAGTCTTGAACTCCTGACTTCAGGTGATCCACCTGCCTCGGCCTCCCAAAGTGCTGGGATTACAGGTATGAGCCAGTGCGCCCGGCCTAACTGACGCTATATTCTTATAAAATGTTTCCTACTTCTTTGACATTAACAATATCTCCAAAATGTATTACTTAAGCACACATATAAATGATGTAATGTATTAGAAAACCAAATATTTAAAAAAATTTACTTACTCTTAGCCACTCTACCATGTTTTCTTCAATTTCACTATCGGCAGAGATGTCTAATATAAGACGTCGTGTCAAATGAGCTTTATGATACCTCATAAAAACATCTTTGTTCTGTACATACTTAAGTACCAAGAGCTGTATGAAAAATAAAGTTACTTTCAGTTCTTATATACTCTTACCATCTCTCGAATTTAGACCTTTCTATATCCACCAATTGTCACAAGTCAGAAACTTTTATGAGCATATACAGATAGAGGCCTACTGAATTATCCATCTCTGAGAAATACCCAGTCCTGATACACTACTTTAAAGGTTAGCAAAACTGAGACTATAACCAAATTGTTAGTCGGTCTAAATATCAGTTTTTTAGATTTTGTATAAAATGCAACGATATACTTTACATGAAAAAAATCAATGTCCCCCTGCAAAGTGTCTCTTCTACTTATCTTTTTCACTTTTTTTTCTGACACTAGTCATCTCTCTCGGCCTTTCTGTCTACACTTGCCCAATATCTTATTTTTTTTCTTGTTTGTATTCCTGGGCTTACATCATTACACTAACAACTGGGTGACAAAGATGAAAACAACTACTTAATCTACTCTCATTCATCCCTTGCTATCTATCTTGGACTCTCACAAAAAGGAAGGAGTGAAAAACTCCCAATCTGTCAACTATCATTCCAAATTTGTTGGAATGATATGTCCTGTATTAGTAGCTAGAACTTAATTCCTAAAAATAACCAAGAAAGGAGAGGAATTAAATGGTATTCCTTTCAAGAAGCTGTAGAATAAAAATTTTCAGAAAGAAAAATAACCCCCCGAGAGGTCTTGCACTGCAAATCTTCGTAACATTAGTTCTTTACAGATAATACATTTTTAAATTGATACTATCACAGAAAGTCCTATAAGCAAAACACAAATTCAAAGTAAGGTAATTTTAAAAGTTGAAATACAAAAAATTCATGTACCACTTCTTTAAGCTTTGCTTCAATCTCTTCAGAGGTTAGTTTTTTGCTTAATGGTGTTTTTCTTAGCAACATGTCACAGTAATTGGCAAGCAGCTCAGGGCATTTTGATTCAGGCTGAGTTTTTAATCCCACCCTAAAAAACAAATTAAAAGCAGTTGATGGAAAAATGATTAATGTTTGCAATTATTTTTTTCTAAAGTCAATGATTCACAAGCGAATTTCTCATGTTAAATAATCTAGTGATCAGGTTTGGAACTAGGATAAGCAAGCATCCTAGGGTGCCTAATTTAGGGAGGCACTCACTTTTACGTTCCCCTAAGTGCTGATGCTGCACTTGCAGAATCCTGAGAGTAAGAACCTTCTTCAATTTTGCACTCTAGGTGCCTTCTTGCCTCACCCTAGTGCTGACCTTGGCAATGATAATTAAAATTTTTTTTCAGAAATCTGTTAAAATACTTTAGAAAAACTGTTAAATTCTTGGATATTTATGTTAACATTTAAAACTTTTTATGATTAATATATTAAAACTGTTATTTCACTCTTTAAAATGTATCCAATATAACCTACATTCCATAATGATGATATATATACCATCATGCATTAAAAAAAAAACTATAAATGAATTCTTCCTAAGCAATAAAGAATTTGTATCTCCATTTCACTTTCCTGATACAAATTTTTTTTTAGTTTTTTTGAGATGGAGTTTTGCTCTTGTCCCCCAGACTGGAGTGCAATGATGCCATCTTGGCTCACTGCAACCTCTGCCTCTCGGGTTCAAGCGATTCTCCTGCCTCAGCCTCCAGAGCAGCCGGGATTACAGGTGCCCGCCACCATGCCCGGCTAATTTTTGAATTTTTAGCACAGATGGGGTTTTGCCATGTTGGCCAGGCTGGTCTCAAACTTCTGACCTCAGGTGATCCACCTGCCTCGGCCTCCCAAAAAAGTGCTAGGATTATACGCGTGGGCCACCGCACCTGGCTCCTGATAACAATTTAAACAGAGCATATTGTTTTTTTAAAAAATAACTGAGACACAAACATACACAAATTAAAAAATTTTTTAAATTCAGACAAGGTCTCACTATCTATATTGTCCAGGCTGGACTCCTCCTGAGTAGCTGGGACTACAGGTGCATGCCACTGCACCCAGCAGTATATTGTATTTTCATGCTTGAAAGTCTTACATTTATTTTTTAATCCTACTTCTCTAAAAATATATGTAAATAAATTTAAATTGAAGATTTTGAAATTTCTTGTGCTTATAAAATTCAAGTATTGTTTTCCAAGGATTGAGCTATCCAAATTTTAAGTATACAAATAATCCAAACAACAATTACATCGTGCATACACATACATAAAATATATGCATATGTAAAATTTTACTGGATGCATCAACTCTTAGTGGGGTGGATGAAACTTTTTTCCTCCCAATTATAAATCCAGGAATCAGCATAATTTCTTTTATTTGTATAAATGTATGTCTTTGCCCTGAGAAGTCTTATTCACATAAATAAGTAGATGAGACTAGAATATGTTTTTCTTATTATATCATTCAATTATTTGAACACCTCCTGAGCCATTTGCAAAACAAAAAAATCCATACTGATCTAATATTAAAATTTATTTTTAATGATCCATCTTTAAAGAATGGCTAACATCTACCAGTTAGGTGAGGAATGAAAAAAATAAAATAAAAAGAGAACACAAAAATAATAGCTAACATCAATTGTGCTGAAAGCAAAGAAGTAGAAACTATCTGACTAGGATCTGATACCTAACTCATTAAAAATGAATTCTATGTACATCAATACCAGTATTTCAAAATATTCCTGTCTTAGGCCATCTGAAGGCTGCTACATTCTGAGGCAAAGCACCACAGTAAGAATCAAGAGAGGTATGCCTTTCTTTGCAAACTGGGAATGGGTAATTGTGAAAGAAACAGAAAGGAAAAACTGCTGTGATACTTCCATCACAGGGTGGAATTTTAGAAAAGAGTGAATGTGGAAGTTGAAAATTTAGAAATGGATTTCCCTTGAAAGTATCCATACTGGCATGCTCTAGGGAAGTCTTTCTGTATTCCCTTAGGTAGCCATACTCCACTAACTTAATGAGAATCCATCCATCTCTCCTTGCAATGCCTGGCTCAGGTGTGAACTACTGTAACAATC
The DNA here is from genome assembly GCF_000001405.40 of Homo sapiens. Lineage (NCBI taxonomy): Eukaryota > Metazoa > Chordata > Mammalia > Primates > Hominidae > Homo > Homo sapiens. The sequence goes on along the minus strand of NC_000011.10, from coordinate 108,086,492 downwards.
AAAGTGATCTACCTCCCTCCTTCATTCAACCTATCAAGAGGACAGCTATCAGTTTTTATTTTTGTTTTGATATGGACATCTAGATACATTGCTCAGGCTGGTCTTGAACTCCTGGGCTCAAGCAGTCTTCATTCCTCAGCCTCCCAACTAGCTGGGATTACAAGCTAGCTATTAGTCTTATATTGTTACTTTGAAGGTAGTGTGTTATTTTTCCCCCGTGGCTGTTTTAAAAGTTTTATTATTGTTTTCAGTTGTAAGCTGTTTTACTATGATGTACCTAGGAATGGTTTAATTTGTATTTATCCCACTTGGGATTCACAGACACCCTTAAATCTTAAATCAATTTTGGAAAATTTTAGTCAATACCATTTCAAATATTGGTTAATACCCTCTTTTCTATGCTCTATGACTCCAATTATATATGGTTTTAGACACTTTCTTTCCTCAGATAACAATTTCCATCTATCCATTAATATGTATTATATCTTCATTGCTATTTATTATCTAAGCTTATTAATAATTACTGATATATAATTCGCAAACCATACAATTCACTCACTTAAAATGTACAATTCAGTGCTTTTAAAGTATATTCAGAGGGTTGCGTAATCATCACCATAATAAAATTTTAGAACACTTTCATTACCCCAAAAAGAAACCCCACACCTGCCAGCAGTCAAATCCCATTCTCTAGCTATCCTCCTCTCACCTCCCAGGCCTGGGCAACATCTAGTCTACTCTATGGATGTGCTGATTCTGGGTATCTCAGATAAATGTTATCATACAATAAGTGGTATTTTGTGACCCACTTCTTTTACTTAGCATCAAGTTTTCAAGATTCATCCATGTGTCACAGCATGTACCAGTAGTTCATTCCTTTTTTAACACATATCTTTTACTAAGAGTAAAAAAGATTTATCATTTTAATAATTTTTAAGTGTAAAATTTAGTGGCATTAAGTACATTCACAATGCTGTACAAACATCACCGCTATCTATTTCTAGAACTTCTTCATTATCCCAAACAGAAATCTTGTATACATGGAACAGTAACTTCCCATCCCCCCCTTCCCCATCCCCTGGTAACTTTTATTCTACTTTTTGTCTCAATGGATTTCCCTGTTCTTGATACCTCATACAACCATATTCATGCAAAATTTGTCCTTATGTGTCTGGCTTATTTGAATCACCATGTTTTCAAGGTTCATCTACCTTGTAGCATATAGCAGAATAATAATTCATTTCTTAGAACTGAATAATATTCCACTGTATGGATACAGCATACTTTGCTTATCTATGCAACTAATGGATATTTGGGTTGTTTACACTTTTTGACTATTAAGAGTAATGCCACTCTACTATGAACATTTATGAGCATGTTTCTGAATGAAAGTATGTTTTCATTTCTCTTTGGTATACACCTCAGAGTAGAACAGTTGGGCCATACAGCAACTCTGTTGACCTTCTTTTGTTTGTTTTGAAAGGCTAGTCAAGTGAAGCAGTGGGAGTGGAGAAGGAACAACTACATCTGTAAATGGTTGTGATTAATTAGTTGTAAACACCACTGCACTTGGACCAGCCTATGTTGAACTTCTTGAGGAACAACCAAACTGTTTTCACAGCAGCTGTGCCACCAACAATATGATTCCAATTTTTCCATATCCTTACCAACACGTGTTATATCTGTCCTTTTTATTTTAGTCATCCTACTGGGTATGAAGTGATAGCTCATTGTGGTTAAGCTATTAATCTTAATTAATTAAAGTCCTTATGTGCTAACTCCAACATCAGGATCACCTGAGATCGCTTCTAAAATGATTTTTCTTTTAGTTAAGTCATTAATTTATCTGTCTTCATAGGACTAGTAATGTTGTACTGAATACTGGACACTGTATATATAAGAATCACACAAGAACAAGATGATGTTATCTTGCATTAAGAATGGGTTCATCCTTTGCTATGAAAGGGAATCAGTCCATCTCCAGGGTTAGCCACTGAATCGAAGATATGTCCCTCCTGGACTTTCAATTCAGTGTCCAATGGGTTTTGTTACTCCAGTCCTGTGTGACCACCAAAACATCTACTGCCCCCCAGCAGTATTGCTTAGCCTAGGCCAAAACTACATTCTCAGCTGCTGCGTCTCCTTAGGGAAACACAGTTACAAATCCTCAAGTAACCTCTGAAAGGTTTATCTGGCATTTCTGTACATTTCAATCCTTCGTCATAGCTGTTTCTATAGCTCTTAAATAACATGAAATTACTATTTTTTACATTTACCTGATTTTCTAGTTGTTCTCAGCAGCAGCACTGGTCTACCACAAACTACTCCACTCCTCCTCAGAAGCAAGTCTCCCAAATAACTTGGATGCTACTATCAGTTTATTCTTCTAAAGCAGGGGTGTCCAATCTTTTGGCTTCCCTGGGCCACACTGGAAGAAGGACTGTCTTGGGCCATACATAAAATACACTAACACTAATGACAGATGATGAGCTAAAGAAAAAAAATCGCCAAAAAATCTCATAATGTTTTACGGAAGTTTACAAATGTGTGTGTTGGGCCACGTTCAAAGCCGTCCTGGGCCGCATGCAGCCCGCAGGGTTGGACAAGCTTGTTCTAGAACATCACCTCCTCCACACCTCCAATAGCCACACCACCTATTCTACTGCCTGGATCAGCTAATGATACTTACTCTACTCCACAGAAATTTTCTACTTTGAGACAGGGTATCACTCTGTTGCCCAGACTGGAGTACAGTGGTGCCATCATAGCTCACTGCAGCCTTGACCTCCTGGGTTCAAACAATCCTCCTGAATAGCTAGGACTACAGGCACGCACCATCATGCTCGTCTAATTTTTAAAACATTTTGTAGAGATGGGTCTCACTACATTGCCCTGACTGGTCTTAAACTCGTGGCCTTAAACAATCCTCCCACCTTGGCTTACCAAAGTGCTGAGATGACAGGCATGAGCCATGGCACCCAGCCTAGAAATGTTCTACTTTAATGTGGAGCTAAAAGTAGGACATAGTCACCTTAGAATCAGAAAACTAAGAGAAACCCAGCAATCCTCACTTCTGGGACTCTATCTTGTAGATAAAGATTCACAAATATTCAATGTACAATATTATCCTCTGTAGCACTAACAGTAATAGCAACACATCGGAAACTACTTAATGCAGCAGTAAAGGACCAGTTAAATAAGCTATAGTATATCTACCAGACAGAGTGCCAAACTGCTATTCAGCATAGTGAGGTTATGGAAAACCAACATAAAACAATATAATGGCAAAAGACTAAGAGTGAGCACCCTAAAATCAGGAATAAGACAAGGATGCCTGAATTCACCCCTGCCATTTGTTACTGTAGTAGACGTTCCGGTCAGAGCAATTAGTCAGAGAAAAGAAAATAGAACCAAACTGGAAAGGAAGAAGTAAAAGTATTTCTATTTGCAGATGTCATGATCTTATATACAGAAAAGCTGAAAGAATCTACAAAAAAGGTATCTGAGCCAATAAATAAACTGAGGAAAGCTGCAAAGTACAAAATCAACACATAAAAATTATTTGTGGTTGGGCATGGTAGCTCATGCCTGTAATTCTGGCACTTTGAGAGGCAGAGGCAGGAGGCTCACTTGAACCCAGGAATTCAAGACCAGACTGGGCAACACAGCAAGACCCTGTCTCAAAAAAAAAAATTAGCCGGGCATGGTGGTATGGCCCTTAGTCCCAGGTACTCAGAAGGTGGAGGCTTGAGCCCAGGAGGCGAAGGCTGCAGTGAGCTGTGATCATGCCATTGCATTCCAGCCTAGGTGACAGAGTGAAACCCTGTCTGAAAAAAAAGAAACAGAAAAAAAAATCAGTTGTGTTTTTATACACCAGCAAGGAACAATCCAGAAGAAAATTAAGAAAACAATTCCAGGCTGGGCATGGTAGCTCCTGCCCGTAATCCTAGCACTTTGAGGGGCTAAGGTGGGAGAACCACTTGAGCCCAGGAGTTCAAGACCAGCCTGGTCAACACAGTGAGAGACTGTCTCTACAAAAAATAATATAGCCAGGTGTGGTGGCCTGAACCTGTGGTCCTAGCTACTCAGGTGGCTGAGGTGGGAGGATTACTCGAGCTCAGGAGGGCAACACTGCAGTGAGCCATGATTGCGCCACTGCACTCCAGCCTCGGTGACACAGTGGACCCTGTCTTAAAAAAAAAAAAACAGAAAGAAAGAGAGAAGAAGGAAGGGGAAGGGAAAGGGAGGGAAGGGGAAGGGGAAGGAAAAGAAAGGAAAGAGGGAGGAAGGAAGAGCAATTCAATTTACAACAGCATCCAAAGAAAATACCAAGGAATAAATTTAACCAAGAATGTGGAAGACTTGTACACTGAAAGCTGTAAAACACTGCTGAAAGAAAAACAAAAAACAAATAAAAAGAAATTCCATTTTCATAATTGGGAGACATAACATTAATACAATTCAATGCATTTCCTATCAAAATTCCAAAGGTCTTTTTCACAAAAATGGAAAAGCTGATTCTCAAATTCATATGGAATTAGAAGGGAACCCAAATAGCCAGAATGATCTTGAAAAAGAACCAACTTGAAACATGCACACATCTTGCTTTTAAAGCTTATCGCAAGGCTACAGTAAATCACAACGATGTGGCACCAGCATAAGGACAAATATATAAACCAATAGAACTGAACTAAGCATTCAAAAATAAACACATACATCATAGCCAACTGATTTTTTTCTTGAGACGGAGACTCGCACTCTCACCCAGGCTGGAGTGCAGTAGCGCCATCTCAGCTCACTGCAAGCTCTGCCTCCCAGGTTCACACCATTCTCCTGCCTCAGCCTCCCGAGTAGCTGGGACTACAGGTGCCCGCCACCACGCCTGGCTAATTTTTTGTATTTTTAGTAGAGACAGGGTTTCACCATGTTAGCCAGGATGGTCTCGATCTCCTGACCTTGTGATCTGCCCGCCTCGGC